>NC_000002.12:3949393-4252424 GCF_000001405.40 Homo sapiens
AACAGGCATGTTCCTACTTTTTTCCATGTTGAGTCTGTTGGTGAGCAAGAAGCTGTCATCTTCTAGGTTTTGAGCTTTGGCTCAGATTTCAATGAACCAAAGAAGAGGCAGTAAACGTTATTAAATTTTTCTTTATTTTTAAAGAAAATAGACACTAACTTAAAAGTGGAGTGAAATATAGAAGGCTCAAAAGATAGAGAGCCTATATAGCTTTGCTTTTCTTGTTTTGAAATTAATATATGGACATTATAGAAAGTTTGGAAATTGCATAAAAGTACGAAGAGTAAAATTTCCCCATCCAAGAGATTAACGCTGTTAAAATTTTTCTGTTTGTTTTGTGTTCTGGGTTTCTATATTTTGACAAAGTTGGGGTTGTGCTGTTTATACTCTTTGGTTATTTATGTTTGACCTAGAACATATTCATGGGCGTTTTTATAGCATTGAAATTTCTCTTAAACCATGATTTTTCTCAGCTAGCTGGCATTCTATATGGTAATGGTTTATTATTTAATTATTTATAAAGAGCACAAATTTTTTATAGGGCTTCTTTCCTTAGAACCTGAATAATATTTCCACTTATTTATGTAGCTGGCAAAGTGTAATTCTTTTCTAGTTCAACCACTGGAATGTTCAAAGCTCCATTTTTAATTTACATGACAGCTCAAATACGACTTTCTAAGACCTGCCACATAACAAGCTTGCACCCACTGGTTCTCTATCCAGCGGCACCAGAGGTGAGGGGGGTGCCTGACCTTGCTCCCTGGTCCTCTTGGTTGACCTGTTCAGCTCCAGCTGAATATAGGAATATAGGCTCCACGTGGCCAGCTTTTGTTTTCCAAAACCAGAAATTCAGATTTTTATAAAACATCTGTTATTATATATTGACAACTATGTACATTTGGAAATAAAATCACTGGGGGCAGGCAAAGTGCATCTGCAGCTGGAGTTGGTCCTTTGTTCCGGCCGGTGTGTCTTCTGGAGGTGGGCCCTCTGGGCATGCTGCTTCCTGCAGAGCCGCCAGTGAAGGGTGAATCTTTCCTGCTCCCACAACCCGTGAGACCTTTGTGCTTTTCATTTTTGGGGAAATTTTGCTTCCCTCAGACCTTCTATCTCTATAGAGCCTACCATGTCCCCCAAGAACTCAGCTGCTGGGGGAAGAAGTCAGAGAGACTGGAGAGCCTTCCTTCGTCCTGCGCTTTTGCCTGCCTGCTCCGATGGGAGCAAAGAAACGGGCCACGTCTCACGGGAGCATCCTGCCAAGTGATGATACTGACGAGCAAGTGAATATGATGGTGGGAAGGCACATGATTGGTTTTGGGTTCCTACTTGCTGCTCCCCATGCTAGGTTTTGCATCTATGGGATCTAATCTTTATCAGAACTCTAAGAGGAAGGTATTCATGTCTCACTTTACGTGAGAAAGGTGAAGTTCAAATCCATTTAAACTGACTTTCGTGAGGCCACACAGTTCTTGGTGACTGAAGTGGGATTTGGCATCTAGTGTCCCCACCTGCAAAGCTCATGCCCTCTCTACATGCCTTACTGCTGCCTGCTATTAGATAAATGTAGCTCACACATAAAATAATGTCCCAAATGCCGTGCACACTATAACTTGTTGGGCAAATGTTTTTATTATTTCTTGAGGGACAGAATCTGGGAAAATCCTGACTGGAAAGTTGTTGGCAGGGTGCTACTCCCAATGCAGTATAGTAACCTTGGTGCAGGATGGTACCCCCAGTGAAGGAGGGTACACCCTGTGCAAAACAGTACCCCTCATGCAAGACAGTACCCCTGGTGGAGGACAGTACCCACTGTACCCCCTGGGTAGGCCAGTACCCCTGGTATAGGATGTTACCCCCAGTGCAGGATGGTATACTTGGTGTAGGATGGTGCCCTGGTGTAGAACAGTGCCCCCTGTACTCCCTGTGTAGGATGGTACCCCTGGTGTAGGACAGTACCCCCCTGTGACCCCTGTATAGGACAGTACCCCTGGTGTAGGACAGTACCCCCATTGCAGGATGGTATCCTTGGTGTAGGACAATACCCCTGGCGTAGAACAGTACCCCTCATGCAGAACAGTACCCCTTGTACAGGATGGTACCCCCAGTGTAGAATGGTAGCCCCTGTGCAGGATGGTACCCCTCATGTAGAACAGTACACTGTGCAGAACAGTACCCTCGGTGCGGGACCATACAACAAGTGAAGGATGGTAACCCCTGTACAGGATGGTACCCCCCATGCAGGATGGTATCCCCAGTACACGATGGTACCCCCATGCATGATGGTACCCCCCGTGCAGGACAGTAACCCTCATGCAGGATGGTACCCCCTGTGCAGGATGGTATCCCCCCATGCATGACGGTATCCCCAGCAAAGGACAGTACCCCCCGTGCAGGATGGTACTCCCTGTGCAGGACAGTACCACCCATGCACGATGGCACCTCCCATGCAGGATGGTACCCCCTGTGCACGACGGTATCCCCATGTGTGCTCATGGCATAGAGGTAGAACAGGGGCTGCTGGCAGGGACGGAGTGGAGAAAGTCAGAGACTGTGGAAGGTCATTGGCCTGGGGTGGTCTGGGCATGGCCAAAGAGAAGCCAGCCACAGGCAAAACAGAAGGAACATGAAGACAAATTAGGGTATTTAATTATCTTAGTGTTATTTCACAGCTAACATTCATTTAATACATTTTATTGACAATGATGATGTGTCAGACGCTGTTCTAGGGCCTCAGAACCAAATAAAAAAGGCTCCTTCCCTTGTGGAACCCACGTTTTAGTGGCCTTTCCCTCACCTTCCTGCAACTAAAGGCATATTTAAAATATTGTAGCAATTTAGATTCTCCAGATAGTGTAGGAAACGTGGACCTTCCCTGTGGCCTGTACCCGTCCCTCAACAGAGACAGGCAATTACCAGCGCCCAGGCTGTTGTCCGACGACCCCAATGGCCCACTCTGATGTAAGAGGCAGAGAAGCCCTGGCAAGGTTTGCTCTGACGAAACGTGGTCTGTGGGGCTTGGTTGGTGAGTGGCTCAGTCCCTGCTGGCAGTCTGGAAATCGCTCCCTTGCATCTTCTAATTATATGTTTTTCAGCCAGGAGTTCTGTTCACCACAGCTAGTGCTTTTTTTTTTTTCCTTTTTTTTTGATGGAGTCTTGCTCTTGTCACCCAGGCTGTAGTGCAATGGTGCAATTTCGGCTCACTGCAACCTCCACCTTCTGGGTTCAAGCGATTCTCATGCCTCAGCCTCCCGAGTAGCTGGGATTACAGGCGTGCACCACTATGCCCAGCTAACTTTTGTATTTTTAGTAGAGACAGAGTTTCACCATGTTGGCCAGGCTGGTCTCGAAATCCTGACCCCAGGTGATCTGCCCACCTCAGCCTCCCAGAGTGCTGGGATTACAAGCGTGAGCCACCGTGCCCGGCCAGTTAGTGCTTTTTCTAGCAGGAATTCTGTTCTGCTGAATTTTGAACATGAATTTCCTGAGAATACTGTGTTGGTAAGGGGGAAACTGCATTATGATTGTTGGTCAAGTTATTAGTAATGGTTTAAAAATAAGCACAAGATGGAGGCTGACACTTAAACTATGTGGTCTGAGCACAGGTGTCACTGAAGTCACATGCTCACGGTTCCTTCTTCCAACTATCCCCCCCTCCCTTACTCATAGTCCACCCATAAAGGCTACAGCTGCAATCCATAAATGTGGGGCTCTACTGCAGAGCCATGTGGAGGTATGATTGGAATGTCTGGAGGCAGGAGGACCATGGGGTTCAGCAGCTGTTGCTCAGCTAAGGGAGGCTTCCTCCACCAATGGAAAAGTGCCTCTGCCAGCGGCCCTTCCAGAAGCAATCGCAGAGGTTTTCGCTTTGCATGGCTAGAGGTGAGACAGCGCCGCAGTCCTGCGCAGGTAGTCAGGTAGCCAGGCAGTGGGATACCCTGCAGCGGCCTGGTTGTGGGGGGCCTGGATCTGCCCGGCGGCCTCATCCAAAGCTGACTGTGAAGCTGGCTCATGGTGTGCACCTTCAGGTGGTTAGCGAGCTCCAGCCTGACATGGGCGAATGCTCAGAC
The DNA here is from genome assembly GCF_000001405.40 of Homo sapiens. Taxonomy (NCBI): domain Eukaryota; kingdom Metazoa; phylum Chordata; class Mammalia; order Primates; family Hominidae; genus Homo; species Homo sapiens. The sequence continues at coordinate 3,953,461 of NC_000002.12, forward strand.
CATGTGGCCATTACAATATCATAATCATGATGTCTCAGAGGCTAAAGAAATGGTGTTTATGATTCTAACGCCATTCAGCGACGTTCTCATGTTCACTCACTCTGTGCTAAGACCTGGGGGGCTGACAAGATGATGAGAGAGATTCCGGCCTTTGGAGTCACAGTGATGGGAGGGGGCTGGCATCCACGCGGGTGTGTAGCAGACACGGCTGGTCATCCCTGACATTCACTTTCCCCTTCCTACATTGTGGGACCATCCAGAGTTTCACCCTGAACCCAGGGACCAGCCAAAGACCCTCCTTCCCAGGTTCCCTGCAACAAGGTATGACCCTGGCCCTGAGTTCTCCCAGGGACAGAGAGGAAGGGCCAGGTCCTCAAGGAGCGAGCACATCCCCATCCTCTTTCCCTCCTCTCCTGGGGCTGGAAAATGTTTGCTTACTGTAATTAGGCCTTTTGCAAATTAGCTTACCGTGAGAAATGCCCAAGCGTATTTTTCCTGTGTCAATAGCAACACAGTATCCTTTCTTAGGATGATTTCCCCCCAGAACAGAGGAGCTGTGCCACATGGTAAAAAATGGGAAGGTCAAGGGGTCTCCGTTCTGGGGATGCTCAGGTGGCTCTGCTGGCAGTGGCATGGAATGGGCTGACGCACCTGCACTCCGTGCTACTGCCATTGGTTACAGCTTCAAGGACTCTTGGACGTGCCTCCAGGTTAATGGACACACTCTGGATAAGAAAAGAAGTTGTTTTTCCTTTTTCTGTGTGTGGTGATTTTTTTTGGTGAGTCTTGGATCTGTGACTTGACCTCATCAACATCAGGCTGCCGCATCTGAAGCTGGGAGCTGTCTCTGGGAACACAGGCTGGTTGGACTGTCTTAGTCGGGTTTCATTTGGAGAGGAAGATGGGGCCGCTCCATCTTCCTGGTGCCTTTCTCCCATGTGGGAATTAGATTGAGAGAGATTTTATAACAGAAGTTGCTGTTTGGCACTGGTCCAGTTTGCAACTTGATAATCAGATGGAGATGAATGTAGTGAACGTGAGGATGCAGGGAAGTGGGAGTGTGCATCTGTGTGGATCAGCAGTAACCCCAGTGGGGTGGGGTGTTCATTTTATTCTCTATGTAAGCATTGCCGGCTTAGAGCTGGAAGGGAGCTTCCAGATCATATGGTCAGATTTTACAGAACAGGAAAGTGAGATGCAGAGCCTGACAGCGACTGGACCATCATAGCCTCAAAGCTGGGCTGCAGCCTCCAACCTCTTTCCTTCCCAGCCCAGCACGTTTCCCTCTCCAAATCATCTTGGGGTTTCTTGTAAATGTTTGCTCTTGTTGGTAGGCATATCTTTAAAATCCCTGTGAGTGGGTGTATTTTACACTACTTTTCATATTTCCACTTGATGATTTCGTGCATAAGATCTAAAAATAAAATATGTATCCACCATTATAGATATAAATATAATGTTAAAAAATGATCACTCTTCCCCACCCCTTTTGTAAGCATGAAGTTAGGATCTATATGAAACTCAGGAAAGTTTGCTCTTCTTGTTACTATAGCAAAAAAAAAAAAAAAGCTCTTGTAGTTTGAAAAAGTATAAAATATTTATCTTATTTTCCTTCTTCATGAACCCCTTCTTTCTTTATTCACATTCATATAAAAATGTAAAATTCCTATTAGTCTTCCCAAATGAGCTAATTGAGTTGAAAACACAGATTTATTTAAATATGTATATATCAGTATTGTTGCTTTTTAAGAATTAAAAATATATTTTAAACCTAAAAATATAAGGTATTGATTCATTATATGGTGTGAATCACTGCAAACAAGCACTTGATAGAAAAATGGCTCTTCCCATATTGAAAAATCTGATTTGGTTGTAAGTATTTTGTCATTTGAAATTGTAGTAGTTTCTTATCCATCAACATGTAGGTTATAGAAGCTAGGGCTGTTCTAGGGACTACAAGATATATATATCTGAAAGCCCATATATATTTCATATATATATATGAAATTTCATATATATAATTTCATATATATGAAATTTCATATATAAATTCATATATATATGAAATTTCATATATATATAATTTCATATGTATAATAAAACAGCCTTATCCACTAGGGACCTATGTTCTAAGCAGATGACAACTGAATTTACAGAAAACATTTGTCTTCCCCATGAAACTACAGAACTATGAGCAACATTATTACTGAATATTCAGAAATACTATTGCAGGACATTAATTTCGTAATTCTGTTAGAGTTGGGCCAGAAATATTAATCTTCTGGGTTTATTATGAAAATGCAGAAGCATTCTTTTACTCAATTCTTAATGTTAGGGACAATAATTCATGATAATTTCAAAAATTTGAGTGTTAATCACTTAAAAATGTCCTACTGTGCATATTCAAGAGCTGTGCACATTCATTAAAAACTGTGAACATTTCTGCGGTCCAGACTTTCTGGGGAGATGGTCACGGGTAGGTCACCCCACGCCAGTGCTCACCTGCTGAGGGGTCATTCGTTCAGCTCTTTGCTAAGGTACTGGAAAGGACTAATAAATATGTTGAACTCAGAAACATATGCTATTCAGGAAATCAGTAGTAAACTTGGAGAATTAAATAGACCCATTCATAATTAAAGAGCTGAATTACTGTACTAATGAATTTCCTTCCCGGAAAGTGAAATCTGATGGTCTCATCCATCTGTTCCTTCTCCCCTCACTTTATCTCTGTTACTTTTCTTTTTCTTTCTTTCTTTTTTTTTTTTAATATACAGTGTTACTGTTTTCTTAAATCGAGGTTACTCCAGCTCATTCTCCTTCATACTTTTTGATTGTTCTCACATTAAAAAAAAAAAAATTCACCCACTGACTAGAGAAGAATTTTTACTGCACTTCCCTGAGCTCTTTGTCAATTAGATTAGAAAACAGTAAGGGAAGGAGTAAAAAGAGATTCTCATCTTGCTTTCCATACATTACAGATAATCACCCAGCACCCATTACACGGCTGCATTCAGCTACAAATGACACTGGGCATTCACTCAGCATTAAGGTCTGAATTTCTCAACGCTGTCTGATTGGCTGATTGGCTGAGGTCAGTCCACCCAGCACTTTGAAGGGCTGCAGCTTAGGGCTGTTGGGCAGGAGGCTTGGCACTAACGACTTTGAAAGCAGGCAACCGAGTGCTTTTGATTAAATATGGAAAAGGCAGCAGGGAGCCTTGGCAGCATGACATTTGAAAGGAGTCCTCCAAAAATTTTTCAGCTCTCTAGTGCTTTCATGTCTTGAACAGGTTGAAATTAATGCAAAGCCTAAAATGAAACGAGGAGCGTGCGTTAGGATTCCGTGGAACCCTGAGGAGGGCACCATGAGGGCCGGGTGAAACGTCTCTCAGTGGTGAACCCTGAGTTTCGCCTGAATCGGAGACAGCACACCTGAGTTCGAGGGCAGGCTATGGCTCTTAGTCCTCTTAGATTTCTTCTGACCCTGCCAGCCACAGGGCTGTCTTGCTCCCTCCAGCTGCTGCAGAGCAGGCAACCTTCCAGGGCTTCCCATGCCACCCTGCAGCACCACGGGCTCTCCCCGCGTCCTGCCACGTGTCCAGCATCACAGGAAATCCGGCCTCCTGCGCCCTTACCCGCTTCGACTTCCTTGTCTCCTTCTCCGCGTGCCCCACATCTTCCTTGTCCTCCAGGCTCTGCACCAGCTCTCCAGGGAGCCTCCCCAGCTTGCTTCCCTCTCACAATTGTCAGCCCTGCAGGCCACCGGGTGCCCACCTGCCCTCAGGGCAGGGCTGGGACATGCATTTAGCACAAGTTATCTGTTTCGTCTTAAAATGTGAAATGGCTTACATCCTTCACGACTGTGTTCTTCAGAACCCAGAGAGCAGGGCGGACGTTCCCGCTAAGCCTTGGGACTCTGTGAGCCTCTGTTTTCCTAACTGTAAAATGGAACCGATATTATCGCTCCTGCCTACCTCAGAGGCTGCTTGAAGAATGAGAGAACCTCAGGAAAGAACTGAGTTCAGATGTTGTGCAGACATAAGATATTATTATCGAAATCATAACAATCCTTTTAGTTTTTGAACTTCTAAGCCTCAGCCTCCTCACACAGTGTTTCCTGTGGAAACTCAATAAACCATTAAATTTGTAGATTTCCTTGATTAGTATTTTTTGTTCCAGAAGACAAACACTATAATTTCAAGAATATTCTCTATATTTTTTGAGGGCTTACAAAGAAAAACACAATGTAGAAATACCCTGATTTTTCTAAAATGCTCAAAGAATGATGTATTCTGATACATCTAATTTCTGGCTAACTGGCTAAACAAATATTACTTTTCTTTAAACTTTATTATTGAATATGGAAAGGCCTTATTTGATTTTCTTATTGCAGCATGATATGTAATATGAATCTTTAGTGCAGCTCATCTTCGATGAAGCTTTTGAAAATATGAACCGTTTTCAGGGTGGCCGTAGGTTTAACTCACAGGTGTTGGTTGGAAACTCAGTAACAACGAATCTGAACTCTGATTTCTGTTACTTTCTTAAGATGGAGTTTTTAATAACTCACATCTCTTTTAATTTAGTTAGTAGTGAGTACATATTACAATGAAATGCCATATGTATTAACCCTTTTGTGACTTCCTTCACCCCCCCAATCTGAATAAGCAAAATGTTCATTTGCATTGATGGGAGTGCAGGCTCAGTGTGGTGGGGGAATGTGTCCCTCAGGGCTGCAAGTGCCGCAAACTCAGTCCAAAAATGAGTTCAGTTAGATCATTGATTCACTAAATCAGAGAAAGGAGGAATTTTGTTTCGTTTTGCTTTGAATCAGCTACTGGTTCCAGTAAGGCAATTAAAGAGTCCAGTTTTGGCATAGTTGTAGGTATTTTAATTTTGAGCCAGGCACTCTTAGATTTGAAGAATCCGAATTATAAATGAAATAATAAAATTTGGTGCAAGATGAAATTCGTAGAGTCTAGGAATTACAGCCCTGTGGGATTTAATGTCTTTTTACAGGCATAATTGATATATCTATATTTGAAATATAGGCTTTCTAATCTAGATGGTGACTGGAAGCCATTTCTCAGCTCGTCCTTGTGGCCTGCAATAGAAACAGGGAATTTCACAGGGGCGCAGCTGGCCCAAGTGGCAAAGTCTTAAAGGGGATCGTGGTGCCACCTCCTGACTGCAGAGTAAGCTGGAGTGCAGAGGGGAGGGGAGAAAGCACCGTGTCTTGACCGACGACAGGGCTCAAGCCAGTGTGGGGCTGGGCTCAGGGACGTTGCTCTGAAACTCCAAGAAAAAAGAAAAGGTTTCATTCAGTCCTCACAACAAGCTTGCGAGTAAAGTGACCTCACTTGATATGGAGTACACTCATCCTCAGTGAGGCTGACAACTCGCCCGAGGGTTCAAAGGTCACGGTGGAAACCAATTCTTTCAGCCTCTTCTTCTCTGGTTTCCTTTACTTCCCCAAAGCCAGCTACAAAGAAATGATGAAAATGACAATTTACTCATCATAAAAGTAGAAGATAACATGGCTTAACCAAGTTATGGAGGTTAGTCAAAGAAAGCCAGGAAGAGCAATTATCCTTGTATTAATACTACGATCAACGCCCGCGGTGCTCACGTGGCCTGAACCCAACATGCACAAACCCTTTCCCATGGGAGCGCTGAGAGAAGCCTCTGGAGACTCGTGCTTGGCTGCCACGTGGCGCCTTGATTTGGTTGTGACCCTGGGAAAAGCCCTGCATCTCCTTTGGAATTTGCTGACCCCTCTCCGTGGGTCTCACCTTGAGCCTTTGAAAGAGGATCCAAGGCCCCAGATAGTTTTTCTTTTGTGAGGGTCGGTTTCGGTGGGGAAACATCCGTAATTTGAAGAGTGGTATAAAATGAATAGAATAACATCTAGCATCTTCTAGTTATTCAGTAAATATCTGTTGAATAACAAAATGCATACTACTTGACCATTTTTTTTTCTATGTGGATAGTTGAATTGGGAGAATGCACAGCTGGTTATCTAAGTGACCACTGGGTGTCACTGTTTACCCACTGACCGACCATCAGTTTTTTTTTTTTTTTTTTTTTTTTTTTTCCCCTCTCACCTGGTCAGGACAAAAGCCTCTGGAAGCTGGTCCAGGTGCAGAGATTTCAAGCTTGTTTCTCATAAGTAACCTGCTATCTCAGGGGGGAAAAAGAGCGATTCCTATGTTATTCACTTCAGGATGTTTTCTGCTTTCTGTAATCTGGATGGAGAGCTGATGTGTTTTCTGTTTCTTCATCTCCCTTTTATCCTCCTAAAGAAGTTTTCTTTTGCTAACGAAAACAAGAGTTTTTATTTTGCAATTTATCTTGAAAATAGGAACGCTGGTGTGAACATTAGTTGGTACAAGACGGCAGGGTTTCATATGTAACTTTAATAGGAAACTATTGCAGGTGCTGAAAGTAAATTCTCACCTTGTCAGGCTCAGAGCATCATGATTATTGCTGCAGTGAGCTTCCTGGAAATAGAGGCCGTTCTCACTCTCTGGTGAAAGACAGGTTGGGCTTCAAAGGCCACCTCCACTGTTCTGATCTTTGGCCTCTAAGGTGATGCTCAACATCTTTGATCCTCAGAGTTCTTTGGCCCCCAGCAGGGCTTCTGACCCCACTCCCAGGGCTGCTGGGAAGTACCAAGTTCAAACCCAAAATTTCTTGTTTTCCTCCTTAGGGGTGTTCTGCTAACATCTGAGCTGATGGGTCTTGAAGGAATATTATGTTTCCTCTGCTCTTCCCTTCGTGATGTAATTTACCATGTCTTTATAACACAATCTAATATGGGTTGGGCCAAATAGCTGGAATTCCTAAGTCAGAAGTTTTCTCTGAAAGGCACGTAACTGACTGACTTGTCCGTGTTTGTGGATTTCACTGCTGCAGCAAGAGGACCTAGAAAATGGCCATCTTAAGACCTGAAGAGGCCTTAGAATTTATCCAGTTTAGTGTTTTTTTTTTTTTTTGGATGCATTTTACTCTTTCTTCAATATTCCATAGAGGGCTATAAAACCTTACAAGTGGGAGGTCTTAAAATTTCCCCATAAGACCAATGATGTGAGTACAACCTGCAGGAAACAGAAGGAATCCAGTTAGACAGTCCCTGGCCACTCCTTTCTCAGCCCTCCTTTCCTGCCCACACCTCCCCTGCGGGAGCTGTGCTAATTCCTCACTGTATCTTGGTATCCTCTACTTTAAAGGGAGAAAAAAAGATGAGCACTTATGTTTCCTGAATCTAATGCATTCCAGGCTGATGAAGAGTGACGGCTACCATTAACTGAATCCTTTCTCTGCGCAGGACTTGTGTTCAGTCTTTTATTTTCACAATTTCATTTAATTCTCACTACAGTCCCAGGAGGTGCTCCAAGTTTTCCCTAATTTACAGATGAGAAAGCTGGAGCACCAATGGAGGTTAAATGGCCTACACAAAATCACCCAACTAACACCTGGTCATTTCTGAGTCCCTTGCTTTTTAAAAATTGATACACAATATTTTATGTATTTATGGGGTATATGTGATATTTTGCTACATGCATAGAATTCGCAATGATCAAGTCAAGGTATTTGGGGTGTCCATCACCTCAAGTACTGATCATTTCTTTTTTTTTTAAATTTTTTATTTTTGAGACGGAGTCTCACTCTGTCGCCCAGGCTGGAGTGCAGTGGCGTGATCTCGGCTCACTGCAAGCTCCGCCTCCCTTGTTCACGCCATTCTCCTGCCTCAGTCTCCCAAGTAGCTGGGACTACAGGTGCCCGCCACCATGCCCGGCTAATTTTTTGTATTTCTAGTAGACATGGGGTTTCACTGTGTTAGCCAGGATGGTCTCGATCTCCTGACTTCCTCGTGATCCGCCCGCCTCGGCCTCCCAAAGTGCTGCGATTACAGGCGTGAGCCATGGCGCCCAGCCAAGTACTGATCATTTCTATGACTTGGGAACATTTCAAGTCCTTTCTTCCAGCTACTTTGAAATATACATTGTTGTTAACTATAGTCAGCCACTCTGAATTGAACAATGGAACTTACACCTTTTGTCTAACTGTATGTTTACACCCATTGACTCGTCTCTGTTCAATCCCACCCACACATCCTCCCACCCACACACCCTTGCCAGCCTCTGGTATCCATCATTCTATTCTCGACCTCCATGAGATCACCCTTTTTTTTTTTTTTTTTATAGTTCCCACATTTGAGTGAGAGCTTGGGATATTTGTCTTTCTGTGCCTGGCTTATTTCACTTAACACAAGGACCTCCAGGGACTCCTTTGCTTTTAACCACTCACCTACTTAGGGGGATGTTGGGTTCAATGTTGTGGTCTGTAATAGAGAGGGTTTTTCAGTCAGTCTCACTGCCTTGAGCTCATGGTGGAGGCGTTTGGAGCCATATAAAACTAGACTTGAGTATCAGCTGCAAGAACAGGAGGATTTCACTCAATTTCTCTTTTGTTCCTGAAAGCATTTCTCTAGATGCCCCATTTATCCAGATGTGGCTATTGCACGTTGTATGTGATATGGTTTGGCTGTGTCCCCACCCAAATCTCACCTTGAATTGTAATAATCCCCACGTGTCAAGGAGGGGGGGTGAGGTGGAGGTAATCGAATCATGGGGATGGTTTCCTCCATACTGTCCTCGTGTTTGTGAATAAGTCTCATGAAATCTGATGGTTTTATAAATGAGAGTTTTCCTGCACACACTCTCTTGCCTGTTGCCATGTAAGACGTGACTTTGTTCCTCCTTTGCCTTCTGCCATGACTGTGAGGCTTCCCCAGCCACGTGGAACTGTGAGTCTGTTAAACCTCCTTCCTTTATAAATTACCCAGTCTCGGGTATATCTTTATTAGTAGTGTGAGAATAGACTAATACAGTACTCCTGTGTCAAAATCTCTCGTATACCCCATAAATAAATGCACTTACTGTGTACCCACAAATACTAAAAATAAGATTTTTTTAAAAAAGATTTCTTTAGCAGTTATGGGTGGCTGGGCATTGTGCTAGCTGAAGGCATCCTTATCTTCCTCCTTGCTTAGCTTCATGGAGACCATGAGTCCCCCAGTCCTTACCCCTCCCCTGCAAGTTGGAATTAGACTTATTAGAACTACCTGATGGAGCTCAGTTAAACTTACAAAAAATCAAAGACAAAACAAAAATAGGCTGCTCAGTTTATAACCCTCAGCCAAAATCTCTGATGAGTGGTGGGCGAGGTACGTTTCTGTTAGGGAGGTTGAAGAGTTTTCTACGTGAATCAATGTGTATATGACAAGAGGGCAGCCCCAGGCATGCGTTTTGAAGACTTAGTGTGCGTCAAGGAAGTGCATGATGCCTGGGTTTAGAGGGTGGGAGGGGCCTGCTGCCATTTGTAGCAGAAGCTACCCTGGGGAAGGCTTACCCTCTGCATATTGATTGCCTGAGGGTTTCCATGAATATTGATTTAGGAAAGGCCAATGGTGTTTACGCTGCTGAATATGCATCATCATGGCCATTAGAAACATGTCAGTCTATACTGAGGCAGGGCAGCTCTGGGATTTCATGGGCTTGGCGATACCAGGGCTGAACTGGTTCAGTATCAACTGGAACTTTCTGCTTGAGTCTTAATTGCTTTTTGGAGGCAATCAGGCATCCAGTTAACCTCCTCTTTCCTGGAATTTTGTTTTCTTGATTCTGCTATCTTACAAAATGGTCAGGAGGAAGATATTTTCAGAAGGCTTAGGAGCTTGACACACAGGCTGGATGCATTGTAATTGCATCTGGGGGACAGAACACATTTCTGGATTTATCCCCAAAGCCTTACCCACATTTAAAAAATATTGTTGCTAAGTCTAGCGTGGAGGGAAGGGGCATAAAATCACATATGAACACTCTCGGTAGGATAACGTGCATGCAGGCACATTAGACTCTTCCCTCTCCTGGAATGAGCAGCTGGAAGGTGAGTCTTTAAGACTCAAGTCCTCGCTTTTCTACAGGATGGTGCAAAGGAAGCTGCGTGACAATGTTCTAGCCCCGGGATAGAGAGAGCTGGAGTGTAGTTCTGCTGTGAAATATCAGAGCCTGGTTATGACCCAGTCAGGCACATACGCCTCTTGGCTTCAGTTTCTTCACTCCCAAAATGGGCGGATTCCTAGTCTAACTTCTACCTACAGTTAGTAGGAGGATAAAATGTTATAATCAATGTGAAGCACACAGAACATTTGAAAGGATTTTGGAGTCACTAATGGTACATGGCACCTTTTGGAGAGAAAACCTTAGGACTTAACCTTGGATGGATCATTTATGATTTCTTCTGATGCTAGGATATTGGCCGAGTTACTTATTTCTGTGCCTTGGTAAAATTGGTCTCACCTATAAAATAAGAATTATGACCCTATCCCACAGATACTGTACGCAGAACACTCTACAAAACATCACTTGAAACACAATTGAATTCAAATAACGACAGTTTCCATCTCTGCTTCTTCCTCCCCCTTAAAACACCAATTTTTTCCCTCTTATTGACTAGTCTTTTGCAGAGGTGATTAGAATGCCTGGCAATGCATGGGAATGCGGTTCCTATTTATAGATTATTAATTCATGGGTCTTTTGGAAAATCACTAATGCTGTTTTCCAAATCATTTGTCTTTTTTCAATGCTAAAATTATAATCTTATTTTCCCAATATAATTTGTTACCTGTTTATGAATTTTGACATGACGGAAGGAAGTGTGGAGTTTATGGCAGCGTTTGGGCAGCTAGCACAGCTTTTCTTGCTCAGCAGTTCTAATATAGTTCGATATTTGTTCTATTTTGGTTTATGTATTATTTATTGCCTTTATACTTTCAAAAGGAAATAGAGACTATTTTCAATAAATACCAGTAGAGAATATAGTAAAACAACAACAACAGAAAAGAAATAAGAGTCTGGGTGTGGTGGCTCATGCCTGTAATCCAGCACTTTGGGAGGCTAAGGCGGGTGGATCACTTGAGGTCAAGAGTTCAAGACCAGCCTGGCCAGTGTGGTGAAACCCCATCTCTACTAAAAATACAAAAATTAGCCAGGTGTGGTGGCGGCGCCTGTAATCCCAGCTACTTGGGCTACTCATGAGGCTGAGGTACAAGAATTGCTTGAACTCAGGAGGTGGAGGTTGCAGTGAGCCCAGATAGTGCCACTGCACTCCAGCCTGGGTGACAGAACAAGACTCTGTCTCAAAAAGAAAGAAGAAAGAAGAAACCAAGTAGAAGAGAGATGGCAATACCCAACCAAGAACTGGAGATCAAGGGGTGCTGACCACTCTTGTACATTGTTTTGCTCTAAGCTTTCTAGCACGTTAGGCAAAATCGGGTAAAAATAGAAGATTTTTGTGTTTTTCATTGTCAGGTAAAAAACAGCTAAGTATACTTTTCTTGAAAGCCACCTTTTCCTCAACATAAATTATGATATAATTATTTGTAGAGACTGATGAAAATAACAGGTCACAGCAGCTGTTTTGAAGATTCTGAATCCTGTGTTGTTCGGCCTCACATTAGCAGAGATCCTTCACATTGAGGGGTTTTGGGAGGGCTTACGAGAGGGGCTGTGCCAGCTGGTCCAGGAGTACCTTTTCTCCATTGAGAGTGGGGTTCCAACACCTTCCTGGGTGGGAAGGTGGTTAGTGCACCTGTGGACAGGCAGCCTGGTTCAGTTTGTGGATTGTTCCATCCTGAGCATCTCCTGATCCCAGGCTTGCTTGCATGTTGGCCTGAGGCATTTCATCTGGTAGAAGAGGAGGGAATTTGGACTTCATTGCATAGCTTCTAAAATGGAAACCTACAGACATCACGTGCCATTTAATTTCATTAAATTTGATCCAATTCAGTTCAACTCCATATTGTTCAATTTCAACCAGTTCAGCGGAGGGCTGCAAGCACCTCCTGTGCTCTGGGCAATACGGGGAGTACGGATGGGCCAGGCTTCGTGCTGCCCTTGAGGGCATGGCTTGCTGGCTCAGGAGGCAGATGCGTACCCCACTGCCTACCCTGGAGGAGGCTATAAACAATGGCTCCACGGAGAGCCAGGGAAAGTGCTGTGGGAGCAGCCGAGAGGAAGCAACAACTCTGTGGAAATGTTCTTTTATTTATGGCGATAAAGGTACACGTCTGTGTAATGATCTCTTTTCTGTTGTATATGATTCTGGAGTTTCCAATTATGCTGTAGTTTAGAAAATATTTTTCCTGAGGGTTAATGTTTACATTTACAAATGTGTATAGCTTAACTAACAGTTTAAATGGAAATTTTAATATAGTCTATGAATTGTTGCTTCATTTGCATATTTTATCAATTTGCCATCATTCTGGGTTGTATATAGTGCACTAATTAGAAATTGAATTAAAAAGGACTGTGCATTTTTAATTTTCACTTCAGAATGCAAAATGCTAGTTGTTTAACGACTGCCTTATCAATGGCATGTTGTATAGATATGTGAGTAGAGGCCGGGACATTTCTGGAGACCTGAACCCCAGAGAGATGATAAGGATGGATGGGACAGCGAGTCAATTTACACTGAAGGGAATGTGGCAGGTGTGAAGGTAATAGGCGGCTGTGGCTCGCCGCTTACTGCTGTGTTTCTTTGGTGTTCTCATTAGCATCACTGTTCCCCATGTCTTGGCCCAGACCCAGAATTGCAGGCTTAACAAGCCAAATAGCTATGCAGTGAGAAAGCTTTGCTAAAAGCATGAATGCTGCATACAGGTAGTCAGTTCCATTTGCCCTGAATGTGCACTAAGGACCCAATCTGTTCTGTCTACAGCAGATGATCCACTCAGACAAATGCCTAAGGGACTGCGTGTAAGAGCTAATCACACAGGGGCCCTCCCTTCCTGCCTCCTTTGTGTCACTATAGTCCTTATGGCAGACAGGACTGGCTGGTGTAGGTGGCATTCACACACACTGACAGTCCCTTATGATGGAGTCAGTTGGCTTTGCACTGTGACATTGACAGGGTGCTGGCATGTCCTGACCACAGAGCTCCACTGTGGACTATCTCAGGATGTCTCTTCCAATCTCCTGTAACTTTTCAACTGTCTTCCTGAAAGAACTCAGGTGTTGCCTGACAAGGGGGTGCTCGTCAACAGCAGCTGCCCTCACCAGTGGCATCTCCTGAGCCTGGAAATGTGCCTGGCACTTGCAAGGTGCTCAGTGTATCAGTCAGGACAGCCTGCATACGCTGCAGTAACAAGCAAGCCCCAGCTCTCGGGGTGTATCTCTTGTTCATTTGTGTGTCGCTTTATGGTGGGCAGGAGCTCTGGGACATCCCCTGTCACCAGGCAAGAGGAAGAGGAAATTGTGCATCGTGCATTCATTCTGAAAGGCATCTGTCTAGAAGAAATACAAGCTACTTCTGCTCATATTTCATTGGTGAAAGCAAGTCAGGTGGCTACGTCTAACTTCAGAGAGGCAGGAAATACAAGTCTACATTTCCCAAGGGGGAGAACTGGATGCATTAGTGAGCAGCATTTATCTCTCACACACTCCGTGTGTTTATCAAGCTGCACTAGAGGTGTGAAATAATGTTTGCCAATAATGATGCTGGTACCTCACTTGTTCCTCCTCTAAGGGAGGATATTGATTTTTAATTATGTGAAGGTCTCTGGATGTAAAAGTAGAAGTTTCTAAAAATCTAGAAGCCTTAAAAACCTCAGAGATTGTCCAGCCCCATTTAATATTAGCAATGAGACGAAGTAGTTTGCCAAGCACCTTTCAGTCTGTTGATGTTAAACCTGGGGCTTGTGTCTTGGCCTGCCAACTCACCCACTAGAGTTCTTGCCACTTTTGTCTGGTGCCTGTAAGACGATGATCTAGGTCTCACTGCAAAGACCATTTCCAAAGACTGTCTGGTTCCTTGGGAGGCCGAGGCGGGCGGATCACGAGGTCAGGAGATGGAGACCATCCTGGCTAACACGGTGAAACCCTGTCTCTACTAAAAATACAAAAAATTATCCAGGTGTAGTGGTGGGTGCCTGTAGTCCCAGCTACTTGGGAGGCTGAGGCAGGAGGGTGGCATGAACCCGGGAGGCGGAGCTTGCAGTGAGCTGAGATCATGCCACTGCACTCCAGCCTGGGCGAAAGAGGGAGACTCCGTCTCAAAAAAAAAAAAAAAAAAAAAAAAAAAGACTGTCTGGCTCCTGAGGCTCCCTGGAGTAGCCGAGCACTCATTTACCATCCACTGCAGCATGACAGTGCTTGGAGTCTGCCTATTCAGCCTCTAGATGATGAAGATTACAGAAAATAATTTACCCAAAGTGCTTTGGATAGTGCCTGGAACAGTCAATGTGTAATAACGGTTTTTTTTTTTTTTTTTTTTTTGAGTTGCGGGCAGGGTCTCACTCTGTCACCCAGGCTGGAGTGCAGTGGTGTGCTCACGGCTCACTGTAGCATCAAACTCCCCAGCTCAAGTGATCTTCCTGCCTCAGCCTCCTAAGTAGCTGGGACTGCAGGCATGCGCCACCATGCCTAGCTAATTTTTGTATTTTTTGTAGAGATGTTGTCTCATTATGTTGCTCAGGCTGGTCTCAAACTCCTGGCCTCAAGCAGTCCTCCTGACTCAGCTCCCCAGAGTGCTGGGATTACAAGTGTGCCTGGCCTATAACTACTGATTTATTATTATTCCATGTGATTGTTGTTGCTATAATTGAATTCTGTAGTGAGGTGCCTTCTGGCCTGGCACAGGATGGCAGAGGGCTTACAGTTTTCTCCAGGCAGTGCTCCCAGCTCAGGGTTCAGCCACCAGACAAGTCATTTGTTATCTCTTGCCACGTTTGGAATTTGGCCCCCCATGTTCTCCAACAAGGGCACCCTTGAGAAGAGGGGAGAGGAGAGGAGGGAAGGGGAGGGGAGGGGAGAAGAAAAGGTACAGTGAGCATGAGAATCAAGCACCGAGAGGCAGGATGGGTGATACGGTTTGGCTCTGTCTCCACCCAAATCTCACTTAGAATTGTAATCCCCACCGGTCAAGGGCGGGACCAGGTGGAGGTGATTGGATCATGGGGGCGGTTTCCCCCATGCTGGTCTCATGATAGTGAGTGAGTCTTAGGAGATCTGATGGTTTTATAAGCGTCTGGCATTTCCCCACTTGCACTTCTCCTTCCTGGCCCCCCTGGGAAGAAGATACTTTTCTTCCCCTTCACCTTCTGCCATGATTGTAAGTTTCCTGAGGCCTCCCCAGCCATGCGGAACTGTGAGTCAATTAAACCTCTTTCCTTTATGAATTACCCAGTCTTGGGTATGTCTTTACAGCAGCGTGAAAATGGACTAATACAATAGGCACCTGGAGGGGGCATCGGAAGGGTGGAGGAGACAGAGGAGCTGAAGGGAAGATACCACAGGTCTTGGGGCCAAAGACAAGGAGTGGCTCAGGAGCTCCAGGTCTGAGGGCAAGGCAGGGAGCAAGAAGGAGGTAATGCAGAGGTGCTGAGGCATCACGGGTGTTGACTGAGGAATGGCAGGCGTCTCCTCTCAGAACGTGCTCAGGCTGGGGGGTTTCAGCAAGTGTCCAAGCCCCCCCAGCCCCGTCTTTCCCTCCCAGGCACGTGCTGTCCTGCCTCCTGCCATCTGGGACTGGCCTTGTCCAGAGCATTACCTCTCCCTCTGGCTGTGATCTCCCTGCAAGGGGGCTCCCACTAAAGAGAAATGATAACAATTTACAGAGGGAACGCTGGCCTCTAGACAGCCATGGAGGGCTATGCAGGGAGTAACGAGAGCTCTGATAATAAGAACAGCCAAGGTTTATGGAGCCCCAGGTCCAGGAGTCAGCTCAGCGTGTTTTTTCATCTTTACTTTATGTCTTAATTATTTGGGTTTGTAATCATCATCATCATGATAATGGAGATGCCAATAACAGCGATAACAGCTATCATCGAGTGAGCTCTTATTCCTGTGTATTTTATGTCTATTATTTGTTTCCATAGCAATGGTTTCGGGTAAGGGGATTTTCAAAAGGGGACAGTGAGGCTCAGGAATGTAAACCAGTTGCCCGAGCTTGCATGTCTGGTAAATAGCAACACAGACCATGCTCAAAATACATCTGTCTGACTTCAAAGCCCATGCCAGGGCTTTAAAGATAACTCAGGATTATGCTCTTTGCAAACAAAGGAAATTGGAACTCAGGGAGGTCCAATTTCAGTTTCTAGAACATCTACACCTCTTTGGAATGGAGGTGCACTTGGATTAGGGTCCTCCGAACCCTGGCTAACACTTTTCCTCCCCCTCTGCCCTGCTGCCCCCCACAGATGCAGGACAGTCCCTTCTGTGGGGTAGGGACCCAGGTGGGAACACTGTTGCTTCCTGGTCCTTCCTGTCTGTGGCCAAGCTGAGTCTCATTAATGCAAGGGCACCCAGACAGTGGGAAGTTCTCAAAAGAGCAGTTTTGGAGTCCATGTGGAAGAGGAGGGAAGACGCACACCCTCTTCTCTATGGCCGTGCAGCGGGCTTGGCTTTGGTGATAGAAACCGTGGGTCTGGCGTATTTCTGCGCTGCCTTTGCTTGTTTAGAAACTGCCGCTTGCAGGCACTGCCCACCCTCACAGGGTATGAGTCAGTAGTCAGCCCTGTGATTGGCAAGTGTCTACCTTGTGCCTGGCTGATGCCCACACCCTGAGAGATAGGACTATTATTCTCTCTTCTAGAAAAAGAAGATGAATTTAGGACATTTAAGAAACTTCTCCAAGGCTTCACTGCTAATTCAGTTGCTCAGTCAAGATTTGAATCAGCTGTGTGTGACTCGTGTGTTACTCCAAAATGGAAATGTTTGGTTCACGAGGACTCTACTTTACTATGCATGTGTACTTCCAGAAGAAAGGGAAAAACAAAGGTATTTAGGCATTGTTTTTTAAAAGGTAGTATTTCTATTTTCCGTATCCTCCCCCCTTCAATATATTCCTACAAAAGGTTGATGGAAGGAAAGTTGACATAAATCGTAAAATCTCAAATGAGATTTGGGTACTTTTGTGGTTTTGACTTACCTGTACTGATCTTTCCATAAATGCAGATAATCAAAGTTTGGCTTTGTCTTTCTATTTATTGACTTGGCTATCCAAGTGCTTATCTATCTGTTTTCTCTAATGTGGAAAGGGGTCACCGTTCATAAAATTGGGCTTGAAACTTCTGGCAATGTAATACACGTATTGGTTTTGTATTGTTCTTAAATGGATCATCTGGTGTCATTGAGGAATTTACCTTTCTCTGATATTCTCAATTGCTCCAAGTTAAAAAATAAAAAGTTGTGCGAAGTAATTTTCAGTGTCCAAGAAAGACATTGGACGAAGTGGGAGTGAAGGGTGAAGACCAGGGTTTTAAAGAGAAAAACTCACACAACTTAGGACAGGCGAAAATGGTGAAAGAAGCTGGTATTCCCACGTCCACTCCGCTCCCTATTACAGAACACCAGGCTAGAGTCACATCTTGCAGCGTCAGCTTCAGACTTTTATCATGTTTTCAAGTGGGGCCAACTTATTGACATTTTGTCCGCACAGCTCTGGCCAAAGCACTCCTGAGCTGAGGCTCGGCACTGCCGTGCAGCCCTCACTGTCAGACCAGTGGGGGCCACGCGGGCTGTGGACGCAGCCTCAGGATAGATGCAGCGGGGCTACACGCCTCTTCCTCTGGTTTAAATGTTTATCCAGAAAAGAAAAACGTAGCCTGAGATTTCACTCTGTGTGGCTGCCAGGCACTTGTTTCTTTTCCAACTGGCTTCCCCATTGAGGGATTTTTCCCTGAAGGTCCTGGCGGTTTGGGCTTAGATTACAGGGAGCAAGGCTGTATTTTTAAGCAGGCTGTGAGGGGAAAGGGGAGGACAGGGGAGGACACTGGGATGGTGTGTGTGTGAATGCGTGTGCTGTGTGAATGTGTGTTGTATGTGTGTGTTATGTTATGTGGTGTGTGAATGCGTGTGTGTTGTGTGTGAATGTGTGGTGTGTGTGGTGAGTGAATGTGTGTGTTGTGTGTGGTATATGTGTGTGCATGTGTGTGAATGTGTGTGTGGTATGTGTATGTGTGTGGAAATGTGCATGTGTGTGCATGTGTGAATACTGTGTGTGGTGTGTGTGCATGTGTGTGTGAATGTGTGTGGTATGTGCATGTGTGTGTTGTGTGTGGTGCGTATATGTGGTATGTGAATGTGTGTTGTGTATGTGTGTGTTGTATGTGTGTTGTATGTGCATGTGTGAGACAGTGTGTTGTATGTGTGTGAATGTGTGGGTTGTGTATGTGGTGTGCAAATGTGTATGTGTGTGAATGAGTGCGTGTGTGCATGTGTGTATTGTGTGGTGTGCAAATGTGTCATGTGTATGTGTGTACATGTGCATGTGTGTTGTGTGTGCATGTGTGAATGTGTGTGATGTGTGTGCGTGTTGTGTGTGCATATGTGTATGACTTTTTGCATGGTGTGTCTGGTGTGTGCATGTGTGTGTGCATGTGTGTGTATGACTGTGTTGTGTGTGGTGTATGTGTGTGTTGTGTGTACATGTGTGACTGAGTGTGCATGTTGTGTGTGGTGTGTGCATGTGTGTGTGTGGTGCATGTGAGTGTGTGTTGTGTGTGTGTGACTGTTGTGTGTGGTGTATGTGTATGTTGTGTGTGTGTGTGACTGTGAGTGTGCATGTTGTGTGGTGTGTGCATGTGTGTGGTGCATGTGAGTGTGTGTGTGACTTGTGTGTGGTGTATGTGTGTGTTGTGTGTGCGTGTGTGACTGTGAGTGTGCGTGTTGTGTGTGGTGCGTGTGTGTGTGTGTGATTCATGTGAGTGTGTGTTGTGTATGTGTGTTGTGTGTGACCGTGTCCGTGCCACACAGAGTGAAATCTCAAGCTACGTTTTTCTTTTTTGGATAAACATTTAAACCAGGGGAAGAGGCGTGGGGCCCCGCTGCATCTATCCCGAGGCTGCGTCCACAGCTCCAGTGGCCCCTGCTGGTCTGACTGTGACGGCTGCCCGGCAGTGCCGAGCCTCGGCTCAGGAGTGCTTTGGCCAGAGCTGTGTAGACAAAATGTCAATAAGTTGGCCCCACTTCTGTATGTGTGTGTTGTGTGCATGTGTATGTGTGTGTTGTGTGTATGACTGTGTGTGAGTGTGTGTGTTGTGTGTGTGATGTGTGCATGTGTATGCCTATGTGCTTGGAACCTTAATCCTCAAGTCCAAATGCTGATGGCATTTGGAGGTGGGGCCTCTGGGAGGTGATTAGGGTTAGATGAGGTCATCAGGGCGGGCCCCGACGGGGCTGGCAGCTTTGTAGGAAGAGGAAGAGAGACGGCAGGGCAACACCCCTACCCTTTGCCATGTGATGCCCTCGGCTAAGTCATGGTGCAGAGGGGAGGCCCTCATCTGATGCACCCCCAACCATGGAATTCCAGCCTCCAGAATTGTCAGATATAATTTTTTTCTTTATAAATTGTCCAATCTCAGGTATTCAGTTATTGCAACAGAAAGCAGACACTGATGAGGGCTTTGGAGCAATGCAGAGCTGGTCCCAGAGGCAAGATGGAGGGAGCTTGTGCAGCTCTGGGCGTCCCTGTGGGCACCTCTGGGCCAAGTCCAGCTTCACCTTCACCCTCCTGATTTCCCACAGCAGGCAGGAGGGTGGTGGAGCCCACACTGTGGGGCAGGAGAGTCTCTCAGACTCCTGGGAAGGAGCAAGGTGCCCAAACGAGGACAGACAGAGGCTGCTTATCTCCAGCTGGAGTAAGAGCGAAAGAGCTGGCCACTGTCACTTACATTTTTGCAGCGACTCAGGCAGGCTGGGTGTGGGAGCTTCCCAGGGGAAGAGAAGGCACCCGGTGTGGGCGTGGGAGCTTTCCAGGGCAAGGGAAGGTACCCGGTGAGCCCCAGTGGAGGCTGCTGGCCTGGAAGCTGGGGCGGCAACTAGAATCGGGGCATCCCGTGTGCGTTTAAGGGGAGCACATTTGTCTTTCTTGGTTTGTCCTCAGTGGGATGTCAGGGCAGGAGTTGGGGCAGCTGTGAGTTATTAACCAGGTCTTGGGCATCTGGGACTGACTCTTATGGGTTGCTTGATTCCTAGATTGGGGCTAGAGATAGGGGCCTGACTTCCCACAGGCGTAACTTACTGAGGGCAGGCCAGCATCCATCCTGGCTGCTGCAGGTGACGGGTTGGCTTCCTGGGCTGGCTGCTGCAGGTTGTGGGCCATAGTTCCATTTGTACAGATGGTCATGCCATTGTCTCTTTGTATATCCAGCCTCTCAGACCACATTCTGGCTCCAGCCCTTCCTGCTGTGGGACCTTGGACACATCCCCTGACTGTCCTGTGCCCGTCTTCTCAGTGGTGAAGGGAGCAGTGACCATGCACATCACTGAGGACAGCCATGGGGATGAAACACGGCAGGCCAAGGCACAGCAAGGTGTACTGAAGTAGTTCAGAAAAGCCCAGCTCTCCCTCCACGGGCCTTCACTCCGTGCTACCTTGGCTGGAATGTGGCCAACCTTTGTGTTGAGGCTAGGGCTTCTTCTCCAAACACATGGAATTCATCTTTGAATCACACGTTAGGCAGCTCCAAGCATCCCCTCCAAGGTGGTCTGCTGACAGTCTCTTCTGCTGTCTGCTGACTGGACTCTGGGATGCTTGTGAGGCAGTTGTGGGGTGGAGCAAGTAACAAAGGCTTTGGAATCAGAAGATTGGAGTTAGAATCTTAGGTCAGTAATTCGCTGCCTCGGTAACCTCCATCAGATTCCGCCCCCCTGAGGACGAGTCTCTTCATCTTTATGAAGGGGATGTGGTATTGGCACCCCTGGCTTGGATGGAGCATGAGGCAGCTACACGGTGCTGGGTGTGGTGTCCATCTCTCCCTCTATCGTGATCTGCTCTCTCTCTCTCTCTCTTTTTTTTTTTATTTTCTTTCCCTTTTTTGTGAAAGTTACTCCATCCCAGATAGCTTTGCGAATGACCTGTGTTTCCCAGCATTCTGCACTTGATAAAACTAGTTCGGATTGCTTTTCTTTAGAAGCTATTTTATAAAGAAGTTTGCTAGATATCTATCTAGATGGACACAGATGTATTGATATCATATATTATTTCTTCTTTTGGAAAGGAGTCAAAGAGCCTCCTGTCATCTTGCAGGTAGGTGGGCAGCCCGAGATCTAAACTTCCCATGGGAAATCTCCACATGTAAGCCCCACTCAGAATCCCGGGGCGGCAAGGGCAGGTTAGGACTTACCACGGTGTTCCAAGCTCCATGGCCGTAGGTGGGTTGCTCTTAGTCACTGGGGGACAGAAGCATGGATGGTAAGAGCTGCTTGTCTTAAATCTATCGACTGAAATTATAATCAAGGATGGGTTGATCACTACTGGGTGTTTTGGATCTACTTTT
Organism: Homo sapiens; assembly: GCF_000001405.40. Classification (NCBI taxonomy): domain Eukaryota; kingdom Metazoa; phylum Chordata; class Mammalia; order Primates; family Hominidae; genus Homo; species Homo sapiens. The sequence continues at coordinate 3,974,803 of NC_000002.12, forward strand.
GCAAAGTTGGAGTCTAAGAGAGTCCCCAGAAGCCACCAGGACGACATATGGTCTCTGCAAATGATGAAGCATTTCATGAACCATCACAACGAAGAAGACCCAAGTCACAGCATGCCAGGATGAACCCAGCAAACACCACACAGTTTCACTCACCACACAGAACCAGAAGTTGACTGCTGACGGCCCTCTGAGAGGCTGCCATAGTTTGTTAAATATTTTTCAATCAGGAAACACACTCTGAGCTCCCTTCTGCAGCTGGGTAGGTGCTGAGCTCCAGAGGTTAAAAGACAAATATGTGTTCACATTCTGGAGGTTATAGCATGCTCACAATTAAATGGATTTCATTTCAGAATATTACTTGTCCCGGATTGCACACGGCATGTGTGTATTACGTAGATGGATAGACAGATTAACATTTATGGAAACAAATCATTGTCTGCATTATCAGATTGTAGTAAATTCTTATAATTTTGTGTGGCCTCAGCATCTATTTTGAATACCAGTTTAACTTTCGCAGACCAGAAGTAAGTCTCGGTCATTCTTGACACAGTTTCTAGTTGTACACCACACCAAAGTGGCTCAAGCTGGTGGCTCAAGATTCAGAATTTAGAGGCATTTCTCACCCAGCAAGTAGAGCTTCTGCTTTCCTGCCCAGGCTTCCTTTTTAGACAAAGTCTCACCCTGTCATCCAGGCTGGAGTGCAGGGATGAGATCTTGGCTCACTGTAACCTCCGTTTCCCAGGCTCAAGTGATTCTTCCACCTCAGACTACCCAGTAGCTGGGACTACAGGTACGCACCACCACACCCAGCTTTTTTTAAAAATTGTATTTCTTTTGTAGAGATGGGGCTTTGCCATATTGCCCAGGCTGGTCTCAATCTTCTGGACTCAAGTGATCTGACCTCCTCAGGCTCCCAAAGTGCTGGGACTACAGGTGTGAGCCACTGCGCCCAACCCAGTCTTCCTTTAAATGGACCATTCAGGCCTTTGCCCAAGAACTTAAAAGTATGTAAATCATTCCCACACGCTATTCCCTTACACACACACACCCACACCCACACCCACCCACATATATATGTAAACATACTGCTGGTTCCCACTCACTCTCTCTGCCTGACTCTCATCCCATTGCACGTGACCGGGGGACGGAGGACTGCCCTCCAATTTCTTACACCCTCCCGTCTGCATCTGTAAGTAGTAAATCTTTGAGCTAGTTTCCTGTTGTGTGGAATGATTTTGTGTTTTCCAACTGAAGAACCAGGGACTGCCTCAGGCTGGGCTTTGCCTGGGATGCCAGGGAGGCAGTCGGTGGGGACAGAAGGTTGGACTCCCAGCACCACAGCAATGGCCAGACAGGCATAAACTGAGCACGGGTCAGACAAGAGCCACGGGTGTCTGCTAGTATAAACACGTTTCCCATGTGAGGGACTCCCTGGTTGTGGGTTGAACAACGAGGTGTGAGGCCATCCACAGGTAAAAGAGGCATTCCATGAAAGGTGCTCTGTAACTGCTCACACTCAGCTTCCCCTTCATCTCCCATTAGGGCAGAGTTGCCAGCCACTCTGGAATGAGAGTCTCAATTTAGCTGAGGCTCTGAAAACACAGGTACACTCTGATGACTTGCCAGCAGACAGTGTTTACATAGCAAGTGCCATATTCATGGCACTGAAATCACAGCTATAGTTCACGGAGTGACTCCCTGTCCATGGGTGGTGCTAAAATCACAGCTGTAGTTCATGGAGTGATTTCCTGTCCATGGGTGGTGCTGAAATCGCAGCTGTAGTTCATGGAGTGACTTTCTGTCCATGGGTAGTGCTGAAATCACAGCTGTAGTTCAGGGAGTAACTTCCTGTCTGTGGGTGGTGCTGAAATCACAGCTGTATTTCACGGGGTGACTCCCTGTCCATGGGTGGTGCTGAAATCACAGCTGTGGTTCATGGAGTGACTTCCTGTCCATGGGTGGCGCTGAAATCACAGCTGTGGTTCATGGAGGGACTTCCTGTCCATGGGTGGCGCTGAAATCGCAGCTGTAGTTCATGGAGTGACTTCCTGTCCATGGGTGGTGCTGAAATCGCAGCTGTAGTTCATGGAGTGACTTTCTGTCCATGGGTAGTGCTGAAATCACAGCTGTAGTTCAAGGAGTAACTTCCTGTCTGTGGGTGGCGCTGAAATCACAGCTGTATTTCACGGGGTGACTCCCTGTCCATGGGTGGTGCTGAAATCACAGCTGTGGTTCATGGAGTGACTTCCTGTCCATGGGTGGCGCTGAAATCACAGCTGTGGTTCATGGAGGGACTTCCTGTCCATGGGTGGCGCTGAAATCGCAGCTGTAGTTCATGGAGTGACTTCCTGTCCATGGGTGGTGCTGAAATCGCAGCTGTAGTTCATGGAGTGACTTTCTGTCCATGGGTGGCCTGGGCAGTGAATGTTCGGCTGTGCCCCATGCCCTATGTACTGATATTACATTCAGCCTTGGAAGCCACTTCAAAAACATTTGAAAACAAGGCAGATAGTTGGTTGCAAGGCATCTCTTGTATGTAAACCAGTAAATGAGAGATGTGTACATCTCCTTCAGTTTATTATTTTGATAATTTAAAAACCACCTTTCCTGTAAAAATACTCCAAATACTTAAAGGAACAGTAATAGTCATGCAACTGCAAAAGAACAGCAGAGATCAGGCAGAAGTGTGGTCTGTGACCTCTAAGAGTCTGTAGTTGGAAACAACTTCCCTGGAAAGTTATGTCCAGTGTAGACTGGATATATTCAGTCTTCATTTGGAAGAAAAACAAAATTTCCAAAAAAAGAAATGCTTTTTAAAATGAAAAGTAACTAGTATCATACCTTTTTGTAAATTTATTTTTTTTTACATTTACATTTTATCTGGATATTTCTTTCTTTAATCCCTTGAGCTCCCGTGAATATTTCTCAAGGCACACAGTCACTCTTTCTGAGTTAAAAACCAAGGAAATCAAATGTACTGCAATTCAGAGATGAAAGTGCTTTCTGTTTCCCTCAAAATAAAACTAATGGAAAGTAGCAGGTGCTCCCTAGCAAAAACATTGTTGTTACTGAACATAGTCTCAACAAATAGACTTCCATTGAGCTGGTTTGAGCCCACACAATCTGAAAGCTCTTTATATAAGTCCATCATGACCAATAAGCAGCCTGGTAGATCTTAGAACCACTGGAAAGAAATAGAAATAAGAAAAAAAATCAAAATGTTATAGAATAGTTTGCATTTCTTTTCTATCTCCAATTTAGCAGCATGTTCTCATTCTGTAGAAATATGATCTTTCAAGTTTCCATGTTGTCAAAGTATTTAAAACTCCACTGCTGGGAAACCAGAATGATCCATAGGGCATAGGGTGCAGTTTTTAACTCAAACACTATGAAATGAGCTAATGTATAGATCACCTGAACCATGCTGGGAATATCTGTAGGCCTTGCCAGGTATGCAAAAGAAAATGGCACTTCTATTTTTGTCTGGATAAGTCAAATAGCAATCAGAGGACCACAGCATGAGAGTGAGGAGAGTGCTCAAAATATTATGTCATTCTTCAGCATATAATAAATCCCTCCTGCAAATTAAACTTAGCCTTATCAATTGGACTCATAGCTCTCAGTGGTGATTTTATCTTAGAATTTGGTAGCTGATGGTATCTTCTGCTTGGCTTTGGAGGCTGGGATGCTTAGTCATTAGTCTGCAGCATCTGTCTAGCAAATTCAGACTTTCAGGGCTTACATTTTGTGATGTGATTTGATGTGCTTTACTTTCTTCCATTTTTTTCTAATTGCCTTCATTTTAAATTCACTTTTTAAATACATTTCATCTCAGTCTGTTACATTTACCCTTGGAGGACACTTTAATGACATTTTAAGATAAGGCAAAGAGAAAATGTTAGTACTTATTCTCATTACTGGTTCTGTGTTTGCTTCAACATACAAGAAGGTGAATAGCCCAGAGGTTACCAATGATCTGGATAGCACAAGGTTTCCTGTTTAAAGGATTCTCCCCTGTACAGCTCTTCCTGTTTTCCTCCAAGTCCAGGTCAGGGATAGTAAAGTATGAGACAATGCTTTCAAAATGTGTCAAGCAGCTTATGCTGAGTAAGATGCAATGCCATTTCTCCAGGGACCAAAGAGCTCTTTTCTACTTTGCTCAAAGACAAAAAGAGTAGCTATCTTATTCAGATATTTTGTTTTCATCCCCTTTGTGGTATCTTCTGCGGGAGGCAGGAGGCGGGTAATGTTTGGACATCTTCTCTGTGCTGGGCACCAGGCTGGGTTCTTTGTATGCATGGTCTTATTGAATCCTCCCAACTTTGCAAGGTCGTTTCATTGGTCCTATTTCACAGATGAGAGAACAAAGGCCCAAGGTGTTAAATATATTGTAGAAATTCCGTTTAGCTTCAGTGTGCACAGTCTGCACTCTGTGATGCTGTCCAAAGCAGTCACATTTGCTATGGTCTGAATATTTGTGTTCCCTCAAATGCCTGCATTGAAACCTGAAAATCCGTATGTTGAAATGTAATAGTGTTAGAGGTGGGTCTTTTGGGAGGCAATGGGACATGAGGGTGGGGCCCTCATGAATGAGATTAGTGCCCTCCTAAAAGAGGCTCCATAGAGCTGTGTTGGCCCTTACACCCTATGAGGACACAGGAAGAAGGCACCATCTGTGAAGCTGAAAGTGAGCCCTCACTGGACACTGAATCTGCTGCTACCTGGAGCTTGAACTTCCCAGCCTCAGAGCTGTGATAAAGACATTTCTATTGTTTATGAGTCACTCAGTTTGTGGTGGTTATAGCAGCCCTAATGGGCTAAGACAGCATTGTTCTACTAGTGACTGACAGTGGCTGACTCAGAGGACACGGGACCTGGCCCATATGTGCCTAGTAAAGTAGGGCTGGGGATAGAGGATTTGAACTGAGTCTAGGATCTAGAAAGATATTCATACTCAGAGCTAGAGGCACCCAAAGCTTCCACTGGGAAACAGCACCAGGAAGGGCCAGTCTGGAGTATCCACCAGGGAGGTAGAGGTGCGGGACTGCTGCTGCTGCTACTACTGCTACTACTGCTAGCAGCAATCATTCACATTTAAATAGAGCTTGACTTTCATAAACATTATTTAGTTGATTGTCACAGCAACATCGTGAGCTATTTAGGACAGGTTTTTATTATTTCTATTATAGGGTTTTCTTCCCTTTTCCTCCCTTTCTCCCTCCCTCATCCTTCCCTTCCCTTCATAAAGAGTTTCTGGGTCAGCCTCATTCCAGACATCATTGTAGGTGGAAAGGACAGGACAAGGGACTAAGGTCTTGGACAGAGGAGAAGAGAGGCTCAGTGTGGACATTACTTGCAAATGCAGGTTGTTACAGTTTCATGCTTGAAAACCGTGTTGATGGGTGCGACAAGAAAGGTGTTTCTGCTGATTACACGACAAAGAACAGATATAGGCTGTGTCTTCCCAGCGCTTCCCCCCAGCTCTGTTCTGGCAGCCTCACTAGTGTTTTCTTGGGAGCAGATGTGAGGTCTGGACCTGAGGAGACCTTTGGCTCCAATTGTAGGAGGCACTCTGGTTTCTGCCCCTGCCACAATAAACAGCCATAGCTGCTGCTGGGGGACCTGAGACTGGAACAATGACTACCAGCTCTGCACGCGATGCCCCGTGTAATGGCCATTCACTGCAAACATTAGAATGTTACCCTCTGACTCCACATTTTAAACCCTGGCAGGAAACCCCTGCTTTATATTTGCTGTTATGTTTAATGATTTGTAAAATCAACAGCTACACAAATCACTACTCTGCCAGACTTGGGTTGTGATTCCTTTTTTCTGTGTCCACTGCCCGGCCTTGTTACCTTCCCTGAACAAAATATTGTTTTCCCTAGCTGTGTTATTTCTGAAATCAGATGAAGGGCTGCCCAGGAAAGCACTGGCAGGCATTTCTGGTGACCTCTCCAGTGCTTTCCATGTGTACACCTCTTGAGAGCTTACCTCTTATGTACACATTAGGAAGTCACTGCATTTTGATGACAGCTGTGCGGAAGAGCCAGGGCAGGCTGTAATCTTCCCTCTTTTATAGATTAGCAAACTGAAGCTCAGAAAAAAATAAGTGATGTGGCTGGACAATGGCAGATCCAGGACACGAGGCCAAGTCCTGAATCTCAGTCCAAAGTGGTGACATTGTAGAAGAAGCATGGACTAAAGAGGCCTGGAGCTCAGAGCTGTGTAGACCTATTTGCCTCCTGCACAGATCTGGGCTTGCATCCTAGCTCTGTCATTTAAATAATGGCTATTTGTGCAGGCCCATTAGCCCCTCTGAGCTTCAGTTTGTCATCTGTGAAGCGGGACTGACAACACCCATGCATGGGTGGACTATGTGGTCAAGTCAGCATCAAAGACAGAACACAGAAGAGTGGCAGGTGCAAGGCAGTTTGGCAAATGCTAGTGCTGTGTCTTGCCTTCAGATTCTTAATTCTGATACCTCAAATATCCAAAAGTTTTGTGAAACAAGTCACAGTTAGTGCCAGAGTGCTGAACCCATCCTTAAATTTATTCATGGGGATGCCAATTTTTAGAGAGAGAGTGATGCTTTTGAATTTATTCTGGAAGTTGCTCAAATTCTGGATGAACTCAGAGATATTCAGGACCCAAAGTGGGTTTGGCTATGCCAACACAAGCAACAGCACCTCCAGCCCGTGGTGTTTCCCAAAATGAATCCCATTTCAGATAACAGTGCATTCCAGATGGGGCTCCCGGCAGGCAGAACTCATGGTATGGCCTTTCGCCCTCTGCTTGGTCCCACTCACACTCTCAGTCAGTTGCACCCATGTCTCCACGTACAGCTCATGCAGGCTGGTGGGTGGTGCAGGAGTGTGCTTGTATCAATGGACTTGCTTCATGAAGGGCCCCGAGGAACCTCCCAGCTCTCAATTCTCTGCCTCATCCCACAGTCTTCGGTGTCTGCCAGTGCAGCAAATTCCACCCACCACAGCTGTTTTGACAGCTGGGTAAGGGTTTAGGAAAGAGGCAAAAACGAAAGAAACGAAAGAGGACAAGAGAGGTAGGGAGTTAAGTGAAGGCATTCTGGAACTAAAATAGTCACGAGACCCATATATATTTGTGTGTGACTGTAAAGGAAATTGAAAAATAAAGATCCCAAGCAAAATTTTTAAAGAAAGGCAATTGCTTTGAAGAACCATACTTATTTGGAATTGTCAGTCCTTGTAGACGTGTGAGGAAAATCTGTCAAGACTTTATACCTGGTATTCAAGCATTCACAGTGCCTGATAAAAGGCAAGCTTGCGCTCCAGGATGGGTGCAGCTGCTAAAATGAGTGCGCTGCTCTTGTGTCCAACCCGGGGAGACTTCTGATTTGGAGCCTTGAGGATCAAACTCAGTATGATGTGCTTTTGAACTCAGACGCCATTTAAGTGCAAAGCTCAGAGGCACTATGCTATTGTGAAATAATAGCATAATGATTCAAATAATAAAAAATTAAGTGCATGCCTTGGTTTGTGTGTATTAGGATACAAAGTGAGCTAGGGCTGCTGACCTGGCAATTTTAATAAAACAAAAATGTATTTTTCCTCTGCATCTGAGAATATCAACAATCTATGTTCTATAGGAAAATTGATCTGAGATTAGCTTACTGGAATGGATGCCCTCTGCAGGTCTAGGCCATGCTGTCAATAACCATAGATGATGATAGAGTAGAATGTCTGGGTATAGGCAGGTGTAGGTCCTATTTCTTCAAAATCACTTCTTTAGTTTGGAACTAAGGATTTAAAGTAATTGACAGTAAAAAAAAAATTTAAAGTGGGCACATGTGGATTTAATCATGATAAAATAAGGGTATGATTTCATTTAATCTGTTCCATTCAAAAAACACTTGGGGTACTCCTGAATGTGTCAGGTATGGTGTTAGGTGCTGGGGGTAAAAAAAAGAGGTCACAGACAAGGCAGTGGGGAGGGCTACCTATGAAATACTTAGAAATATTTAATTAAATATTGAATTCTTAGTGAGTAGCTGAGATCTCAGGAAATGAAATGAAAATATCCAAGGGCCAAAACGGAAGAGGAAATTGACCCCCAGAATGACAGCACCACCTTGTGCCCAGGTGTCCTGAGATAGGGGTTGGAGGGTGCAGTGATTGCCACCTGCTCCTTTGGGCCTTTGGCTGCAATGCTAATTCAGGGAAAACAAGTGACGTCCGGGGCTGATGCACAGTGGGGAAATGGATTTCTTATCTCTGAATGAAGCCTCATGAAAAGATGAACTAAAAATAAACCCACCTTCCTTCATTAGGAGATAAAAGTAAAGATTATTTACAACCACATATAGTGTGTAAAACTTGATGGAATCTGGTTAAGAAAAAAAAACAAAAACCAAAGTACAGAAGACCCTAAGACCCTTTGTGGGCCATTGGGGAAATTGAATATAGACTGGATAGTAGATCAAACTAAGAATTTTTTGTTAATGTTCTCAAATGTAATAATATTGTCAGAATATTCTATTCTTAGAATTTGCATGCAGAAGTATTCAGGGTTAAAGTGTTATGGTGTCTACAACTTACTTTCTAGTGGTTCAGCAAATATGTATACATAGAGTTGAATGTATAGATGAGACCTTTATGACAAAATATTAATCATCCAGGGAGTGGGTATATGTGCAATCATACTGTTCTTCCTACTTTTCTGGAAGTTTGAAAAATTTTGAAATAGAAAATTGGAAAATGAAGGAACATTGTTTTTCTTGATCTAGGTTTGGGGATGAAAAATAACTTCCCTGAGATTTTGTAGCCATAAGCCTATCCTCATGAAGATTAGAGGTTGACTTTATTCCTTCTACATGACATGAGAATCCTTGGCCTGAGAAAATAACACAAAAGTAATAGAGGCTGGAGATACTACTGGTTGCCTGGCAGAAGGAAACACAAACTGCCTGGAGGCACAGATCCTCAGCTGAGAGTGCGCAGTACATCCTAGATGAAGCGAAGCACAGTAGGCATGCAATCCAAAATTACAAAACAGGAAGAGAGCGCAAAGAGTCAAACGTGAAAAACAACAGGATCCAATCCTGAAGGATGTTTAAATATGTCAAAGACGTCTTGGAATTGTAATAAAGCATGCAAGATAAGCCACAGAACTTTTAGAAATAAAATGTAAACTCACTGAAACAGAAAAAAAATCTGATCAGATTATTAAGTGAAATGAATAATTGGTGATGTGAAATGTGAAACCGGGAAACTTACACAGAATGCACTGCAGAGCACAGAGAGATGGGAAGTACCAGAGCGAGCCTGGGACACGTGGGCAGCGAGATGATCAAATGTACATCCAACGGAACTCAGTGCAGAGCAGGAGGAACGCAGAGCATGCAGCGTGCAGACAGCCATGGCCATTCGGATTCTGTTATTTCAATGAGCCCAAGGAAGGGTCTGCATCTGAATATGTGCTAATGAAACAGAAGAACTCCAAAGACACACTGTTAGAAGGGAGAATAGGTAAAAGCTGCAGTTAGAAGGACAGCAGTGTCAACAAGAAACAATAGTAGATATAAGAGATAGAATTCTATATCTAGGTAAACCATTGTTCAGTAATAATACAAAAATGAAATGTTTTCATTTACTTAGAAAAGTAAAAATTTACCCAATGTGAAACAAGAATAGACAAACATACTTCTATCATTAAAGCCATTGTATTAGTAGTTTAAATTTGCTCCAAAAACAAATTACCTCTCCCAATCACCAGGCCTAATGGCTTCTGTATGCAAGTTCCAGCAAATAGTTAAGGCATCCAACATCCCAATTTTGAGAGAGCAGAATAACAAGAGATATGAACCAATTCATTTGATGTGCTTTATATGACCTTTTATCAAAATCAGAGAAGAATAAAAAGTTATATACCTCTTTTACGTATATAGACTGAGACATCTCAAATAAAATATTAGCAAATCAAATCCAGAAACATGTATAAAAGTGTAGGCTGACAAAGGTGGGATTATCATGGGAATGCTGAGTTGTTTGCAACTAGAAGTATAGATGTAACTTATTAAACGATTAAAAGAGAAGAAAGCATATATCACTTTGAGAGATACAAAGAAGAATTTGGCGTATTGCACATCATGTCAGGAAGACTCAGTATTGGAAAGATGTTTGTGTTTGTCTCAAATTCAAAGCAATTCTATTAAACATTTTCCAAGGGCTTTTTTTTCTTCTGTAATTTAATAAGCTGATGGAGCAGTGAAAGGCCCAGAATATTGTTCCTGTTACTAGGGCTGTGTAACAAATGACCCCAAAGCTCAGTGCAGCAAAACCTTTACCATGTAACCCTTATAAAATCCTTGAGGAATCAACTTTAGAGGATATGTCACTCACATTAGATCTGGGCAGGGACTGGTGGGGACAGCTCATTTCTGCTTTCCTTGGCATCAGCTCTAGGACTTCCAGGCTGCTGGCTGGGATGATCTAAGGTCACTTTCACTCATGTGCCCAGTGCCCTGGCTGGGAGGACTGTACCGGGCAGGGGTGGGGGGTGGTGCTCCTTGGCTGTTTCCCTCTCTGTAGGTCATCTTCCCACACCATCAGGGTGGCCGGACTTACATGTCAGCTCGGCTCTGAAGCCGTGTGTCCCGAAAGAGCCGGGCTGAAGCTGTATCCTCCTGTGACGTAGGTTTAGAAGTCACAAACACATCATTTGCACCACTCTGCAATGGGTGTTAGTCAAAGGACCCTGCACAGATTCAAGGGAAGGGAATATGCACCTGTCTGCTGGTGGAAGTAGTGTCAGCAACATGTGGTGTGGACGTCATGTGTATGGATGAGTGTGAGTGTGTGTGTGTGTGTGTGTAAAATATAACCTGCCACAAATATTCCATACAATTCGAAGAACAAGGATTTATTCCATTAGACCCCATGAGATGATAAAGCTGAACCAGTTTGGAAGTATGGTACTGGTACATGGGTAGAAGCCAAAAATTGGAACAGTAGGTAGAGCCCTGAGATAAGCCCAGTCACATAAGGGAGCTACATTATACCAGTGTGGAAATGTGAACCATTGAGGAAAAGATACACTATTAAATTACTAATGATGAAGTGACTAGGGACTAAGGCCTGGTAATTGTCCAAGCATGTGGAGAAAAATAGGTATTGCTACACCTTACTAATAGTAATAGTCATAGCTAACATGGATGGACTATCCAGTACGTACCAGGTATTTTGCATGTGTTATTTGTAATCCTTATAAAATCCTTGAGGAATCAACTTCAGAGGTCACTGTCACTCACATTAGATCACAAGGATGGTGAGTTTTGGAGCTAGGATTTGAATCCAGATCTGTGCGAGCCACGTGTTTTGTACCTTCGTTTACCTCAGATGTTTGTTCTTGCCCTGGGACTTGTCTAACGTTGTTCATTTCCTGAAATCTCTTTGGTCTCAAACACTTGCGTCAATTCACTTTACCACATTACCTTCTGCTTGTCTTTGAATCATGGGCTTAGTCATCAGCCTCTGAGGGAATTGTTTCTGACCCTTGTCTTCTCCAGGATAGAACTTATACCCTCGGCCCCATTCTTTTAAACTTATGTCTATCATCCCATTCATGACAATGTGGGGGATAGAAAAGCAGGATTCACATGCTCTTCTCCTCCCCAAAAAACAAATATTTGCCTGTCAGAAATAAGATAAAACTGTCAAAGGCATACAAAATCACTGTTTAAAAACTAGTGTAAATTTTAAAACAGCAGTAACTATTCTGTTAAATAATAATGAAAAAGCAATATTAAAAAAAACGAAGATTGAGATCAAGAACAGAAGAACACTGAGCACTTTGGTGTCACGCAGGTTAAGATGACACTTGCAAGACGCTGTCTCTGTGAGGCTTCCATCTGTTCTTGGAGCCTGGGGAGAGGGTTTCTCACTGTCAGCACTTGCCCAGTATTGGGTGCATTCTTTCAGTCACGGACACTGTGGCTCTTTGTGGCTCCTTTCTTGGAAACTGTAGTTATTTGAAAACAATGTCGGACTTAAGGTCTGTTTTTTCACTCCCAGGCAATTCAGTGTTTTCTGTACTGATCTATCTCCCTTTTCTACCAGAACTGCCTTTCCCCTCAGTGGTTCAGAATGTCAGATAAACTGGGGGAGAGAATGCATAGAAGAAAGACCCCAGGCTGAGAAGATAGAACCTCATCTTTTCCTGAAGTTCATGAAGATACTTCTCTATTCAGCAGTTTCCCCTTAGCCACAGCTTTGCTTTCTGTGGTTCCGGTTACCAGCAGTCCGAAACATTAAGATATTGAGAGAGAGAGAGAGAGAGAAATAGAGAGAGAGAGAGAGAGAGCCCACACTTACCTTTTATTGCAGTATATTGTTCTGTTTTATTATTAGTTATTGCTGTTAAACTCTTTCTGTGCCTAATTTATAAATTAAACTTTATCATAAGTGCACATGTATGGAAAAAAAACATAGTATATATAGGGGTTGGTAGTATTCCTGGTTAACACCTGTGGATAAGGGGGAATATTGCCTTTTGCATTTCGTATGCCTTGATTTCACACTAAGATTGTTAATTGCACTGGAGTAGATTTTGTGCATGATTTGAGGTAGGGATCCAATGGCATTTTCTTTCATATGCATAATGAAAAATTGTCTCATTCCTTTTAGTTTGCAATTGTAGCTCTGTCATAAATTGAATTTTAATATACTCACTGCTGTGTTCTGTGACTTTCTTCTCTGTTTCATTGGTCTGTATTATTCACTGCATCAAACCCACACCACCTTAGTTACTATAGTTTTATAAATGTGGTCTCTCTTAGGGCAGTTCCCCCAGTTGCCTTGACGACCATAGTCCCTGCTATTGATCTTCATAAAAGTTTAGCTATTTCTGAACTTTCGTCTGTCTTTATCTGCTAATAATTAGCTTTGTAAGTTGGGCCAAAGTCTGTTGGAATTTTGATAGAGACTGCTTTAAAGAGAGACAAATTGGGAAGAATTTATGTTTCCTATCCATGATCATGAATATTTCTCTCAATTAATTAGATATTTCATGTATTAAAATATATCATGAAAAAAAGATATCCTCAATATTCACAAAGATACTTCCCAAAAAGATGACCGATATCTTTCAATGGCATTTAATATTCTCCATAAAGATCTTGCACATCTTTTGTTAGATGTTTTTCTTTGGTATTTTTGTTATTGTTGCTGTGGAGAATCATAAGTTTATCTTTTCTAACGTTTATTACTGGTTATAGAAATAGCATTGTCTTTTGTATATTGATTTTATGTCCAGTAATCTTGCTAAACCCTTATTAATTCTAATAATTTAACTGTTGATTATTTTGGCCTTTTTATGTGCAATTTTGTTTCTTTTATATCCTTTTATAACTTTTTAGTTTTTCATTTTACAGTTCAGCATTAAATAAAAGTGGTAACAGTGGATATTCTTGTCTTATTCTTGCTCTTAAAGGGAATGTTTCAAACATTTTACTGCTGACTTGTTTTGAAGCAATTTTTAAAAAACCTTCTATTAGATTGATCCTAGCTGGCTCATAATTTTTATCCTTAATGGATATTGAATTTTATTAAATTCTCTAATTGCATCTATTGGGGTAGTCGTGTGAGTTTTGTCATTTATTCTGTTATACCATGAGTTACATTAATAGATTTTTAAATGAGACATCAGTGTTGTATTCCTAGCGTAAATCCAATTTGGTCATACTTTATTTAGTTTTTTATACATTTCAGATTCAATTTTTGAAAATTATTTTCAAATCCCTGTTAGTGAATAAGATTGACTTGAGCCTTTTTCTTTCACATATTGTTTTTGTCTAGCTTTGGTATCAAAGTTTTGCTGAAATTATAATGAATTGGCAAGTACATTCTTGGAGATAGTTTAAGTCAAGAATTATTTGCTCTCATAATTTGTTAGAACTGTCTGGTAAAGTTGTTAGGCATGCTGTACTCTATGGGGAGATATTCAACAATTAATTTGCTCTATTTAATAGAGTTATTCAGGTTTTATTTTTTAAAAGTAATTTCTACAATTATATTTTATCTAGGAATTTGTCCATTTCCTATCTTTTTATTTTTTGGCAAGCAGTTATACATAGTATTATTTTTAGGCACTGTAGCATGGAGATATACCCACTTTGCTTGTGTCTTCTCACTTATTTTTTTATCCTGTAGAAGTTAAACAATTTTATTTTTCTTTTTAAAATTTTCTTTTTAAAATTAATTTTTAATTGACAAAACTTGTGTATATTTATGATTTACAACATGTTGTTTTGAACAATTTTCTTAATCTTCTCATGGAATAGTGTCATGGCAGTGTGGAATTTTTGCTGTGTGCAGCTTTTCTCAGCCCTTAGTTCATGCTTGTCTAGCTACTATTTTCTTCTTTCTGCTTTATTTGGTCTTTTGCTACTCATTATGCTATTCTTGTTTTGAACTTATTAAGTAGGGTGTTTATATGATGTATTACTCCATTCTCACATTGCTATGAATAAATACCTAGGCTAGGTGTGGTGGCTCATGCCTGTAATCCCAGCACTTTGGGAGGCTGAGGTGGGTGGATCATGAGGTCAGGAGATCAAGACCATCCTGGCTAACATGGTGAAATCCTGTCTCTACTAAAAATACAAAACAAAACAAAAAAAATTAGCCGGGCATGGTGGTGGGTGCCTGTAGTCCCAGCTGCTTGGGAGGCTGAGGCAGGAGAATGGCGTGAACACAGGGGGCTGAGCTTGCAGTGAGCCGAGATTGCACCACTGAACTCCAGCCTGGGCGACAGAGTGAGACTCCTTCTCAAAACAAGACAAAACAAAAAAGAAAGACCTGAGACTGGGTAATTTATAAAGAAAAAGAGGTTTAATGGACTCACAGTTCCACATGGCTGGGGGAGGCCTCACAATCATGGCAGAAGGTGAAGGAGGAGCAAGGGCACATCTTACATGGAGGCAGGCCAAAGAAAGCATGTGCAGGGGAACTGACCTTTATAAAACCAGCATATCTCATGAGACTTATAAACTATCACGAGAACAGCACGGGAAAAACCCACCCCTGTGATTCAACTACCTCCTACTGGGTCCCTCCCGTGACATGTGGGGATTACAGGAGCTACAATTCAAGATGAGATTTGGAGTGGGGGGACACAGCCAAACCATATCATTCTGCCCCTGGCCCCTCCCAAATCTCATGTCCTCATATTTCAAAACCAATCATGCCTTCCTAACAGTTCCCCAAAATCTTAACTCATATCAGCATTAACTCAAAAGTCCATAGTCCAAAGTCTCATCTAAGACAAGGCAAGTCCCTTCCACCTATGAGTCTGTAAAATCAAAAGCAAGCTAGTTACTTCCTGGATATAATGGTGGTACAGGAATCAGGTAAATACATCCATTCCCAATAGGAGAAATTGGCCAAAACAAAGGGGCTACAGGTCCCATGCAAGTCCAAAATCTAGCAGGGCAGTCAAATCTTAAAGCTCCATAATGATCTCCTTTGACTCCGTGTCTCACATCCAAGTCATGCTGATGCAAGTGGGGGGTTCCCATGGCCTTGGACAGCTCTGCCTCTGTGGCTTTGCAGGGTACAGCCCGCCTTCTGGCCACTTTCACAGGCTGGTGTTGAGTGTCTGCAGCTTTTTTAGGTGCATGGGGCAAGCTGTTGGTAGTTCTATCATTCTGGGGTCTGGAGGATGGTGGTCCTCTTCACACAGCTTCACTAGGCAGTGCCCTAGCGGGGCCTCTGTGTGGGAGCTCCCACCCCACATTTTCCTTCCGCACTGCCCTAGCAGAGCTTCTCCATGAGGGCTCCAACCCTGTGGCAAATTTCTGCTTGGACATCCAGGCATTTTCATACATCCTCTGAAATCTAGACGGAGGTACCCAAACCTCAATTCTTGACTTCAGTGTACCCATAGGCCCAACACCATGTGGAAGCCTCCAAGTCTTGGGGCTTCCACCCTCTGAAGCCATGGTCCGAGCTGTACCTTGGCCCCTCTTAGCCACAGCTAGAGAGGCTGGGATGCAGGGCACCAAGTTCCTAGGCTGCACAGAGCACGGGGGCCCTGGCCCCCACCTTGAAAATCATTTTTTCCTTCTAGGCTTCTGGGCCTGTGATGGGAGGTGCTGCCACAAAAGTCTCTGGCATGCCGTGGAGACATCTCCCCATTGTTTTGGTGATTAACATTCAGTTCCTTGTTACTTACGCAAATTTCTGCAGCCAGCTTGAATTTCTCCCCAGAAAATGTTTTTTTTTCTATTGCATCATCAGCCTGCAAATTTTCCAAACTTTCATGCCCTGCTTCCTCTTGAACACTTAGCTGCTTAGAAATTTATTCCACCAGATACCTTAAATCATCTCTCTCAAGTTCAAAGTTCCACAGATCTCTAGGGCTGAGGCAAAATGCTGCTAGTCTCTCTGCATAGCAAGAGTGACCTTTACTCCAGTTCACCAAAAGTTCCTCATCTCCATCTGAGACCACCTCAGCCTGGACTTTAATGTCCTTATTATTATCAGCATTTAGGTAAAAGCCATTCAATAAGTCTCCAGGAAGTTCCAAACTTCCCCCCTTTTCCTGTCTTCTGATCCCTCCAAGTCTCTAGGAAGTTTAAAACTTTCCTACATTTTCCTGTCTTCTTCTGATCCCTCCAAACTGTTCCAACCTCTCCTTGTTACCCAGTTTCAAAGTCGCTTCCACATTTTTGGGTATCCTTATAGCAGCACCCCACTTCTTATACCAGTTTACTGTATTATCCTGTTCCCATGTTGCTAATAAAGACATACCCAAGAGTGGGTAATTTATAAAGAAAAAGAGGTTTAATTGACTCACAATTCCACATGACTGGGGAGGCCTCACAATCATGGCAGAAGGCAAAAGAGGAGCAAAGGCATGTCTTACATGGAAGCAGGCAAGAAAGCATGTGTAGGGAAATTACTCCTTATGAAACCATCAGGTCTCATGAGACTTATTCACTATCATGAGAATAGCAAGGGAAAAACCCGCCCCCATGATTCAATTACGTCCCACCAGGTCCCTTGCACAGCACACGGAAATTATGGGAACCACAGTTCAAGATGAGATTTGGGTGGGGATGCAGCCAAACCATATCAGATGATTACTTTCAGTTTTTCTTATTTTCTAATAAAAGTGCTTAGGAATATAAACTTCCCAATATTTTATCAGCATACCACAAATTTAGATATATAGTATTTTCTTAAGTTAAATCTTAAGTAGTTTTTAATTTTTATTATGATTTTTTATGATTTATTAAAAATGTTACAAGAAAAATAATAATGAAAAAAGAATGTTTGGGCATTGCTGTGGCTTGTCACTGATTTCCAGCACAATTGTACTGTAGTCAGAAACTGTGATCTGTAAAATATCAATTTTTTTGCCATTTGTGATGTCTTGCCTTGTGGTTTTTTAGGTATTAAATTTTTATAAATTAAATGTTTCATGCATTAAAAATATTTATTCTATAATTCTTGGTTAAAATTCTCTACGTATGTTTAGTTAAGATTGTTTATGAGTTGTTCAAATGTTCTCTACTGAGGCCAACAGCTTTTATATAGAACGTGATTCCTATCAAAAGTTGAAGACACAAAAACACCTTTGAGAAACTTTCTTAATGACTTCCAATTGTCAGCACAGAAGGTGTCCAGAAGTCTATGGGAACTTGCCAGCATTTGGCATTGTCCGTTTTTAAAAAATATTTTGCCCTTAAGAGTGTTGTTTTAATTTGCAGTTTTCTAATGCAAGTGATATTGAGAACCTTTTATATGCTTATTTGCCATTTGTATATTGTCTCTGGTGAGGTATCTGTTCAGATATTTTGTCTGCTTTTTCCTTGGGTTGTTTTCTTGTTATTGAATGTAAAAGTTCTTTATATATTCTGGATACAAATCTGTAATTAGATATGTGGTTTTCATATATTTTCTCCAGGTTTGAGGCTTGTGTTATCAATCACTTAATAGTATATTTTATAGAGCAGAATCTTTAAATTTTAATTAGTCCAACCTAAATGCTTTCTTTCACGAAACTGCTTCTAGTGTTGTAGCTGAAAATTTATCACAAAATCCAAGGAAACAAAGGTTTCCCTTTAAGAGTTTTTTAGTGTTGTATTTTTCATTTAGGCGTATGATTCATTTTCAGTTAATGTTTGTGAAAGGTGTAATGTCTGCATATAGGTTCTTTTTTTGGGATATGGACATCCAAATGTTAAAGCACCATGTGTTGAAAAGACTACCCTTTCTTCACTGAATTGCCTTTGCTCCTTTGTCAAGTATCAGCTAACTATATTTATGTGGGTCTATTTCTGGGCCCTCTATTCTGTTCCCTATTGATCTATTTGTCTTTTCTTTCATGAGTATCATGTGGTATTGATTACTGTAGCTTTACAACAAATCTTGAAATTGGTAGTGTTAAGTATTTCAACTTTTTTTTTTCTATTTTATTGTATTGTTTGTTCTAGGTCTCATCTTTTCATATAAACTTTAAAATCAACTTGTTGATTTCTACAAAATAACTTTCTGAGATTTTGACTGGAATCATGTTGAGTCCATAAGTCAAGTTGGATAGAATTAATACCTTAACAATATTGAATTTTCTGATGCATGGATACTGAATATCTCCCCGGTTATTTAGATTTTCTTTGTAGTTTTTTATGTATAGATTCTGTACATACTCTGTTGGATATATACCTAAGTATTTAATTTTGGGAGAGGAGCAGGTTATTGGAACAGATATATTAAAAAAAATCTTGAATCCCAATGTTCATTTCTCATATATAGGACAGCAGTTGACTTTTATAGGTTAACCTTGTCTCCTGTGACCTTGCTATGCTCGTTTATTAGTTCCAGGAGTGTTATGATTCTTTAGAATGTTTTACATAGATAATCATATCATCTGTGACTAGAAATAGTTTTATTTCTTTATTTATTTAGTTCCTTTATTTCATGCACTAGGTAGGAATTCCAGCATGATATTAAATAGGAGTGATGAGAAGGGGACATTCTTGACTCGTTTCCAGTCTTAGGCCAAACAAGTTCAATTTCTCACCATTATGAAAACTATATATTTTTTGTAGATATTTTAACAAGCTAAGAAATCTTATTAAATATACAGAAACTAAGGAATTTGTTTATTAATTCTAATAGCATTTGGTGGCATCTTTAGGGTTTTCTACATAGGAGGTTATGCCATCTGCAAACAGACAATTTATCTTCTTTTTCAATGTGGATGCTTTTTATTTTATTTTTTTTACACTGTCTTCCACAATGGTTGAACTAATTTACATTCCCACCAAAAGTGTAAAAGCATTCCTATTTCTCTGCAGCCTCTTCAGCATCTGCTGTTTCTTGACTTTTTAATAATTGCCATTCTAACTGGTGTTAGATAGTATCTCATTGGGGTTTTGATTTGCTTTTCTCTAATAATCAATGATGTTGAGCTTTTTTTTTCATATATTTGTTGGCCCCATGAATGTCTTCATTTGAGAAGTGTCTGTTCATATCCTTTGTTTGTTTTTTTTTCTTATAAATTTGTTTAAGTTCCTTGTCAACTCTGGATATTAGACCTTTGTCAGATGGATAGATTGCAAAAATTTTCTCCCATTCTGTGGGTTGTCTGTTCACTTTGATGAAAGTTTCTTTTGTTGTGCAGAAGCTTTTTAGTTTAATTAGATCCAGTTGGTCAGTTTTTGTTTTTGTTGCAATTGCTTTTGGTGTTTCATCGTGAAATATTTGCCTATACCTGTGTCCTGAGTGGTATTGCCTAGATTTTCTTCTAGGGTTTTTATAGTGTTGGGTTTTACATTTAAGTCTTTAATCTATATTGAGTTATTTTTTGTATAACATGTAAGGCAGGGGTCTAGTTTCAATTTTCTGCATTTGGCTAGCCAGCTCTCTCAGCACCATTTACTAAATAGGAGATCCTTTCCCCATTGCTTGTTTTTGTCAGGTTTGTCAAAGATCAGACGGTTGTAGGTGTTTGGTTTTATTTCTGAGTTCTCTATTCTGTTCCATTGGTCTATGTGTCTGTTTTTGTGCCAGCACCATGCTATTTTGGTTACTGTAGCCTTGTAGTATAGTCTGAAGTTGGGTAGCGTGACGCCTCCAGCTTTGTTTTTTTTTGTTGTTTCTTTGTTTTTGTTTTTTTGCTTAGGATTGTCTTGGCTATTCAGGCTCTTTTTTGGTTCCATATGAATTTTAACATAGTTTTTCCTAATTCTGTGAACAATGTCAATGATAGTTTAATGGGAATATTATTGAATCTATAAATTACTTTGGGCAGTGTAGCCATTTTCACAATTTTAAGTCTTCCTCTCCATGAGCATGGAATGTTTTTCCATTTGTTTGTGTACTCTCTGATTTCCTTGAGCAGTGGTTTGTAGTTCTCCTTGAAGAGGTCCTTTACTTCTCTTGTTAGATGTATTTCTAGGTATCTTTTTTGCTTTGTAGCAATCATGAATGGGAGTTCATTCATCATTTTATTTTTAACATTTTAAAAAAGTTTTTTCATATAATTCTAATCTCTCTGGTTACATTACCTGTCTATGTGTGATGTCTACTTTCTTCATTAGTGAACTTAGCATATTAATCTTAGTTACTTTATATTTCCTATCTAACACTTCCAACAGCTGTACCATAGCTGAATCTGGTTTCAGTGCTTGTTTTGTCTCTTCAGGCTGTGGTTTTTCTCCTCCTTGGTATGCCTTATAATTTTTTGTTGGAGCCTGGGCATGTTGTATCAAGTAATAGGAACTCAGGTAAATAGGCCTTTAATGTGAGGATTTATGCTAATCTGGTTAGGTCTTGGGCTGTGTTTTATGTTTGTTATGACTGTAGTTGCCAGAGGCTTCAAACTCCTCTAGTACTCTTGTTTCTATATTCTCTCTTGTCTCTGGGCTTCTTTAAGTACTCTTCCTCAGAGAATATTGCTGTGTCTTGCTGCTGTTTCAGCGGTAGTCCAGTATTATCATTCCTGAGCCTTGATGATTTGTTGGTGAACTGTAGGGGGTAGGGAGGGAAACATTCTGTAATGTTATGATTAAATCTCAGTCTCTTCCTGGACCTGTGTCTCTGGGCTATGTGTTTCACAAGTGTTTTTCCATTAGTACTGATTTTTATTTTCTCTTGGCCTTGGCAGGAAAGGTGGAGGGGTCTGAAGTGGCAGGAATGCCCTTTCCCCCCAGTGAGATAAATCTTTGGTAAAGCCTTTTCCTGTGCACTGTAAGCCTTTGTTAAGGAGAATGCTCTGGGTATATTTCACAATGAGTTTCCCTGACCCTACCCTGCCAGTGCTACCATGGGATCTTTCTGAGATCATCACCATGCAAACCTGGTGAAGTTCATTGTGTTAAGATCTGTGAAAGTGTGGGGATCCCTCTAAGACTGTGGCTCCAGGAGTTTCTCACTCTCCTGAGAGTCTGCATCTAGCCTCCAGCAATTCATCTAACTTCCTAATTACACGTTTCTGCCAGATTTTTGGCTTCAGTGGCTTCTGCTGAAGCCAGATCTCAGCTCAGACTCTCTGGATTTATCATTTTCCACAGATTTCATGGTGGTAGTTTTCTCTGCCAACTTAACCTCTTTGGTGGATACAAAAAAGTTGATGTATAGTTTTTTTTTCATTTGTTATAAGGATGGAAGTGACAACTTCCAAGTTCTTCACATTTTGGCCTGAAATCATACTTATTCCAGCATGCTTCTGATTGGTGTTACCATGCTATACCTTTTCCTATCATTCTACTTTTATTATATTTAGTCTTTATTTGTACAGTGGGATTCTTGTAGGCAGCATACATTTGAGTCTTGCTTCTTTATCCAGTCTTATAATTGCCATAATTTAATTGGAGTGTTTAGACCATTTATATTCAATGCAGTTATTGTTGATGGCTTGATTTAAATTTCCTATCTTGCTGTTTTTTTTTCTATTTGTACTTTAAAAAATTTTCTCTTTGCCAGAGAGAAATAGTGGTGGCTCATGCCTGTAATCCCAGCACTTTCGGAGGCCGAGGCGGGTGGATCACAAGGTCAGGAGTTCAAGACCAGCCTGGCCAAGATGGTGAAACCTCGTCTCTACTAAAAATACAAAAATTAGCTGGGTGTGGTGGTGGGTACCTGAAATCCTAGCTACTCAGGAAGCTGAGGCAGAGAATTGCTTGAACCCAGGAGGCGGAGGTTGCAGTGAGCTGAGATCACACCACTGCATTCCAGCCTGGGTGACAGAGCGAGACTCTGTCTCCCAAAAAAAAAAAAAATTCTCTTTAACTGCCTTCTTTTGAGCAATTGAGTGTCTTTATTCTTATTCTAATAATTCTCATCTGTTGGCTTATTACCTAGAACTCTTTTTGTTTTCATTTTATAGACTGCTTTAGGTTTTATAGTATACACCTTTAACTTATCACAGTATAACTTGAAGTGATACTATTTCACTCAAAAGTAGTATAAGAACTCAAGAAAAAATGTTTACATTTCTCTCTTTGTTTTTGTGGTATTATTGCAATATATTTTAAGTCTCCATGTGGTATAGACTGTACAATCCATTGCTATTATTTTTCCCTTGATCAATTCTTTTAAAGGGTTTTAAATTATAAGGAAAACTTATTTTATATTGTTGTTGCAATATACAAGTTACAATTTCCAGTTTTAAAAATTCCTTTCTGTAGATCTAGATTTCCATATCATATAGTTTTTCTTCCCCCTTCATTTATTATTTCTTGTAGTGCATGCCTACCATTTATTAATTCATCAGGTTTTATATATTTGAAATATATTTATTTTGTCATTATTTATCAACAATATATCCATTGATTATAGCATTCTAGGTAGACAGCTTTTTTTTGATAGCACTTCATGGATGTTCTTTTACTATTGTATGGCTTGTATGTTTCCAGTAAGAAATCTGGTGTCATTCTGATCTTTGTTTTCTGTATGTAATGTAATGACCAGGAGTATTCTCTTAGATAACATCTCCCCAGTGGAAAAGGGGTGGGAGCTCCTGGCCATAATGGAAACAAGATCAGAGAACCTGCTATAGCAGCCCTTGCTTCCCATCTAATGTTATCACCAGGTTAGTCCTGGGATATTGGGATGGAAGGCAAGGTGCCAAAAGCACCAATGAGAGCAGAGAACAGAATAGTCAAGGTAAATTCACATATATAGAGAGAACTAGGACTTGAAGGGGCACAAGGAGGTAATATGAGGTGCTAACACAAGACAGTATATATAGGTGCCCAAGTGCACAAATTGGGAGGGAAAAGAATGATAAAAGCATTGAGACAATTTGGATAGGACTGTGTACTGCTCTTTTAAATTTTTATGTGTTTGTATGTTTTTTATTGAAGTTACTATTTTGTTCCAAAGAAGGATTTAAAACGGCTTAATACAAAATGATTAATTTTTTTTACTTGGCAAAAATCATGGCTAACAGCAAATATAGTTAACATAGCAAGACTAGAGGGATAGATTGATGTACCAAAATGTATGCTAAGGATGCTTCAGTTATTAAAATGGGACAATTCTGAACTTCTACAGTAATCAGTGAAGAACACTCTCCCTGAGACCAAGAAGCATGTTTACTTTGTAGATGATGTTCATCAGATTAGAAGTTACCATTGAAGTTGCAAAAATTAATAAAGAGTGACTCTTAGCTATGAGTTTCATCTTTACTAGTGTAGTTTCAAAAGTTCCTATGAGACATGAAGTCAAAGTTAGTTGGGGTGCCCACATATTTTCCATAGTGTTTTTCAGCTTACTCCCATCAGCTGTTGACAACTCTGGATGAATGATGTTGCGGAGCACAGGAGAGGCCATCCTAACGTGATGTGAATATCACAGCAGCTTCAGTGCTGTGTAGTCTCTCCTACAGAGCTGAGATCATCAGTCCATGCTCAGTTTCCATGCTCATGCGTAAATCCATAATCAGTTTCCTGTATCCTTGACCTTGCCCATGGATTATGACTGATATGGTTTGGCTCTGTGTCCCCACCCAAATCTCATATTGAATTGTAATCCCCGTAATCCCCATGTGTTGAGGGTGGGAACTGGTAGGAGGTGATTGGATTGGTGTTCTCATGATAGTGAGTTCTCATGAGATCTGATGGTTTTACAAGGGGCTCTTCCCCCTTCACTACTTACTCTTCTCCCTCCTGCCACATTGTAAAGGCGGTGCCTGGTTGGCCTTCCCGCATGATTGTTAAGTTTCCTGAGGCCTCCCCAGCCACACAGAACTGTGAGTCAATTAAATCTCTTTCCTTTATAAATTACCCAGTCTCAGGTAGTATCTTTACAGCAGTGTGAAAATGAACTAATATAATGACCTTCCAGATCTTCTGGTTCTCTCTCCACTCTTCCCCAATAGGTATCATTAGAAACCCCTCATGGTTCAAATCACTCTACTGCTCTAAATCTTGAACAAACCCTTCTTGGCTCCAGGTATCTTCATTGAGTGCAAATATCTCAGTGTATCTTTAAAATCCTCAATGATCCAATTCCTCGGCCCTTTTCTAACTGTATCTCTGAACCCCATGCCCTATGATCTCAGCACATCTGAAGACACCATTTGCCAGCAACCCACAGGATTTATGCTATTTCCTCAAATTTCTTTCTATCAAATTCCTTCTCATTCTTTAAATTTGGGGTCTAGTCCTTCCTCCTTTATGAAGAGTGCTCTGCCATGTTGTCCCCAACTATTTTGCATTTGTCCTATTTCTATGCTTACTAACTGAACTTTTATGGGCAGTTAGCTTCTGTTTAATTATTCCTCAATTGCCATTACCTGTGTAATATTTGTTCTTTTTCTAGATCATAATTTGTGCAGTAGAGTTTTATTCACTATACAGAGTTGATCTTTGAAGGCAGTCACCTAGGCTTCTAAATCAGTGAGAGGAGCCCATAAAAAGTGCTGCTCCACCTGTGTTCAGATCACCTGAGATGCTAGTTTAAAATCCCCACAATGATTCTTTTGCACACCTAAGTAAAGGCACTTTAGAGTGGGAAGATCTAAACAAAACGAGGCTCTTCATGTGGCACAACCCTCAGACCCTTAAGGCACGATCAATAGCTGAAAGGGGGATGATGCTATTTTTCAATAAAACATATTTTCTTCTAAAGCCAGGATTGTTATCAATTATCCTGAAGACAAGGAAAAAAACTATTTTTCTCAGGACTGAGAATCAGGTAGATCACAGTAAATCCCGGAAACATTATAAATATCTTTTGTATGAGTCAAGACTCTGTTGCAAGTGACAAAAATAAAATTTATATGATTATGATTGATTGTTTTTAAAGGGAGTGGTATTTATTGGCTTAAGAAACCTAACAGTCAAAGTACAGTCTCTAGGCCAAGGAGATGAGTGCTCACAAGACGTTTCAGAAACAGGAATTCCTCCTGTTCTCAGCTCTGCTTCGCTCCGTGTTGACTTCATTCATTCATTTAATATATTTTTATTCTGTTATTTCTTGAACACTAAAATAATGTGCCGGGCATTTTGCATCATATACCAGGCACTGGTGTTACAACAGTGAACAAAAGAGCTTAAATGTACTGCCCTTTCTAGAGTTTATATGCTTTCCCAGGTAGCTTCTCCCCAAGTTTCAGACCCCCAGGCTTACGTCCTGCCAGCTTGGGCTTCTTTTCTAGGAAAAATTCTGTGCTTGGTCTCATTTGTCACCTGCCTCTCTGTAACCAACCACCATGGCCAGTGGCATGCCTGGCTCATTGGCCAATCGTTATTTCAAGCACCGGCCCCTCCCCACATCACAAGGTCACTGGGCAGGTAGAAAGAACAGCTGGTCTTTCTGATAAATCTCTTAACCTTCACTTAAAGGTGGTCTGTGTGATCCTTAGAATTTCCCATTCAAGCTGAATAGAGTGAATAAAAACTTCATTATCTGCTATAATTGTGGTCATAGTAGTAATAGGAATACTGATGATAAGCAATTATTGACACAATACATTAGTCAGCGTTCTCCAGAGAAACAGAAACAACAGGATATTCCTATATCTCTATGCATAGATATAAAAAGAGATGTATTATGAGAAATTGGCTCAAGTGATTATGGAGGCTTGAAATCCCATAATCTGCCATCTGTAAGCTGAAGATGCAAGAAGGCTGGTGGTGTAGCTCCAGCCCAGTTCCAAAGGTCTAAGAATGAGGCAAGTTGATGGCATGAATCAGATGCTAGTTCCAGAACTGGAGAAGAGATGTCCCAGCTCAGGCAGGCAGGCAGGAGACAAAAGGGGCAGATTCCTGCTTCTTCTGCCTTTTGCCCCCTTCAGACCCTGAGCGGATTTGGATTGTGCGACTCTCACACTGGAGAGGGCCATTTGCTTTACTGAGTTCACCCATTTCAATGCCCATATCATCTGGAAACACCCTCACAGACACATCCAGAAGCACTGTTTCATCTAGGCACTCTGTGGCCGACTAAATTTAACCCATAAAATTAACCATACTTACCACCTGCCAAATCCTGAGCTAGACGTTTTATCAGTGTCCTTTAATTTAAACTTCACTCAGTCTCATGAAGTATGTATTAATAACATTACCATTATTTACTAATGTGTCACTTGGACAGGTACACACTTGCCCCAGCTCACACAGCTGGTGGATGTGGAACAAGGATTGGAATCCAAGTCTGTGGGACTTGACACTCACAGGCTTCACCACTACACTTAGATTTCTGGATTTTCCTTAACGTATGAGAAGTCACCATACATGGTATTCTAAATATAGAAGATGCTTATTTGGCCTTGGTAGAGTTTTTAAGGAGATGTTGGCATCACAGAATAAAACAATAAGATAATGATCTGTTATATTTTATAAATTGCATTATTTTTGAGGCAAGGGTAACAGGTGCAGCTGCCAAACACTCTCGTCACACAAATTCTTCCCTGTATTCCTTGCTGCAATTGTGCAGGGAGAAAACCCTGGGGTGAGAAGATTTTACCTAAACCAACATATCTAGTTGCATAAAAGGCAAGCAAACTAAAAAAAATTCTTTTTATTGAAATCAGGAATTTGAACAGTGTTTTTCAGGCTGGAAATTATTGAATCTCAGATTTATTTCTGTGATAGAATAAACTATTGTCAAACTTAATCGTTTGAAAATAATCACCCTCTGATTGTAATAAGCAATAGTTTTCAAGAAGAGAAAAGATGCCACATTTAAAAAGTATATTTTTTTGTTTTCATCAAAAACTTGGAAACTATAACTTCCAAATGTTTAGTGTTCTGAGAAAATCTTGGTAACATAATGCTGTTAGGGTCATCTGAAGATGCACAAAGAATGACTATTATTTTTAACTCAAATGATGAGAACATAATGGCAAAAGGGATGAGTAGAAAGTCATTGAAATACTAGTATTTAAATTATAGAAATTATCTTCGTGGAACTATGTGGCAATTTTACTCTTTTTCCTCATGTATAGTACCTAAGGATTTAAGCGTTTTAATAAGCTGCAAGTGTTATCAATATTTTATTAAGCTATGAATGCTGTAAACCAGTAAGCAAGTATGAATACAAAACTTGGTTCATTATTGTCAATTATTAGCAAAACTGACTTTTTAGTTGAAATTGCAGAGCCAAAAACTGACCTAGAGATAGCTAACATTTTATGTTGATATGGAGGTAGGTGCTATGCAGATTGGAAGAGATTATTATGGAGTGAGGAAGAAAATGGAAACCATTTTAATTAGAACAAAAGAACAGAGTGTCTGGAAGAATAATATCACACCATGAGCTGCATTTTTTCTAGGCACATTTCCAATACCAGTAACGCAGGAAAGCAAACTTTTCAATAAATTATTGATGAATAAAGAATGAAGTGTGATTCTAAAGGTATAAAAGTAGTGATTTTGAAACAAACATAGCAGACGTCAGCAGCTTCTTCCTGCAATGGCTTCTCTCCTTTCTGCTTCTCTAAGCTCATCTCCCATCCCTCTTCCCCTCTCCTTGTTAACCTCTCTTGCTTCTCTGTACTGTTGACTTTGGAAATACCAAGATCTTCAGAATCTCTGAACATCCCAGACTGTTCCATTCTATCCCTGTTCCTTTTTCTCTTGCAGTTCCATCTGCCTAGACTGCTACGTACATGCACCCCTGCTGCCTTCTCCCCACTCCCTAAAGTCTACCCGAGTCGTTACTTCATTCAGAAGCTACTCAGCCCCTGCACACCCTCTCCCTGCCCCCATACAGTTAATCCCATCCTCCTCCACACCACTCCGCATTATGTTGCCCATGTGATCCACGGGGACGTGTAGGCACGTCATGTTGTCCATGTGATCCGTGGGGACGTGTGGGCACGTTATGTTGTCCACGTGATTCATGGGGACGTGTGGGCACGTTATGTTGTCCACGTGAACCACGGGGATGTGTGGGCATGTTATGATGTCCACGTGATCCACGGGGACGTGTGGGCACGTTATGTTGTCCACGTGATCCACGGGGACGTGTAGGCAGGTCTTTTTGGAGGCATGGCCATGCATTTTCCACTTCTATATTTCACTCAGTGGATGGTGCCAGATTACACTAAATTACCCAAATGTTGGTGGAATGAATGAACAAGTTCCAATAATTACCTCTGTCCAATGGTTGCAACCAAAGGGGAACTGAAATGACACCCCCATCCACAAGCCTTCCCTCAAGGACTTCAAATATACTAGCTTCAGAGTGCCCTAGATGGGCATAGAACGAAATCTGAAACGTTTACCCAGAAAAGGCAGCCTTTAGACATGGCTGTTGATCTTCTATTACTCCCCAACTATTGAATGACCTATGGCAACTGTTATGGAATTTCCAGAGCTGCCCTGCTCTGAAGGAATCCTACTAGTGAAGGTGTTGGGCCTCAAGACATTTTGGGAGCCCTTCCTTTCAAATCTCTGAGTCCATTTATAAATCTTTTCTGTTCTCCACCCCCTCCCCTGCCACACACACACCAGCTTTGTTGTTTTTTCTTCATCCCAAACAGCAGCATATTCTGGCTTGGGCACTGTACTTTTTCAGTGAAAATTATTTTAATTTATGTCTTGATCTTTTCAAAAATTACCTTCAAAGAAAGATTCTTTCTTATACTGAAAGAACGTTAGAAACAGAGCATTTCGTTGTGTCAAGCACTGTTCTAAGAGACACAATTAATTATTCTAGCAACCTTTGAGTCAGTTCCTACATTTTTCCAATTGTACACACAAGTATACTAACCTGGGAGGGGTTTTATCAAGGTTCCAAGTTCAGGATTTGAACCACGCCACTGGCTCCAAAGTTGGCTTTTGAGGACTGCACCAGGTTGGTTTTCCTGATTACCTCGAAAGTGAATTCAGAATGATGTTCCCACAGCTGCTATGAGCCACAGGGGCATCTCGGCAATTACTCTACGGCTTACCAAGGTTTCAGAGCTTCCCCACCTGATACCTATAGAGACTCTGGCACAGGGTAGAGCATAAACCAGGAATATGGTTCATGAAGGTGCTTTGTTTTTGACCTTCTTTATTACATTTCAGAATGGACTTTTTCACTCTGTTTCTCTGTTTTCATGGGCTTTTCACCCACTACTCCCTCAGGGCTGACCCACCTGATGGATACTTTGTCCGTTTCAATTGCTTTGCTAATACATTTTACACCTGCACCATCTCCAGTGAGGGAAGTGTTTTGGTGGCTTACCAAATGTTTCTGTAATCTAGCCTTCCCATTCCACACCTGCTGTTGATGGAAAAATGGAGTGTCAGGAGGCATTTTACCCCAAACATATCAGCTACATCTTGTCTCTAGGTGGGCTTTATTACTTTCTCAGGTCTGACACTTGTTCTTTTGGTTGATACAGGGTGTAGCCTGTCACATAGGCATTCTTCTTGGTGATGTTGAGGGAAGTCCAATGCAGTCGCAGGAGACAGCGATCCATGAGGTCTAGTGTTGTGACTGAGTGCATCTCTGTGTGTGGGTGCATCTGTGTTCATGTGTCTCTCTTTCTCTGTGTATCTGTGCATGTGCATCTGTGTGTGCCTCTGGATGTGTGCATCTCTGTATGTATCTTTGTGTCTTCATCTCTCTCTCTCTCTGTGCATCTGTGTGTGCATCTTTCTCTGTGTGTACATCTCTCTTTGTGTGTGCATCTTTCTCTGTGTGTACATCTTTCTCTGTGTGTACATCTCTCTCTTTGTCTGTGTGTGCATCTGTGGGCATTTGCATCTCTGTTTGTGTCTGCCTGTGTGTATGAGTGTGTGTGTGTGCATCTCTCTGTGCATCCATGTGCATGTCTGGGGTCCCCTGCACTATCAGAAATGATGCCCTCATTTGCTATCTGTCTGACACTTTCTTTCTGCCAACACAGTCAATCCTCCTTTTATGTGACTCTCTTTTGTTCAGTCAGGTTCTGGAGAACTTTAAACACTGTCTTTGATTAAGATTTATGATATATCAAGGCTTTGCTTATTTCCGTCCTTATTAAGACAATTTTCTGGTGAACTGTCTCACCACAAAAAGAAAAAAGGATCTCAAGGTGAATGAAGGCACTGCAAAGAGAATGTGGCTCCTTTTCTGGCTCTCTTTTACCTTTCTCTCTCACTCCATGGCAGAAAGTACTCAGACCTCTCCATGTTGGAAAGCCTGGGCATCAGAATTTCATGGTTCTAATCCTTGTTCTCTCCCTGGATTCTTGTAATTCCAGAAAATCACTCCTTTTCAGAAGGGAGCTAGTCAGGCTGCTGTTCCTCTCCCATGAAATATCAATACAAGAGCCAAGGAGAGAACTGGTGGATCGAAGCTAGGAAGTGTCAGTCGTGTTCATATTAGATGGTGGGTGATGGGAACTGAGGTTCTTGACCAGAGGCTTTATGCACTTTTGTTCATATACACTCTGAAAATACTTTAGAAATATTATGTACCCATTTATGCATTTTTAGATTGACTTCTAAATAGTTTTGTCATAATTTCAAATACTTACAAAGCAATTAAGTTCCAGGGTCTGTAACTATTAACATTTTAAAATATAATTTTTATTACTTTTATACAAAGTAATCAAGATACTATAGAGATTTGATATCACCAGTTGATTAAAATCACATGAACATGTTTTTCATTAATTAGAAATATTACATGCTGTTTCTCCTTGAGCTCATTATTCCATTCTCTTTTCTGTAGAGAATTGTGTCTTAAAACAACATTTTAGAGAGCAAAGGTCATTTATTGATTATGCTGTCCCATGTCTTTACAGTAAAAACATACATATAGACTGATTTTTAAAAATTCTTTTGACTAAAAGGCTGAAAGTATTAAAATTCTTTTGAATTAAATTATCATTATAATTATTAGCACAAAATAGATAAAAACAACTAAAACATATTGATTTTATCAATTATTAAATATACAAAGAGTGTTATTGGAAATGCCTCTGTTAATTGATGGGTCTCTGATTTGTCTATTTTCCCCCTTTTAGGTCATGTATTCATGTGTGCTATTACTTATTGATAGAATGAGATCTATTTTAGCATCAACTCTATTATTATTTTTGTTATAGATATTAAGTAGTGACGAATGCTGTTCCGGGAAGTAACTTGATGAAAATAGAAGTTATTTCATAGGTGCTATGCACCTGTCTGAACTCCTTAATTAGAAGCTAAAAATTATGTAATTGATGTATTATCAAAGATACATTATCATAATCAATTAATTAACATCTCAATGAAATCCTCCTTCAATTTTGTTGAAAGCCAAGATGCAGAAAATATCTTGCAATGGGACTTCTTGTCTGATAATTAGAACCAATCGCTTTCCCTACGTAGAGGATTAGAGCTGCTCCTTGTCTGGCAACTGTAGGGTTTCCCATTCCAGAGCAATGCACCCTTGCGAAGCTCCAGTCGGACGGAGGCAGAGGTGTGCTTTTGTCCTGGAAGTGGGAGAAGGCTTCGTGATGGATCTGACAGAAAAGGAGAGCCACAGGCTCCATTTCAAGGGAACAAATATTCAGAAAAACTACTTAAAATTCAAAAGTTTGGGAATAAATTCCCTTAAAAGTATCTATGCCTGTATACATCAAGGAACGTCTGGAGGTCATCTTGGTTTTACATTCAAATATCTCAGAGTTATTAAAGAATACCAGTGCCTAGGTTCCACCCCTAAGGACAACAGTTTCCCCGTTTGGGGTGGGGCCAGCATATGAATATTTTTAAAATGCTCCCCAGTTGATTTTAATGTACTTCTGGGGCTGAGAACCCCACTGCAGAGTCTAAGCTCTGTGAGGTCAAGGACCTGGCTCTGTGGTTCAAATGTGCATCTTTGCTGACTCACACTGTCTCTTTTGGGTAAGGAATGGGGAATCAAATTCTGAGGATCAGGAAACAGGCATGTGCCAGGGATTCACACCTAAGGATCGAGAGGCTCATGGCCAGGTAAGTGGTCAGGACTCCAGGAAGCCCAGGAGGTCAACAAGTCAAGTAGGAGGAGAGACACCCGTGCTTGCAGCAGGACAGGAGCCTGAGGCGTCCTGGACACAAGGCCTTTGCTGTCCAAGGCCTTCCCAGGGGCCAGGCCAGCCAAGTAGGCTTGACCTGCCAAGAGCAGGCTGAGAAGTTGGTTGAGTCCAAGGATAAGAAAGAAACTAGTTTCACTAGTGGAAGCGGTTCTCAGAAATTGCTAGGTAGGAAACTACCTTTTCATCTCTTGGTCCTAAGAAGAGTCTTTATTCTGGGATGTAAGAAGTTTGTTACTGGTGATGTCAACTTTAGGTTTGAGATTTTCTGAGCTTTCAAACATTCTGTCCGACTGCCCCCACAGAACACTTTCATTGAACGAATTAATCAAAAGCTTGTCTCCTCTGGCTTGATGCTGGGCTGGGCCTCTCCCACGGGGTCGTATGCAGCAGGGATCTCCTCCACGGAGGTGCTTCTCCTTGCTGCAGGGGACCCAGGCACGACAGTGCTCTGATGCAAGGGAGGCCACATGCCTGGATCCATCCTCCTTGTCGTGTCTCCACTCTCTCCATCGTCAGATGGAATCTACAACCGTCATGCTCATCACTTCCCCACAAAAACCCAACTTCTTCTCTGGCCTTTCACTGAACACATCACTTTATAATATTAAATTGTGAATCCATTATTTATTTATTCATTTATTATTAAACGTCTCTCCAGCTAAAATTCTAGCATCACAGGGCAAAGGATTGGTTCTGTTCATTGCCTGAACTGAACACCTACCTAAGAGAGTGTGAGGTATGTAATAGGTGTGCACATGTTCCTGGAAGGAAGGAAGGGAGGCAAGAATGGAGGGAGGAGGGAACCTTTCTCTTGCGTATAGGCAGGGAGAGGGCTGCTTGGCACTGTGGGTGCCACGTTGCCATTGCTGGGTGGAGGAGGGAATCTATCTTGGGAAGAGGCAGGGAGACGCTTGCCTGGCACTGTGGGTGCCATATTGCCATTGCTGTGTGCTGAGCCTCATGCCCCAGGTATCTCTGTGTTGAGTTTCCTATTTAGAACTAGCAGAACTGCATTGTGGGAATTTGTGGGAATCTTCTGTTTTCTTAAGGGCTCCTTGCTCATCCTGGGGTCAGGTGCACGTACAGTGCAGCTTTTTTGGCAGGGTGGGAAATGCTGAGGGTAGGCAGGGTCCTTACTGACCTCCTGAGGTGAAACTTCCAATGTCTAAAGACTCCTTCCTTCCTGCAGTCACTTTTTAAAATCAATATGTAATAACTGTACATATTTATAGACTACATGTCTATAGATATTTTGATAAATCCATACAATGTGTAACCATGAAATAAGAGTATTTAGGATATCCATCACCTCAAACATTTATCATTACCATGTGTTGGAAGCATTCCAAATCTCTTCTAGCTATCCTGAAATACACAATAAATTACTGTTAACACTAGTCACCCAATGGCACTATTGAACATTAGAGTTTATTCCTCCCATCTAATGTACTTTTGTACCCATTAACCTGCCTCCTTTCTTCGCTTCTCCCCGCAACCTTCCCAGCCCCTGGGAACCACTATTCTTCTCTCTACCTCCCTGGACTCACTTCTTTAGCTTCTGCACATTAGTGGGAAACTGTTGTATGTAACCTTCTGCGCCTGACTTACTTCACTTAACGTAGAACCCCCAGGCTCATTCATGTAGCCACAAATGACAAGATCTCACTACTTTTCACGGCTGAATAGCACTCCGCTGCGTATATGTGCCACATTTTCATCACCTCTTCATCTGTTGATGGACACCTAGGTTGATTCCATATCTTGGCTATTGTGCATATTGCTGCGATGAACATGGGGTGCAGGAATCCTTAAATAAGCTGGTTTCCTGCAGATGCTTTGCTGCCCTGCTCATTCACCAGTTCCCCACCTATCCCTGTCTTCCTCTCCCCAGCACATCCTAAGCAGCTTGAGCAGCCCGGACATGGGGAGAATCAGCCATGTGACTCATTGCTGTCATTTAGCTAATGCTGTATGCTATAACTACTGTGTGGCAGAGATTTTTTATGTTTGTTACCATCAGGTTCTCGATACCCACAATGAAGCCTGGCTTCAGAAAGACACCTTGCAAAGGCTTAGAGGAAGAACGGGTTGCAAAAGTTAGCAGACTAATGATGCAGCATTAGGTGTTCCATTGTTTAAGGAGCTGCCTCCATTTCACTTGTTACCATCCCCAGGAACTGGCATGTGCGTGTAATGACTCCTGTGGTTGAGGGAGTGGCATACATCTGGAACCCCTACAGTAAAGGGTATGAGACCCTTGGCACTGGTGACTGGCTTCATTCACATTATCTTGTGCCCAGAAACAGTTATGTCTGTGGAGTTTGCATTTGCCCGTGCAAAGAGGCTGCCCTTTCAGGTTATAAAATAATTAAAAACTCTTTGGCACCCTAAGGAAGGGATTACTGGGGCTTTGTTATGGGTTGTAAGAAACCCAATCAGAGCAGCAACTGGTGCTGGCATCAGGACACAGGGGCTCAGTCCTCGGCACCATGTTGTCCCAGGGAAGCTTTTGGTGTTGGGCATTCTCTGACGACCTGAGGGCTGCCTCAGCACTGCCACATTCACTTTCCGCGTATTTTGACTTCTTTGATTTTCCACCTATTGCATATTTTTTTGAGTGAACTCTGAGGATAGGTAAGGACACAATTATCTAGTACTAATATTCAGTAGAAAAATCACACTTGTTCCATGACACAAGGCACCCAGGTGACACTCCCTTGGTTACTTGGGAACAAATTTCTGAAAAATAATTTTTCAAATGAATCAAATATAAAACACATGATTGAACGTTTTCCTAGATAACAGCCTCTCTTGGAATCAGTGTGGGGCTTAGTAGGCCTCTCCAGCAACTGTGGAATGAAAGCGCCGGGCACGCTGTGTTTCTGACACAGTTTGAATGAACGTCCCATGAAGTCCTGCCTGTGAGGTTAAGCGCCTCTGTATGCACCAATTCTGATATGGTTTAGCTGTATCCCCACCCAAATCTTGTCTTGAATTGTAGATCCCATAATTCCCTCGTTTGGAGGGACCTGGTGAGAGATAGTTGAATCATGGGGGTCGTTTCCCCCTTACTGTTCTCGTGGTAGTGAGTAATTCTCACAAGCTCTGATGGTTTTATAACGGGAAACCCCTTTTGCTTGGCTCTCATTCTCTTCTCTTGTCTGCCACCATGTGAGATGTGCCTTTCTCCTTCCGCCATGATTGTGAGGCCTCCCCAGCAATGTGGAACTCTGAGTCCACTAAACCTCTTTCTTTTGTAGATTGTCCAGTCTCAGATATGTCCTTAGCAGCAGCATGAAAACAGACTAATACAAATTCTAAAAGCCAAGGCAGTACACGATTATGTTTTCAAACTAATAATTGCATCTGGAAGGGATTTCCTTGTTATTTTTAAAACTGAGAGGATATTTTTATACCCAACATCCAGAACACTGGACCAAGGGTTAAACATTGTATTTCATGCTGAACCTCAACAGTCAATCATCATTTTAACAGCTTTCATGAAATAAAATGCACATACTTTACAATTCACTCATTTAAAGTGTCTAATTCAGTGTCTTTCAGTATTTTTATTAAGTTTTAAATGTATCATAAAATATATGTAACAAAATTTTCCATTCACCTATTTCTGTTGCATTAATTACATTCACAATATTATGCAGCCACCGCCACTGTCTAGTTTCAAACTTTTTTTATCATCCCAAACAAAAATCCTCCATTCATTAAACAATTCCCCGTTTCCTCCTCTCCTCAACCACCTCATAACCTCTGATGTGTTTTCTGTTTCTGTGACTTGACCTATTCTGGATATTTCACATAAGTGTGATCTACAATGTTTGTCTCCTTGTAACTGGTTTATTTCACTTGGCATAATGTCCTCAAGCTTCACCCATGTGGTAGCGTGTGTCAGAACTTCATTCCTTTTCATGGCTGAATAATATTCCATTGCATGGATAGACCATGTTTTGCTGATCCATTCATCTGCTGATGGACTCTTGGCTTCTTCTGCCTTTTGGCTACTGTGTGTAATGAATTGCAGTGAACATTGGTGTGCAAGCATCTGATTCAGCCTTAATTTTTAAGGTCAGTAGTAATTAATACAAGAATAATAATCAAGGCTGCCCAATTTCAGGAGGACTGTCCCCTTCAGTTTGCTCCTCATTCTGTTGGCCCCTTCCATATCCTGGCAGTAGGACAGACACAATTTTCATGCTCTCTGCTGAATATGCCCATCACCCCAGAATGCTTATCAACCAGTCAGCATCAGATGCAAGAGGAAACTTATTTGCAAGATTAGAGAAGTCACAAAAATACAGAAGGGGCACCCAATCATGGTCTCCCTGAAAGTTTCCTCAGAGAAAACTATTTTCTACCTGTCACTGCCTATAACTAGATAGATCCTAACTTCAGTTTCCAAATGTCCTGGTTAGCTCTTTCTCACATATAACATAATAATGGCTTTGGGGGAATCTCTTAGATGGTTGCAGTATGCTGTGTCATTCTTGATGTACAATACCAAGAGTTCACTAAATCATTGACTTCCAAACCACATCACCACTGGACCGGCTCTTAAAACGTATAGCTGCCCAGAGATCATGATGAGGTAGCACCCAGGAATCTGTATATATATATGTAGTGTTATCTATGATTATAATTATGTTGTATGTTATATAATTGTATACTTGCATATAATTATAAATATGTGATATATGGTATATATTATATATAAATATGAATGTTACAGATAAATTTTAAATTCCTAATCTGCAAGGCAGCAGGAACCTGTTCCAAAGAACCACGGCCTTTTACCAGTGAGAAGTCCACTGGAGGTGGTTGCAGTGGGATGAGACTTTAGCGAGGAAATTCTATGACAGTCTCCTCTCTGTCCCATGTTTCAGATTGGTTATTAAGCAAGTGGCTCCTCAGTGCATACTTGGCACATTCATTCTCTGGTTCCAGTGCAGTTTATTCAAGTGAACTCTGATTGACAGGCTTTAGGTGCACAGCCCAGTGAGGAGCTTGGGAGGAGCACAGAGCTCAGTCTGTCATCATCTCTCCTCTCCAGTAATGTGCACCCATGACAGGCAGTGGCAGACATCTCCTGTCAGTCATCTGACACCAGGGCTGTTGTCAGAAAAGCAAAGGAGCTGTTTAGAGACACTGGCAGCCATGGTTCCTGGAGGTGGAAGGTAGTTCCATGGATAACTAAGGGTAGTGGAATGTGACTCTGGAATCAGATGCCTCCAGGCGTCTAGTTGGCTATTGCCAGTTTCTCTTAGAATCAAAGACTGTGTTTAGGGGGACAGAAAAATAAGAAAACTTCTGGAAATTACCACTGGAAAAAGTACCAGAGTTAAGGCTAGAAGTTCTAGATTTAAATTAAATTTCTGATGCAAATTAGCTCTTCCAACTTATCTTCCTGTGTTGATTCTGACTCTCAGACTGCCTTTTAATCTCTTAGAGCCTCAGTTTCTCTCACTTGTAAAATGGGCATAATTTTATCTGCCTCACACCAGGTACAAGGACATGGTAAAAACCAGAGGGATAAACTTAGCAGAAGTGTTTGTAAATGTAAGACGAGGGGTTGTTTGTATCGCCGATTGCCATGAGTGCTGTGTTTTGAGGACAGCACAGAGGGGGGCATGTATATTAATCTCCTCTTCAATTATTTTTAAGTGTATGGATGCCCATTTCCAGATACTTGTTCAGCAACCCTCAAACCAGATGCACGTCTGTCTTTGGGTCAGTAATCTGTACCCTGAATCGGCAATCAGAGCGTCACGACAGAACTGTGTATCAACACCACTAGTCTATTTTTCCTGTTCATCAAAGTTCCTCATTAACGTGAGTATCTGCCCTCTCCAGGGCAACTGTGTAAGTAGTTTTTGGGTTTGGTGGCCTTTGTAAGCCAATTTTTATGTGGCCATTATAGGCCTTTTTGTGATGTCCATTAGACCCTTCTAGAACTCATTTGTACAAGATTTAAACTATACCATGATGCTTATTTTCTTTTTTGGTGTAGATGTATTTTTTAAATATTTTTGAGTTCAACAAAACTTGTTCACACTTCTCACTTGGTCGTAAACTCCCTTGAAAATTGTCTTACTTGCTTGCATCTCTTGCTTTCCCTAGTAGACCAGCTCATTAGAGTTAGGGGATTTTTGTTGATTGATTCGTTCCACACGTTTTTATTCCAGACCCTGCGAACAGGGCAAGAGAGGTCTTGCTATTGAAGCCAAAGGCAGTGCCATCAGCTGTGAGGACAAAAAGTGGAGAAATGGGGTGGATAGTGACTCTTGGTAGGGGAGGGAGTTATTTTAATTTGGGTGGCTAAGGAAGGCCTCTCTGAGATGATATCAGCCTTGAATAATGTGAAGGAGCCAGCCCGCACCTGTGGATGCGATAGGGAACAGTAGGTAGTGGAAGCAGCAGAAACATGTTTGGTGGTTTGAAGAACAGAGCAATGAGTGATGGGGCCAGGGCCAGGTCGTGTAGGACTCTGTAGGTTCCAGCAAGTCCTCGACATCTTGGTCTAGAGGCAACGTGAAGACACTGGGAGATTTAGACGAGTGATTGACATAATGCAATCTATGTCCCCAGAGAGTGAAAGAGTTGGGGCCGTGTCTGAATGAGAGATGATGGGGCCTTGAAAGGGTGACAATGGAGAAGTAATTGATGGTCAGGACGTGTCTGGGAGGCAGAGCTGTGGGGCTTGTTGATGCATTGGATAAAAGAGATGTGCAATATTTCTTTGTATTGCACAGTAATTGGTGATTAATTGTCCTAGTCTGTTCCTGATGCTATAACAAAATACCTGAGACTAAGTAATTTATAAAAACAGACATTTATTCTTTTCATTTCTGGAGGCTGGGAACTCTACAATCGAAGTGCTGGCAGGTTATGTGTCTGGCAGGGACTGCCCTCTGCTTCCAGGTTGGTGCCTTGTTGCTGCGTCTTCTCATAACAGAAGGGGTGAACACTGCATCCTTGCATGGCGGAAGGCAGAAGGTTAAGAGCACCTAGTCGGTCCCCTCCAGCTATTTTATGAGGTACTAATCCCAGCCTGGCTGCAGAAAGCTCACATGGCAGAGAGAGACAGAGGAATGGAGTTCTGGTAGTGTCTCCTTATAAGGGCGCTAATCTCCTCCTGGGAGCCACCCCTCATGGCCTCATCTCAACCTAATTGCCTCCCACAGGCTGCACCTCCTAATACCATCACATTGGGGTTGGGGGTTAGAGCGTCAGCATAAGAGTTCTGGGGAACACACTGCAGTTCATAGCCAGTGCTTCGTCACTGCAGCCCTAGGAAATAAGCACACTGGTCAAGCAGAAGAACAGCTGGGAAGTGGCCTTCACCTCCACCTGCAGCTGCATCTCGTTGCAGAACCTAAGCTGTATCCAGGAACTGAGCCATCAGAGGGCCCGGGAAATTTAGATTTTAGTCTTAGAACTCCTGAAGTAGTGGCGGTGGGGTGGGGTGGGGGAAGACAGTGGGGAGTGATGAGTGAGTGCAAGAGGTACGCCTGAATGCTGAGAGCCCAGTAGACAAGAGTCATCCAGCAAAACCCCACAGAACCACATGAGTACTAACTCAGCTAAGACGTGGGGAAGCTCCTGAAGGACATCATGTACCATGCACACTGTTTCAGTTTATTGCAGGACACAGTTGGTCTGTTGCGTTGGGACGTTATCTAGGCACATGTTCAGGCATCTGCACTTTTAATATATTAAACATTTTGATTTAAAGTTATTTTTTGAAAACAGTTTTGTGTGTGTAAACATAAACTCGAAAAATAAAGCGAAAACATTTTCCTAGTTAGTGAGCATATAAAGAATCAGTCATTCTTAAGAGGTGAAGATGCATGAGGGTTTTCTGGGTTCTATGTGAGATTTTAGTTTCTGAATAGGAACAACCGGCTAAAGTCATTATTATAACTTGGAAAAATATGTCAGGAAGCCTGCAACCACTGCTGGTCAACCAGCTGTTTGGGCTGAAGTTAAAAAGTTACTTTAGGTTGCTCAGAGGTGAGGGAATTATGGCATTGCAGAGTCAGATCATAGGGGGCATTAAGCCAGGGAGAGGCATTTGGAAATGTGCCAGTATGAGGAACGTTTGAGGATCTCACTTGGCTGCTGTAGCCTTGACCGCTTCACCTGTGCAAAATACTGAGCAGGTCTGGAGCTGAGACTGTGGGCGGTAGATACCTCTACCCCGAGGCTGGCTGCGCTCTGATTATAACAGCCCCACAGAGGTTGCAATCAAGTGCAAGGATGTCCAGGTGGACTGCGATGGGCTCTTTCCATTTGGAGTCAGTGTTTCCCTGACTGTGAAGAAGCTCCTTGCCATGCGCGGCTCTTCAGACCACCTGGAAGTTAAGGAGCCTCACTCAAGCAGTTAGTCCTTCCTCCCCTGCCCTCAGCCAGATGCTCAGCAAGGAGGCCTGGATGTGGCGGCTCCTTCTCACCCACAACAGGGCAGGGAGGACACAGGGAAGAGAAATGACTTACTTTCTAGAGACATGGAGAAAAAAGGAGGGCTTCCTCCTGCTGCTGCGTGTCTGCTCCCCAAAGGCAAAACTTTTGGAGTTTGGAAGGTTTAAACATGGGGGAGATGTCATCTTCAATATGTTTGTATTAGTAGGGGTTCTCCAGAGAAATTGAACCGATGGGAGATAACACACGCACACACACACACACACACACAGTGGGAGTTAGCACATGTGATTATGGAGCTGAGAAGTCCCACTATCTGCTGTGTGCAAGGTGCAGACCCAGGAGAGTTGCTGGTGTGACTCAGTCTGGGTCCAAAGACCTGAGAACTGGGGGAGTGGATGGTGTAAATCCTCATCCACAGGCAGGAGAAGACCCAGGTTCCAGCTCAATAGGCAGGCAGGAGGAGCCAGGATTCTCCCTTCCTCTGCATTTTGTTTAGGCCCTCAGCAGATTAAATGATGCCCACTTGTGCTGGGAGGGAACTTTCTTTACTGAGTCCACGAATTCAAATGCTAACCTCTTCCAGAAACACCCTCTCAGACACACTCAGAAATGTTTACTACAGGCTCCCATGATCCAGCCAAGCTGGCACATGAAATTGAGCATCATGCTGTTTCAGGCATAAAGTGAAATTATGGAACAAAAATAATTGTCCAGGGGTCTACACTGTGAGTTTATTTCATTCCCAGGATTAATGATTAAGACCACATGTGAACAGAGCTGCCCAACTCAGAACACATCTTCATGTTCCACTGTATTAGTCTGTTCTCACACTGCTAATAAAGACATACCCAAGACTGGATAATGTATAAAGGAAAGAGGGTTAATTGACTCACAGTTCCACATTGCTGGGGAGGCTTCACAATCATGGCAGAGGGCAAATGAGGAGCAAAGTGATGTCTTGCATGGTGGCAGGCAAGAGAGCTTTTGCAGGGGAACTCCTCTTTATAAAGCCATCAGATCTCATGAGACTTATTCACTACCATGAGAAAAGTAGGGAAGAAACTGCCCCATGATTCAATTATCTCCCCCTGGCCCTGCCCTTGACATGTGGGGATTATTACAATTCAAGTTGAGATTTTGGTGGAGACACAGCAAAACTGTATCATTCTGCCTCTGGCCCCTCCCAAATCTCATGTCCTCACATTTCAAAACCAATCATGCCTTCCCAACAGTCCCCCAAAATCTTATTTCAGCATTAACTCAAAAGTCCAAGTCCAAAGTCTCATCTGAGACAAGGCAAGTCCCTTCCACCTGTGAGTCTGTAAAATCAAAAGCAAGTTAGTTGCTTCCTAGATACAATGAAGGTACAGGCAATGGGTAAATACAGCTATTCCAAATGGGAGAAATTGGCCAAAATGAAGGGGCTACAGGCCCCATGCAAGTCTGAAATCCAGCAGTCAAATCTTAAAGATCCAAAATGATCTCCTTTGACTCCATGTCTCATATCCAGGTCATGCTGATGCAAGAGGTAGGTTTCCATGGTATTGGGCATTTATACCCCTGTGGCTTTGCTTGGTACAGCCCCACTCCTGGATGCTTTCATGGGCTGGTGTTGTATCTGCAGCTTTTCCAGGTGCAGGGTGCAAGCTGTCAGTGGATCTGTATCAGGGGAACCAGCCCCCAATATTTCAACGTAGGTTCTTTTCTATTTTCCCTAAGTGTCAGCCAGTCTGAGAAATGAAGAGAAAGAGTACAAAAGAGAGAAATTTTACAGCTGGGCCTCTAGGGGTGACATCACCTATTGGTAGGTTCTGTGGTGCCCCCTGAACCGCAAAACCCGCAAGTTTTTATTAGGGATTTCAAAAGGGGAGGGGGGTACGAACAGGGAGTAAGTCACAAAGATCACATGCTTCAAAGGGCAATAAAAGATCACAAGGGCAGAAGGGCAGAGCAAGATCACAAGGCCAGGGCAAAATTAGAATTACTGATCAGGTTACATGTCCCGCTGGGCATGTATTGTCTTGACAAACATCTTAACAGGAAACAGGGTCCGAGAGTAGACAATTGGTC
The DNA here is from genome assembly GCF_000001405.40 of Homo sapiens. Lineage (NCBI taxonomy): Eukaryota > Metazoa > Chordata > Mammalia > Primates > Hominidae > Homo > Homo sapiens. The sequence goes on from NC_000002.12 coordinate 4,017,781, forward strand.
TGACTAGAATTCGCCAGGCTGGAATTTCCCAATCCTAGTAAGCCTGAGGGCACTGCAGGATACCAGGGCATATTTCATCCCTTATCTTCAACTGCATAAGACAGACACTCCCAGAGTGGCTGTCCATAGATCCACCCCTGGGAATGCATTCCTTTCCCAGGGTTATTCCTTGCTGGGAAAAGAATTCAGTGATATTTCTCCTATTTGCTTTCTGCAATAAGAAAAATATGACTCTGTTCTGCCTGGCCCCACAGGCAGTCAGACCTTATGGTTATCTCCCTTGTTCCCCGAAAATTGCTGTTATCCTGTTGCTTTTCAGGGTGCCCAGATTTCATATCGTTCAAACACACATGTTTTACAAACAATTTGTACAAATAGTGCAATCATCACAGGGTCCTGAAGTTATATACATCCTCAGTTTATGAAGACAATGGGATTAAGAGATTAAAGACAGGCATAGGAAATTATAAGAGTATTGATTGAGGAAGTGATAAGTGTCCATGAAATCTTCACAATTTATGTTCTTCTGCCGCAGCTTCAGTCGGTCCCTCCGTTCAGGGTCCCTGACTTCCCGCAACAGATCTGGAGGATGGTGGCCTTCTTTTCACAGCTCCACTATGTAGTGCCCTAGTGGGGACTCTGTGTGTGGGTCTCTCACCTCACATTTTCCTTCTGCACTGCTCTAGCAGAGGTTCTCCATGAGGGCTCTGCCCCTGCAGCAACCTTTGTCTGGACAACCAGCATTTCCATACATCTTCTGAAATCTAGGCAGAGGTTCCCAAACCTCAATTCTTGACTTCTATGCACCCAAAGGCTCAACACCACATGGAAGCTGCCAAGGCTTGGGTCTTGCACCCTCTGAAGCAATGGCCTGAGCTCTACCTTGGCCTATTTTAGCCACAGCTGGGATGTAGGGCACCAATTCCCTAGACTGCACAAAGCAGCAAGGCCCTGGGCCAGGCCCACAAAACCATTTTTTCCTTCTGGGCCTCTGGGCCTGTGGTGGGAGGGGCTGCCCTGGAAAACCCTGACTTGCCCTGGAGACATTTTCCCCATTGTCTTGGTGATTAACATTTGGCTCCTTGCTACCTATGCAAATTTCTTTAGCCAGCTTGAATTTCTCCTCAGAAAGTGGTTTTTCTTTTCTATTGCCTCATCAGGCTACAAATTTTCCAAACTTTTGTGCTCTGCTTTTCCTTGAAACATAAGTTCTAATTCCAAACCATATCTTTGTGAATACATAAAATCGAATGCTTTTAACACACCCAGGTGACCTCTTGAATGCTTTGCTGCTTAGAAATGTCTTCCATCGGATGCCCTAAATTATCTCTCTCAAGTTCAAAGTTCCACAAATCTCTAGGGCTGGGGCAAAATGCCACCAGTCTCTCTGCTAAAATATAGAAAGAGTCACCTTTGCTCCAATTTTCAGTAAGTTCCTCATTTCCATCTGAGACCACCTCAGCCTGGACTTTAATATCCATATCACTATCAGCATTTTGGTCAAAGCCATTCAACTGGTCTCCAGGGAGTTCCAAAGTTTCCCAAATCTTCCTGCCTTCTTCTGAGTCCTCCAAACTGTATCAACCTCTGCCTGCTATCCAAAGTTGCTTCCACATTTTCATGTATCTTTAGAGCAGCACCCCACTAACTGGTAGCAGTTTACTGTATTATTCTGTTCTCATGCTGCTAATGAAGATACCTGAGATTGGGTAATTTATAAAGGAAAGAGGTTTAATTGACTCACAATTCCACATGGCAGGGAAGGCCTCACAGTCATGGCAGAAGGCAAATGAGGAGCAAAGTCATGTCTTACATGGCAGCAGGCAAGACAGCATTTGTGGGGGGAACTCCCCTTTATAAAACCATCGGATCTCAGGAGACTTATTCACTATCATGAGAATAGTACAGGGGAAACCACCCCCATGATGCAATTATCTCCACCTGGCCCCGCCCTTGACATGTGGGGATTATTATAATTCAAGGTGAGATTTTGGTGAGGACACATCCAAACCATATCCACCAAGCTTCAAATGAAGGATTAACATGGGTCCAGTGATGTCCCTCCAATTTGTAGAAGAGAAAACTGCAGGTGAAGAAGTTAAGTGTCTTATGGTATCTCACAACAAATGAGGGTCAGTCAGGAACTTAAAGCCAGGGTTTCTGAGTCTGAATCCTGCATTCTCTCCACTACCTGCTGCTGCCTTTTCATTGAGCTTATGAATGGAGAGCAGCTCCAAACAAATCTACAGCCACTGGCACTTCACGTGGGTTTTGTTCCTGGTGGTTTGTTTGGTGATATGTATCTCCTGTGTGGGCTTGACTGTGGGCAGGGAGTCAGGCCAGGGTAGCAGTAAGTCCTCACTTCTGCTTGGTTAAGCATGAGCTCCCAAAGGAGGTGGGACTGTAATTAATAGGCTTTACTGTGAAATAATTGTTATAAACCAAGCTGCTGTCAGGAAAACTGAAAGCAGACATGGCAGAAAATTCAGCCCCGGCTGTAAGTTAAGGGCTGTGCTTTGGTCAAGGATAGGCTGAGGTAAACATCCAGAGTGACTCAGCAAGTCTAGAGTGCGGGCGTATAACTCCACTTGTTATCATAACCGTGTAGACATAACGTAGAGAAGCTCACCACCACAGCCATAACATAGGTAATGGTTATCACTTGGCTCTAAGCCACTATTTTCTGTAAAAGGTATAGTTGCCCTGTTGACACTGTGCAGGTGCTCACACCAAGAGAAAGAGAGAGAGCCAAAGTTGTCCATCTTTGCAGACGGACAGGAGGGAGCCAGGACACAGCTCGGCTTGCTGGTGCCCAGAAAAAGAGAGTTAAGCTGATGACCCTGATGGCAACGGAGAGCCAGCTGCTGAAAGGAGCCACAGCCGACTCAAGCAGCTGAGACAGGGCGGACAGTGTGAGAAAGCTGTTGATGAGAGCTGCTGCCAAATAAAATCATCTTTCACCTGCCTACGGCCAGCCCCCACCACCCCAGAGTTCTTTCTGCTCATCCCCCCACTCCCTTCGGACCTCAGCATGACATTTTGTGTAGCTGTGAACCTGACACCGACCGTGCTGTGCTGGACTATGTGGCTGGTGGAGGCGTCACGCTATCCTGTAGCCATCCATCGCTGGATTTGTTTCTCCTTCCAGTTTCTGAACACAGGATTTGGAGTTAGAAACTCTGGCTTTAAATTGTGGACTGACCCTCACTGGTTATGAGATGGTGTAAGTCACTTAACTTCTTCACCTGCAGTTTCGTTTTCTATAAGTTGGAGGGTTATCATGGGATAACCCTCTAATTTACAGAATGTAACCCGCATGTTAATCCACCCTCACGTTAATTCTTCATCTGATGCTCAGGAACCTTGCCTCCCAGTACCTGTGCTCCAGTGTCCTCTCCACTCATGTGCCACAAGAGCCAGCCACCAAGTCCTGCTAGAAGCTGCATGTGGGCCAAGATCCACACAGAGCCCTAGAATCAGCGAGTTGACCTCTGCGCCTGGGTTCCACCTCAGTCCCCACCCTGTGTCCTCACAGTTCTTCTGAGAGCTGAGTCTTGGTGTCACTCACCAGACTGTGCCCCTGAGGACAGCACTTGGCATTGTGTTTGTGTTTTCAAATGTTTGAGAAGCGAATAAATCAAATCCAATTATAGGCTTTCCTGCCAGCCATTCAGTTGGAACATGCCTGGAACACTGAGGGGATGGTGTGAGAGAGTGATGGGTTAACTGTTTAACCCATTCAGGCTTCTGTAACAAAACACCATGCACTGGTTGGCTTGTAAAAAACAAAATTTATGGCTTCTAGTTCTGGAAGCTTAGAAGCCCAAGATCAAGGCACCAGCAGATCTGGTGTCTGGGGAGGGGCTGTTCTTCACAGACAGTGGCTTCTGGCTGTGTCCTCACATGGTGGAAGAGTGGGGCAGCTCTCTGGGGTCTCTTTTATAAGAGCACTAACCTGATTTGTGAGGGCTCCACCCTCATCACCTCCCAAAGGCCCCACCTCTCAATACCCTCATATTAGGGTATCAGGATTAGGATTTCAAATATGAGTTTGAGGGTTATGATTCCAAATATGAATTAGAGTTAGGATTTGAAATATGAATTTGGGGGGATACGTTCATGAAGAGTTCTTAGAGGACAAAGGAAATGAAGGCAGTGGCATGGAGGGCACGAGGAACCAGCTGACCTGAGTGAGCTCTTTGAGTGAGGAATTAGGGAGGTAGAGTATGGGTGAGGGGCCAGGGATGGGATGGGCTGCTCTCCCAACCATTCAGACCTGGCATGATGCAGTGGGCAGTGTAGGTGGGAGTCACAGGGGGACATGACATGCTGGGGAGGAGGGTCTGGATCAGGAAGGCCGATGCCAGGTGGCAGAGCCAGGCCCACCAGGGAGGGAAGACACCTGAGCCTAAGGAGTTGGAACCCTGAGTCTGTGGAGTTGGAGCCCACAAGCCGAGAAACAGGATGGAGGGAAAATCTTGAAAATTTATAGATATTAGATATTAGTAAATATAGTGAAACTGCCTTTTCCTAACATGAAGCGTAGTTGATGAATGTTTGTTTTGTTAATGGTGAAACCGTTCTACATTTTTCTCTTTTAGGATTCTTTCTGCATGGGCCCATTAGTCACTGTTTTATAAATCAACTAGACTCTCCTGGGAACGTAGATGTTCTTTTGCTGATTTATACGAAGGGGGGCCTTCCTGTGTTCGCAGGGATGATCTCTGTGCTGTTCAGGTTGACTTTAGAGAGTTCCCCCATTGCCAGGTTTGCAGGCTGAGGAAACAAGGTAAAGAAACAATTCTTTCTTTTTTATGGAAGCAGGTATTAGATTCATTACTCAGGTTACAGGCTAAGCTAGTCTTCTCTCCCTTTTTCCTGTAGATCACCCCTGATTTTCTTGGTCAGTGACTGATTTTTATCAAGGCGAGGACAGAATGGATGCAGGGCTGTGGGTAGGCCACCTCTTCATGCTGGCATCGTCATCAAAAGGCAGCGTGCGCATGACTCCTGGGGGCTCCAGGTCAGCCTCTGGTTACCCACTCTCTTAGTCATAATCTCCCTCTGCAAATTTTTATTTAAAAAGCAGCAGAGAGCTCTTCAAAGTCTTCTTCTCCAGCCATTAAGCTGCTCCTATTTCGTGCTGGCACTCAAATCGTAGCCACAGTTGTCCTGGGAATCGTGCGTTTCTCCTGCTCATGGCTGTTGGAGGCATGGCTTTGCTTTTAGCTCCAAGTACAGTCAGGTGAGGAAGCCAGGAAACTTGCCTCACATTTCAACCTGAACTCTGGCCTTGGCGGAAGGGAAGGGGACCTGGGAATGGAACCCTGTGAATCAGGCCTTCCTGGGTCCCTTTGTGCCTCCCTTGAATCCAGAGTCAGCATTTTTTTTTTTTTTTTTTTTTTTTGCAGAGCTCAAATCCAGCAGCAGTTCCCTGGAGCCAAAGGGAAAAGGCAACCCTGAACTCCCAACACCCACTCAATCCTAGGAGCCCACTCACTCTTCTTTCTCCCAAAAATACACCTCCAGACTTCTCTTCTCACCTACTTACTTCCCCAACTATTCAAACTGCTATGACTAGATTCTGGGGTGAGAAGTGGAGGCCGGGGGGCTTCCTAACTCTCTGGATGCTGCCCTCAGGCAGGTGTGATGTGTCCTGTCCAGCAAGGCACTGTCCTGCTCACTGTGCCTGCTGCAGCCAGCTCAGTGTCACCCTGTGATCTTGGCACTGGCATATGGTCTCCTGAGTTTTTGGCTATCCACTCACTTTGGTTTAGATGGGCTGTCTACTAAACAGGAGTGGGAATCTACTCCTGACTATACTTCCTTTGGGTAACATAACTCCCCCACCTCTTGGCCTCAGCCCTGGCACCAAAGGCTGCCAGGGGCCTACAGGGCTCTCCCATGGCCTACAGGGCTTCCTTAGGGTGGAAGATATTCAGATGCCATCTGTGCCCAGAGGGCTCAGAGGCTAAATTTCTGTCTTTCCCTATGCTCAGACAGCCTGTCATAACCTTAGCTTCCTCACTTGTGTTGGAGGCTTTCTGGAAACTTCCTTGAGCTGCAGGCATGAGTAGGTTCATAGTAGGGGCCAAAGACACCAGCTGGTGAAGACTGCGGATGCTTTCATCCAGTGACATTTGGATGACGAGTGCAGACATATAAAGCAGGAAAATCATGCTATTTGGAGGATGGAGAGCTGCATTCTAGTTGAGCTGTCACTCACCACAGCCCTGACTGTGGACATACTCCTTCACCCTGTGGGTGGCAGTTTATCCTTCTGTGAAATGGAAGGGATGTGTTCTTAGCAGTATTGCTATAAGGACTAAAAATACAACTGGCACAGAGTAGGCATCCTCAATAAATGCCATTTCTTTCTTCTATCTGCATCCTCAGCCTTTTAGTGTGTGTGAAGAAAAAAATGAGTTAATTCACGTGAAAGAATTATTTAAGCTCCATGAAGTACTTTATATATCTTCCCAATTCCTCTTCTTATCACTAGGATCAGAAAACATGGACCATGTAAAGTGGCCCATGCTATCTCTACTGACGAAGGAAACCCTTGCACAAACCAGGAAGCGTGGAGAAGACAGGAGACAGAGGGATCCACCAGGAAGGGCGGAAATGCAGCTTCAACACCCTCCCCTCAGGTCAATTTGAAATTCTGGATTCGGCATCTACTGACCCAAGGGAGTGCACGTGGCATCCTGTGTGCAGCACCTTCGGACCCAGCTGTGGTAGAACCTGGCACAGCCAGTGGGCCCTGTCACGGTGGCCTGGAGGAGCCCCAGAGGACAGCGACAGGAACCAGGACCCTGGCAGGGTTTATTTTCCAGTTTCTGGGTAAAGAGGAAAGAACTGAGACTAGGAATAGAACCTGGAAACCAGCTGCACATGCAGGTAGAGTCTGGCTGGGGCCCCCACATGGATCGCGATACGTGGGCCACCCTCACAGCATGACTGAGCTCAAGCCACATCCGTGCTCCCAGCCACTGCCTGAGCTGGGACCCACTGCCCTCTGCCCCCATGCTGCTTCCACAGGCATGTGCAGCCTTGGATGTGGGCCAGGGCCGGGCAGGGGATGCTCTGACAGGACAGTTTGGATAGATGAAGGTGAAGGGCATAGAAGCCCTTACTGCATTCAAGATGCTAATTACACTTGCCCATTTAGTTTTTAGTCAAAATCAATTTTTTACTCTCATTTTCATTTTATGCATGTTGTCATAAGTGGGAAAAAAGACTGTCTTGTCAGAATGATTGAATCTTCCATGAAATGAAAGCCATTTCCTGAATACTGTCCATTCAAGAGAATAAAAAGGAAGGAGAGTGCCATGAGCTTCAGAAACTTGGCCTTTACAGTTATGGCAATTGGAACACTTCTACCAATCTGTATGTTTTCTTATTTCTGAAAATTGTGTAAGTAATATAAGACCAATAATGCTGGCAAATCTATTGCAGTCTGATAATTTGCATTGCAGTGTGACATTGGAAGACAGAGAATCCCTGCCTAAAATTTACATAATCACAACTATTCAACAAGCTAATTCTCAACACAAAGACAATTTAGAAAATGTAAAAAATTAATGTCTGTATTATTTTAAGCCCCACTATTTCTGCTTTGTAAAACATAAAGACATGCTGTTTCCTGGGAAGTTATGTAAACAGATCAAATATTTAAGTATTTGATTACTATTAAATATCTGGGTGATATGGTTTCACTGTGTCCCTACCTAAATCTCAACTTGAATTGTATCTCCCAGAATTCCCACATGTGTTGGGAGGGACCCAGAGGGAGGTAGTAGAATCATGGGGGCCAGTCTTTCCCATGCTATTTGGGTGATAGTGAATAAGTCTCACGAGATCTAATGGGTTTGTCAGGGGGTTCAGCTTTTGCTTCTTCCTCATTTTTACTTTCTGTCACCATGTAGGAAGTGCCTTTCACCTCCTGCCATGATTCTGAGGACTCCCCAGTCATGTGGAACTGTAAGTCCAATTAAACCTCTTTTTGTTCCCAGTTTTCAGTATGTCTTTATTAGAAGCATGAAAATGAACAAATACACTGGGCATACTTAGACACTTAGAATAAGAAAATGATGAATAATTTAATTATGGAATGCGCATGTCAGCATTTACCTAATAAGGAACACATCAGATTTTCTTTTGACGAGTGCCAACTGATAAAAACAACCACATTAACACCTGTAGTTTTGGAAGCTGCCAGGTGATCGTTCAAATCTATTCTGGTAATGTGAAAGCATTTGGACATTTTCCTATCCTCTGCCCATGCTTAGTTTCAAGAGAGTAACTCAAAACTAGTACTTTCCTTTCAGCATTTGTAGCTTTAAGACGGTTTCTTACAATGGTTCTGTCTTACCTCTGTCCTCAACCCAAGTCTTCTTTACTCAAAGCTCCTCCAAATATGATCTCAAAACTATAGAAGGCAAACTCTGGAAAGAACCTTATATATCATCTGCACTAGTAATTTTGAAACCATATCATTAAGAAAATAATTTACACAATTTATACAAGAAGTAAAAATATTGATGTGGGGAGGAGAAGGGTTTCCCTGTTAAGTGCCCTGTTCACCATGAACACCCCCCAGCAGTGTTCCAGAACTAGGTCAACATAGAACACAACTTTAAAACCTCTGTCTTAGTCCTACTCCCTGAGGTGTAGAAGAAGGAAGTGAGTACTGTTTATACATTACAGAGAGTGTGTTTATCATAGATGCTCAATGTGTTAGAGGCAGAGTTGGAGAAGATAGGTTGTAGAGTTGTTAAGCACAGGATGACACCTTCATATTTTTGTGACCCAAGAATTTTGTGACATGGTTACCCCATGACACACACTTGATGACATGCAAGAGTGGGTGATTGGTGACATGCAAGAGTGGGTGATTGGGGTCCTAGAGACACAGACACTCTCATAAAGAACCAACGCAGACAGACTGAGTGCAAAAGCTTCGGAAGGATAGAGAGTATTGTTTTGGAGATGGGAGCTTGTAAATATTTTACAGCGGGCAATTCTAATCTCTATAGTTTAGCTGACCCAATGCCCATAGAGGGGGCTAAGAAATATGGTCTTGCCTTTGAGTTGTGTGAAAATGTCTTCCCAATGTAAGTTTTCCTGGACTATAAGGCAAGAAAAGACATAGTGGCAAGCATGGGGACATTTTTGGACAGGCACCTTCTCACGAGTTCAGGTTCCTTTGCTCCCAGCCTGCTGACACTGGTGACCTGGGTTTTGAGGCTGGCTGAGTGGAAGCTGGAGGGCTCTAGGAAGGACTTGGCAAGAGCAGAGTTGTTGGGAGAAGCCGGGCCGCAAGCTAGAGTCACAGTTTCCTCCACTCACCCACAGGGAGGATTATTTTTTTTCTGTGACAGGTTCTCCCTCTGTCCCCCAGGCTGGAGTGCAATGGTGCAGTCATGACTCACTGCAGCCTCAACCTCCCTGGGCTCAGGTAATCCTCCCACCTCAGCCTCCCAAGTAGCTGGGATGACAGGCACATGCCACCATGCCTAGCTAATTGTTGTGTTTTTTTGTAGAGACGGGGTCTTGCCATGTTGCCCAGGCTGGTAGTATGGAGGATTCTTGAGAAATAATTTGTGAAGGTTTGAAACTCTGTCCCGCATTTCCCTTTACCTCTGCTACCTTCTCTCTTTCTTCCAAAAAATGAAAATGAGTAAAACCTAGGGTACCCATTTCATTTTTCTGTTGAGTTTGGTTAAATGTGGGAGGCACCATCTATGAAGAGATTCTATGCTCACCAGCTCATCATCCAAAATGCTTGGGAGGCCCTAAAAACATACAGATTCCTGGGCCAGACATCTAGACATTTGTACTGGGCTGGGGTCTGGGAATCTGATTTTTAAAAAGCTTCCCGGAGTGTTCTAAAAACTAGGCAGGTTTGTGAGCCACTTGTTTAGTAGAGGAGCTCACTCTACTGAGGATACTTATTCTCACTATTCCCACACCCCACCCTCTATAGTGGCCTATCACCACACCTGGGGTTGGAATCCTATTGCCTGCCCAGGTGCTCCAAGGTGTCCCTGGGGTATCAAGGGGCTGCTGACTGCAGCAGAGAGCCCACTCCCAGTGACCACACTTCCTTAGGACATTGCTCCCAAACTCTGCCTCCTGCAGATAATTCTCTCCCCTCTTCTGGGACATAAATTTGCCTAGGCCCTTTGCTTTGTTAGCAGTAGACTGGGACATGCAGTGCTTGCTTCAGACATGGTGGAGCCCCACCATGGCCTCTACCAGGCTGCCTGTCTTCCTGGAAACATTAGTTCCCTCCATTGCTGCCCATTATGGGAAGCAGACTGTTAACTTGACTGTTAACAAGAGCATTACCCAACACAACATTCAAATTTCCTTCAGATAAAATCTGGGTCAAATATTTGCTTTTCCACATATATCTCATTTATTCAGTCCATTATAACCATTTATTTGGAATCATACATATGGAGACTAGAAAAGAGCTTGGGTATCATGACATCTAATTTCTGTATCTTATACAGAAACTAAACCCAGAGAGAGGAAATAATTCAACCGGAGAGATCTGTTAGTTACAGCAGAGCCTATGAGCAGCACCTGATCCACCCCCTTGCTCCCTGGCTACAGACTTGGGCATAATAAAACGTTGTAGATTTAATATGGCCACCTGTGCAAAGAGGCCTCTCCTCTACACCTGTAAAATCTAGACGCAAAGGTGATTGAAATGCTTGGTGCTTCTGATATGATTTAGCTGTGTCCCCACCCAAATCTCACCTTGAATTTTAACTCCCACAATTCCCACGTGTCATGGGAGGAACCCAGTGGGAAGTGATTGAATTATGGGGTCGGGTCTTTTCTCTGCTGTTCTCATTATAGTGAACGAGTCTCACGAGATCTGATGGTTTTAAAAAGGGGAGTTTCCCCACATAAGCTCTCTTCTCTTGTCTGTCGTCATGTGAGATGTGCCTTTTGTCTTCCATTATGATTGTGAGGCTTCCCCAGCCACGTAGAATTGTAAGTCCAATTAAACCTTTCTTTGTAAATTGCCCAGTCTTGGGGATATCTTTATCAGCAGCATGAAAACGGCCTAATACAGCCTCCAACCCATGTTCTCCTCAGTTCTGAAAGCAGGTGTCCTGTTGTATGATGTACCCGCCTGTAACAGCTTCAGAACCTGAGGTTCTATTTTTGGCAAGCCACTTTTATCCCATTCACTGTTTTTCTGCTCTAGAGAATCTTTTCACAAGAAATTCACTTTGTTTCATTTGATTTGAAGGAGACATGGGGTGCTCCTCATTTTCCAGGGCTTCAAGGACATGAGCTGGCTGCTACTTTGAGCCAGGAATTGAGAGAGGAAACTCTTTGGCATTCCTGACCTTTATTTTGCATTTTGAGGGGGTTCATGTGGCTCCCGACTTTGGGTTCACCCCTAGCTAGTCTCAAATGGGAGTAAAAACTAAGTCCCCTGGCCCTGTGCTAGAGGCCACCCTGAATCTCACAGAGGTGGGGAAAGGTGTGAGGAAGCCAGGTGTGCAGAGGACATCAGTTCATTCAATCTGCACAACAGCCTCCAATATCTCCCTCTTTTGTAGATAAAGCAGCTAAGGTTCAGTGAGTGTAAGTGACACACAACAGAGCCCCTGCTTCAGAATCAGTCAGCCGGGGGATTGGATCTCACTGAGCACTGAGCAGCACACTTTAAAAAAAAATTAATAGATTACAAAAATTAACAAATAAAAATTGTATATATTTCTTGTGCACAATGTGTTTTGAAATATGCATACATTGAGGAATGACTAAATTAAGCTAATTAGCATGTGCACTATTTCACATACTTAAAATTTTTTTTTTGTGGTGAGAACACTTAAAGTGTCTCTTAGCCATTTTCAAAAACACATAATTAGGCCGGGTGTGGTGGCTCACACCTGTAATCCCAGTACTTTGGGAGGCTGAGGTGGGCTGATCACCTGAGGTCAGGAGTTCGAGACCAGCCTGGCCATATGGTGAAACCCTGTCTCTGCTAAAAATACAAAAATTAGCCAGGCGTGATGGCATTTGCCTATAATCCCAGCTACCCAGGAGGCTGAGACAGGAGAATCATTTGAACCTGGGAGGTGGAGGTTGCAGTGAGCCAAAGTGGCACCACTGCACTCCAGCCTGGGCAACAGAGTGAGACTCCATCTCAAAATAATAATAATAATAATAAAAGACATAATTAGTTACAGTCACCATGTTGTACAGTAGATCTCTTGCTACTTAATTTGCATCTAATACTTGGTTTCATTACCAATTAAGTGGTGGTGTTCCGAGAATTGGATGAGACAATATATGGGACTCACCCAGTACAGTGTCTGGCATACAATAAGCATTCAATAAATAATAACTACACTGTTACTATTATAATAGTCATTGATTAAGGGTTTACCCCTACTACGTGACATTTATTTGATTTCAAATGAGAACATGGACTAACATTTATGGAGCCTTTCCTATGTATCTGGTACCATGGCAATTATTAGACGAGTGATTTCATTTCATCTTTAAACGTCTTATGAAGCAGGTGCTATCCTCACCTCCATTTTGCAGGTGAGAAAACTGAGCTTTGAAGGGCAAGGACCTTGACTCAGGTGACCCTGCTGGTTAGTCAGAGCCCAGACCCTGAGCCCGACCACCGGGAGCCCTGGTGAGCAGCCTGCACCCCCTACCCAGGCCATGATTAAGGTCTGCCCGGGTGTCTCCAGCTCTCTGCTGTTCTCTACTTGCTTGTTCAAAGCTCACTTGTCTCCACACAGAAGCGTGAATACTAAGCTCACTCTGGGAGCTCATGATTGTCAGATTCTCTGTGGCCTTCTGCAATGCAAGAACGCAGATAGTGAAAATTTATACATATTTTTAATCTATTAAAACCAGTATTTAGCACTAATGCATATGCTAAAATCATCCCTCAAAATTACATATTTATTTTCTAATTGTAGCTCATTCTTAATGTCCTATTGTGTATTAAAAGGTGAGATAGTATTTCAGTTTTTGACATGTTTTATACTGAGAAGGCTTTAAAAATCCTTATTACTCCAATCAACTGTGTGAAGTTGATTTAGTGAGCCCACATTTGGGTGGGAAATGTAAATGGCCTAGGATACATGCAAGCACAGGAGGTGAGAGTTTGTGGAGGAATTGTTCTGTGTGGGAGAGAGATGGTGAGAAACTTTGTGAGATATTTATTAACAAATCCTTTGGAAGTCCAGGTAGCAGCAGATCCCCATCCCTATTCTCCAGAGACTGGGGAGGAGGACTGCCCCAGTTTGCAGGAGCTCTGCTTGTTCAAAGGTTCTTCCTTATGCTGAGTTGAAAGGCGCCTTTTGAGCCAATATGGAAAATATTGAACCCTCTTCTTTTCTGGCATGTTGTAGTTTTTTGATGACAGGTTTTTCTTTCAGTCTTTTCTTTCTGGCTAAATAGTTTTGGTTTGCTTAGCTGTTCCTCAGAAGGCACCCTGGTTTCCTTGTTTGTCATTTTCCCATTCTGGGTGGCTCCTAGAACTGAATGAAATATTTTAGCGGCATAGGTGAGACAGTATCATCTCCTTAACTTGCACCTCACTTGTTTTAATGTAACCCCAAAATTTTAAAGAAGAATATGCTTTTTCATTATTTAAAATTAAAGGAGAAAAGATAATCACATCCCTGTACCTCTTTCTCAGAATTAATTAATATTATTTTTTGCTTATATTTCCTTCATATTTTCTCTAAAAAATAAACACTATGGGTATAATTGAAATCACCAGTATTCTGTTCAGTCCTCTGTCAGTCAGCTTTCGCTCAGCACTAGCAAAATTCCTAACATCTCAGGAGTTTACAACAACACAGCTTTATTTCTCATTCATGTTAAATAAAAATATTCACCAATATTTTCTTCTAATATTTTAAGCATTTTTTCATATATGGTTTATTCAGCCATTAGGAGATTATTTCACTGTATAATGTGAGGTTGGTACTTAATTTTATCATTGTTTTTACCTGTGAGTAGTGACTACGTGAACACTGTTTCCCTACTGATTTGTAGTACCTTTTCCATCATATTCCAAGACCGCACGAGTGAGTCTAAGACCTTTTGTACTAAAGATATGTGTGTCTATCCCAATGCTAATGCCGCCCTATCAGTTGATATCGCTTTATAATGAATCTTAGCAACTGGAGCGCAAGCCTCTTGTCCTCGTTGTTCTTATTCAGAATTTTCAGAACTATTCTTGAACATCTGATGTTTGTTCTCACCTTTAAAATTGATTTGCCAAGTTCCATAAAAAAACGCTATTAGAACAACCTTGTTCATTTCATTTTTTTTCAAATCTTATATATCTCATTGTGGTTTTGATTTGCATTTCTCTGGTTGGTGATGATGAGCATTTTTTTCATTTGTTTGTTGGCAGCTTGTGGGTCTTGTTTTGAGAAGTGTCTGTTCATGTCCTTTGTCTACATTTTAATGGGGTTATTTGTTTTTCGCTGGTTGATTTGTTTACTTTTTTTTTTTATAGATTCTATATATTAGATTTTTGTTGGTGCATAGTTTGTGAATATTTTCTCCTATTTCATAGATTGTCTGTTTATTTTATTGACGGTTTCTGTTGCTGTGCAGAAGTCCTTTGGTTTAAGTAGGTCCCACTTGTCAATTTTTGTTTTTATTGCAATTTCTTTTGGGGACTTGGTCATAAATTCTTTGCCAAGGCTGATGTCAAGAAGGACATTTCCTAAGTTTTCTTCTCAGATTTTTATAGTTTGAGGTATTCAATTTAAATCTTTAATCCATTTCATGTATATGGTAAAAGATACGGGTCTAGTTTCATTCGTCTGCATATGGCTAACCAGTTATCTGAACACCGTTTATTGAATAGGAAGTCCTTTCCCCATTGCTTATTTTTCTCGACCTTGTGGAAGATATCAGATTGTTGTAGGCATGTGGTTTTATTTCTGAGTTTTCTATTCTGTTCCATTGGTCTATGTGTTTGTTTTTGTACCAGTACCACAGTGTTTTGTAGACTTATAGTATAATTTGAAGTCAGGTAGTGCAATATCCAGCTTTGTTCTCTTTGCTTAGGATTGCTTTGTCTATTTGGGCTCTTTTTTGGGTTCCATATGAATTTTAAAAGTTTTTCTTGAATTCTGTGAAGAATGATGTTGGTAGTTTAATAGGAATAGCATTGAATCTGTAAATTGCTTTGGACAGTATGGTGATTTTAATGATATTGATTTTTCCAATCCGTGAGCATAGGATGTTTTTTTCATTTATTTGTGTCATCTCTGATTTCTTTCAGCAGTGTTTTGTAGTTCTCCTTGTAGAAATCTTTCATGTCCTTGGTTAGCTGTATTCCTACATATTTCATTTTTCTTTGTGGCTATTGTAAATGGGATTGTGTTGTTGATTTGACTCTCAATCTGGATGTTAGTGATGTGTAAAAACGCTACTTTTTTTGTACATTTATTTTGTATCCTGAAACCTTGCTAAAATCGTGTATCCATTTTAGTAGCCTTTTGGTGGAGTCATTAGAATTTTGTAACACCAGTTAGAATGGCTATAACTAAAAAGACAGAAAACAACAGATGCTGGTGAGGCTGCAGAGAAAGAGGAACGCTTATACACTGTTGGTGGGAATGTAAATTAGTTTAGCCTCTGTGGAAAGCAGTTTAGAGATTTCCAAAGAACTTAAAATGAAACTACCATTTGACTCAGCAATTCCATTGCTGGGTATATACCCAAAGTAATGTAGATCATTTTATCAAAAAGACATATGCACTTGTATGCTCAACACTGCACAATTCACAATAGCAAAGACATGGAATCAACCTATGTGTCCATCAGTGGTGGATTATATAAGGAAAATGTGGTACATATACACCATGGAATGCTACACATCCATAAAAAAAGAATTAAATCGTGTTCTTTGCAGCAACATGGGTGAAGCTCAAGGCCATAATCCAAAGTAAATTAATATAGGGACAGAGAACTAGATATCACATGTTCTCAAAGTGGGAGCTAAACATTAAGCACACGTTGACATAAACATGGAAACAATAGACTCTTAGGACTGCTAGAGGTGGGAGGGAGGGAGTGGAGTGTGGGTTGAAAAACTACCTACTGGGTACTATGCTGCCTACCTGGGTCCAATATACCCATGTAACAGTCCTATACATGTGCCCCCGTAACTAAAATAAAAGCTGAAATCAAACCAAAACAAACAAAATATCTCATATATCCTTCTTATATTTTAGGGTTGCTTTATTAATTTTGAATAGAGATACATTAAATTTTCTTGTGATGATTATAGATTTATTCTCTGTAATACTTTTTTTTTGTATTGTATACTTTGAAGCTGTATTCTTGGATACATAACTGCTCTATCTTTGTGTTCTATTGTTTTATCATTTGCTTTTTTCATCACTCTTCATAATTTTTACCTAAAATTTAGCTTTTTGATTATTTACTACATTTTCTTTATTTTAGTATATTATCTGCCTGGTTAATCTTTATCCATTCCCTTCATTTTCTCCCTTTCTTTATACATTTATTGTCCATGTGTCACTTGTAAGCATGTTAGTTCTGGATTATAAAATAAGTCTCAGCTGATAATAGCTTTTTTAAAAAATTATAAATTTAATTTATTTTATTAAATGATTAATGACATAGAATTACTTCTCTTATTTTTATATAAATGCATTTTCACTGAACTACTGTGTTTTTTGCTCTTTTGCTTAGTTTTTTATTTCCATAGGTTGTAAATAGTTATTTTTGTAAAATCTATAAGCTATATTTATAGCTTTTTATGCTTACATTGCACCTTAACATAATACTAATTATGTTAAAATCTTCTAACTTTTTCATTAGCTTTTGTAGTCTTTTTGAATCAGATAAAAGACGTAGACTTTTAAATATACACATATATAGGTACATATATACATACATGTATATACATATATATAAAAATATATGTCTACCAAATATATTTCCCCATTCTATCATTGTTGCTATTGTTATTTAAAATTAAAATTCTTCTATATTTTAAACACACATTTTAGGATTATTTCCTCTACTCATTAAGTGGATACACTAATAGAGTCTACCAAGTCATGTGCTCACTGTGGTTTCTTACATTCCATGGGTTCCTGTGTCTTTAGAACACTCTTTAGTAAAGAGTGTGTAAGTTGCAACTCATCGTGGCTCTTGCATATTTGAAAATGTCTTTTTGTGGTGCCCCACTTTAAAAATAGTTTAGCTGGGCATACAATTTTAGGGTGAAAATTATATTCCTGTTGAAGTCTTCAGTCAACATCTTTTGCTTTCTATTTTTTACTCTGATGACAATTCTGCTGATATCTAATTGTTGTTTGGAAAGCAAACTGTTTTCTCTCTGGTTGGTTTCATGCATTTCTCATCTATAGTTTTCCGATGTTTCATATGGATATATTTTATATAAGCTTATTTAATAAGCTTAATGTCTGGTGGGTGCTTTCAATCTGAAGATTCTTCAATTCTGAAAAAACTCATTTGCTTTTTGTCTTTTAAAATATTGCTTCTTTCAAATTCTGTCATTTCTTCTTCTGGAACTTCTTATTCTATTCTAGATGAATTTTTGGAGCTTCAACTCTTACTCATATCTCCTCATTGTGCTATCATATTTTAACCCATATTTAGATGATTTACTCAGCAATATCTATTACTTTACTTATTATTTCTTTGACATATCCAGTTTAGAGTTTACCTTATTATCAGGAATTTTTATTTCAATGAATACATTTTTTAATTCCAAAATTTCCAATCAGTTCTTTTTCACATCTACATTTTTTTAAATCTCATTTGTTTCTTACTTATTTTATTTTTATGGCTGTTATAGCATTCTTTACTCATTTGAGGATTTCAAACATTTATTTTATATTCACTTTTATTTTGCTCTATTATTTGCATTTGCTTGGAATGAATTTGCCTTTTCATTGTTGATATTTTTGGTTGTTTTTCTTAGTATTCTTTTGCTTTTGTGTTTTGAAATTTTAGTTTTCCAGTTCTTTTTTCTCTTTCTCAATCTGTGCTTAGCCCTACCCCTCCACGGAGATAACAGGGTTCCTTCTAACCAGACCCCAGGGGTGCAGAAGCACTCAGAGTGCTGGCTCCAGGGGCATCTTTAGGGCTGTCACTGGGTCAATGGGTTCCTTGGCTTAGGAGCTCATTGCTTAGCTAGATCTTTTTTCTTTCACTTCTCAGGTATGAATTTTCATATAAATTATAGCCAAGACCTGAATTTGGAGCCTTTTCTCTTTTCCTTTCAGAGTGGAAAAGAGATTTTAGAGTGGATTTTATTTTTGTAAAATCTATACGCTATATTTACATTATATTATAAGGATATTGTATTATCCTTACGTTATAAGGATACAGCATATAGATATATAAGATATATCCACTACAGGAACCAGGACCAAAGATCCACCTTGTTCTAGTTCTTTACCTTATGCTGGGTGTTATTGGTACCTGTTTGTGCCTTTTCATGTACCTGGACTAAGAGCCCACAGGTTAATGGCTTTTATCCTTTTTTTGCTCTATGGTTTTTTCTTTCCTTTCTAAACTATGGGCATGTTTCTCTTGCTGTTGAGTGTGGATAAGTCTTTCACATAATTTGAGATACTTTGCCTTGAAGAAGAGGAGTCATTTTAAAGATTGAATCAAGTGCCATGTTGAAAACAAGCATAATTTTATTTTTACATATTTTTTAGAAGTCATGTCATGTTGATGGCCCTTAAGTTTACAGTCAAGAGAAATCCCTAGATCCTTCACAAATTGTATGCTGTCAACATGAAATTTCTTTGAATCCTGAAAGTTGTTCAATTATTTTAGTACTAAATGTGCTGTATTGCATTTGTCCTCATTCCTGTATAATGCTGTGATTGATGATTCAGTGATTCATTAGCAGACCTTCTGAACTCTGAGAACCTTCTGAACTCTGAGAACCACAGGCTCCAGGTCTTATAGGGTTTACTAAGAACTTTGA
This sequence comes from Homo sapiens, assembly GCF_000001405.40. Classification (NCBI taxonomy): domain Eukaryota; kingdom Metazoa; phylum Chordata; class Mammalia; order Primates; family Hominidae; genus Homo; species Homo sapiens. The sequence continues at coordinate 4,036,805 of NC_000002.12, forward strand.
CAAGGGCAGGGCCTGAGATAGAGCCATCCTATAGGTCTCCTAGAGCAGGGGTCACCGGCTCCTGGGCCACGGACCAGTACTGGTCTGCATCCTGTTAGGAACTGGGCTGCACAGCAGAAGATGAGCAGTGGGCAAGCAAGCAAAGATTCATCTGTATTTATAGCTGCTCCCCATCATTCTCATTACCACCTGAGCTCCACTGCCTGTCAGATCAGTGGCAGCATTTGATTCTCATAGGAGCATGAACCCTATTGTGAACTGTGTATATGAGGGATCTAGGTTGTGTGCTCCTTATGAAAATCTAATGCCTGATGATCTGTCACTGTCTCCCATCACCCCCACCATCTATTTGCAGGAAAACAAGCTCAGGGTTCCCACTGATTCTATATCGTGTGAATTGTATACTTATTTCATTACATATTACAATGTAATAATAATAGAATTAAAGTGCACAATAAATGTAATGTGCTTCAATCATCCTGAAATTATCCTCCACAACCCAGTCCATGGAAAAATTGTCTTCCATGAAATCCATCCCTGGTGCCAAGAAGGCTGGGACTTCTGCCTTGGAGATTGCTTTCCAGTTCCACATCCATCAGCTCTTCAGCACTACTTGAATATGTTTCTTCCTCTAACCATGAAATCATCCAACAGTGGAAATGTGTTAAACAAGTCTGGATTTTGGAGGCAGACAGCATATTTGTTACAACGTAGGTTTCAAACTTGATGGTGCTGCTTACTGGATATTGGACCTTAAACAAGCTGTGTGATCTTCCTGAGCCTCATGTTTTCTCATGTAGCAAACGTAACTTATAAAACAGATACTTGTGAGGACTAAATGAGAAATAGGTAAAGCATTGGGCCCACTGTCCTGCCTAAAAAAGCCATCCTCCCTTCCTGTTGTCTACATTTACTCAACGCCTCCCCCACAATATTCTTCATCTTGTCTCTGCATCTGGACTTGCACAAAATCAAGGCTTCCTGTGTCCACAGTGTGATCTCATTCCATGAGTCTCTGATTTCTAGTGACAGGTCAGGCCCTGCCTAGACCCTCCATCCACACAAAGGGGACAGCATTAGCAAAAGGAGTCATGGTGTAGGGGTAGTGGGAGTGCAGCGGAGTGCTTGGGAAGGGAGCTGCCGTGCTAAGAAGTGAAAGCCATTCTGTAGGTCAGGGGAGCACTTCATTCTCAAAAAGGAAGAGTTGAAGTGTAATTAAATTGGTGCTACTTTGGGGTTTGACTGGGGGAGAAATGAGAAGAGCACCTCCCTCTTGGTACCAGCATGGTGCTAGCACAGGAGAGCTGAATGCTCTCCTGTGAGCAGCATGGCCAGCAGGGATGCAGAGGAGGGTTGGGAAGTAACTCAGGAGATGTCTTGAGGTGGAACCCACTGGACTCAGAGATCAGGTGAGTGGATGAGTGTATGGGAGGTGAACAACAGAGGAGGCAATAATTAATCTGAGTTTCTAGCTTGGGAAACTTTGTGATGGGTAAGACAATATTTCTACAAGTGTGGTCCCTGGCCTAGCAGACACAGGTCACCTGGGAACCTGTTAAAATTGCACATTCTTTGGTTTACTTCAGGTCTACCTAATCAGAAACTCTTGGGTGAGACTCAGAAATCTGGTATACGGAGCCCTTCAGGTGATTCTCATTCATGCTGAAGTCTGAGCACCATTGAGGGAGGTAATATGGGTGAAAAATCAAGTCTGGATGAAAAATGTGCTTGGTTTTGTATATTTTGGGGCTTGAGAAGGCTGTGAAGCATCCAGGAGACCATGCCTAGCATGTGGTAATTGTGGGGCTAACCGGTGATTAAAGGAACTATTACATTTTTAGATATAAATTTGCTAGATCCAAGTATATAAATTTTGAGGATTGGTTCATTTTTCCAGGAGTTCTAATAATTGTATTTTCCCAACTCAAATAATGTAGGAAAATTAAATAAACACTTTTGATACATTGCAGAGTTTCTTACCTTGTACTTCAGTTTGAAAAGATATTAAATGAAGAGAAAATAAAGCTTTTATTCCCTAAGCATAATTAAAGTGGTTGATTCAAATAATATTTGAATTTCCATTCTGGAATCAAATGCTAAACTGAACTTTAAAACTACCTCTTGAGCAAAGAGAGGATATTTCTTCCTGACATTTCAGAAAGATATTTACATCCTGATGCCATTACACGTTGTAATTATGTAATTGCACATTCTAATTACATGATCACATATGTTATGCTAATTATATAATTAGACTTAATTATAACAATTGTGCCAATACATAGTATCAGAATCAAAACGAATGAATTAGAAAAACTAGGGTGTAAATGAGAATGACAAATTTTGTAAGAAAATCTTCAAAAAATTTAAAGCAGCAGATGATGGTCATTTCAAACGATTTAACTGATATGGACATAAAGTACTGCCTTTGCTCACTGGCTATAACAAACCCTGAAATTTTGCTAAAATTGAGAAAAGATCACGTAAATTGAAAAATGTCGAAGAAGGAGAATGTAAAGGGGAAAAAGAAGGAGAAAGAAGTAATGATGAGTGTGAAAAGGATTTAAACCGAGCAGAAAGAGTTCCTCTTCGCTCCTCATTTGTATTCTCCCTTATGCTTGGACAGTCATCAAGATTTTTTATCATATCTGAATTCCTGAGCTTTTGTCACTTAACTGCCAACTTGAAGATTCTGTGAATGGAACAATTCACTGTAATTATAATTATCTTGAACTTTTTCAGGACAGCAAATCTTTAGATAGTATCTCAAAACGTTGGAATGTTCATTTTCAAGTTTCAGCTCATCTTGATCCTGGGAAAATAAGAGTTTGCTAATAGTTATTCCTTTAATGTGGTGATTTGATCGCCTTTACTTATTTTTTAAGCCAAGTGTCTTAACTAAGAAAAAAGTATATAGGCTCCCCCCACCCCTCCCACAGTGGACTGCGAGTGCCCTGTTAGCAAACAACTGGTAAAGGAGGGCAGATCTTCCTTTAGGGGTTTTTCCCACAGCTAGCTACACAGCACAGAGATGGAAAAGTCATTTTAAAAAAATTGTAATTTTAATTGCATGTTCTCCTACAGATTCACCAAGATGGCCACTTTAATTTCCCAAGGGAGCCCATTTCCACCCTTCATAGAATATGGAGACTGTCTCCTGGCTGACAGAGAGCGTAGATTTATTCTCTTTCCTTTGGCTGTGCAGAAGTAACCTTGAACTAGCAGTTACTGCCTTGAAAATGAACAGACCAAATGCCTCCTATGTTTTATCCTCTCCTCATTAGGTTACCCAGAATATCTCACACCTTCTATCTTACCCCTCGTTTGTCCTAAGTAGATGACACATTCCTGTAGCTCTCAGGGTGGAAATGGAACCGGCATTCTCTGCGGGCAGATCATTATGCTGCGGCAGCACTTCGCTTTCTGCCTTGCTTTGAGTGTTACAAGCACGTGAGTGTCAGTTCAGCCTTTATTACTTCCAGAGGTGGCTGAAGTCCATGCCTACAACCTCATTTTCCAGTGCACAACACGGATAGAGCAGAAGTGCACAACCCTGAGCATCCCCTCCCCCAAGCGAGGTGCACCACAGGGTCATACGTGGGCTTGTGATAAATGGTGTCCTGACTGGAAATAGAAGAGTCCAGCTGCATTTCAATTTGCTACCTGCCAAACGTGGACAATGCTGCTCTCTGTGCATTTGGCAATTTTGTGTCTGGGTGCTATCATCATTTACCATGTTGACTATCAGGATATACCAATTCTGGAATTGTCATAGGCCTCAGGGATTTCCTGGACTCAAAGACTTTATACCTACATGGTGTCATATTCATTTTCTTGCTGTAATTCAGAATGATTAAACCCACCTTGTAAAAATAATGCTGAAATAGGATGTTGTGAAACATCGGTGAACTGGAAGCCAGCTTTCAATTGCTTGGAATTTTTACTGTATGTGAATTATTAGAGGAGTAGAAACTTTAGAGAATATATAGTATAAATGCTATGTTTTGGAGATGCACCTTAGTGTGGATTAAAGTGATCATCTTAGGTCACACAGTCAGTAGGTAGGAGGGCCAGAATTTGTGTCTTCTGAATTCTAACTCTGGGCTGTCTCCATCATAACCCAGCCTCTCTCCTTTGACTCATGTTCATTCATTCATTCATGTACAAACCCATTTGTGAAATATCTTTTATTACGCTGAACGCTGAAGGAAAAACAAAGATGAGTAACATGTGCTCATTTCTTTCTGGAGCATGTGGATTAATGAGACAGATGTAGCCACATTCAAATGTCCTAACGTTAAGGCAGAGTCGGATAAAAGCCAAGGCAAGGTTAACAAAATGTGGAATGAGGCTGTGAGGGTGAAGGACAAGATCCTGGAAGACTTTGTGAGGGGCAGTTCTTTGAGTTTAGCCACGTGAGAGGGATAGAATTTCAGTGTCAGCTGTAGGAGGCGTTCCAGGGAGCGTGAGCAAAGTCGTAGCAGTAGCGTGAAGACTGTGCTCCAATATCAGCAAGTCCTACATTTCACCTGGACCTAGAGGAGTTGGCAGAGGTAAGTTTTTGCCAAATGATGAAAGTCTTTCTTTTGGGCTGATCAGTTTTAATTTAGTCTGTAGGTAAAGGGGAGACATTGGAGATCGTTGATCAAGAGGGAAAAAGTCTTAAGGTATGATTTGTAAAGATCTGTCTGTCTATGGAGAATGGATTGGAATGGGTAGATGGGAGTCAGGAAGCCCCCTTCACATTTCACCTGGCCGGTCCTACTTTCTCATGGTTCACGATCCTGCACACGGCTGACACCTCCTCCATTCACAAGGACCACTTCTGTCTGTCTTTCCCTTCTTTCCTTCTGTCTCACTTTCCCTGCTCCCTCCCTTCTCCCCTTCCCTCTCCATCACCTGTTTCTTCAGCAATTACCTATGGAATCTAACTGCAACTAAGTGCCGTGCCCTGTACCAGGCACAGACGAGAAGGACAGTGGTGGAACACACCCATGGGCCTGGAGGAGCATGCTCTGCAGAGGGACGGAGCAGCAGCTGATGGACATTAACAGCACTTGTTGAGGAGAGCATGGAGGATGGGCCCCAAATTCTGATCCACCCGAGAAGGGACTGGGAAGGTGCTTGGAAGACTGGGCTGTCTCTCGGAGTCTTGAGGGTGAGCAGTATTTAGGACAGTGGATGGGGTGTGGAGGAAGGCCCTCCAGACAAATGCAACCTGGTGTGCAGGGAACTAATCCAGTGAGGAGCCCTTTCAGGCAGGCAGGCGGTTGGGTGGACATCTCCATCCCTGGAACAATGCCTCTTCAACATCCACACATCCCTGGCATGGTTCCAGAACATGACCTCCTTCCCTGGCAGTCTCTGCATTTCCCTAAAAGTCCCATCCAGACCAACGTTTTCCAAATTGTGTCACCCTTATGAGCATATTCCCCTTATCCTGCTCATTTATTTTTCTTCTAGTATTTCCCCATCTAAAATATTGTGACAGTTAACTTTATTTTAAAAAGTGTCTACATCCCATCCCCACCCCCACTCCCATCCACTCCTCACCTCCCTTTCCCCCACCAGCAGAACAGAAGGGCTTTTTGTTCTGTTCCTTGTTGGTTCCTGGCACCCAGAAGCTCTGATGTGCCAGTTGGTTGGGTACACCTTTGTAGAGTAGATTAGCAGGCCTCCTGCTCTCCTCTCTCCAAATCGATTTTGTTAGCTGGTTCTGCCACCTCTCCCCAGGAGCAACTCCCACCTCCATTCAGCCTCTTCTCCTGCCCTGCCCGAGGCTGAGGTCTTCCCTCACCCACACTCATCTCCATCAAGACTTTACTCCATCAGTAAACCTTTCTCTTCTGCATCTCCAACTTCTCACTTTCCATCAGGTACTTCCCTTCAACATGCCCATATCTGTTCATAAAACAAACACACAGACCATGTTCTACCTCCAAAATGTATGTCCTCATTAACAATTGCCATTGTTCTTCTGACCCCAACCAGGCTTCTTGAAAGGGACTCTTCCCCTGCCCTCCCAACTTCCTTACATCTCTGCTGTCCTTACCTGGCTCTCTCTAGCTGCACAATCAAGCGTAGTGGGAAGATCACCAGTGGCTTCCTTATACCCAAGTCTGGTAGACGTCTGTTGCGAGCTGACTTATGCCCCTCAAAAAATATATGTGGATGCCCTAACTCTCAGTCCCTGTGGCTGTGACCTTCTTTGGAAACAGGGTCTTTCCAGAGGTAATCAAGTTAAAGTCAGATCATAATGGCTTAGGCTTGGCCCTTATCCAATGACTGGTGTCCTTATGAGAAGAGGGAAACGTGGACCCAGACACATAGAAGGCAAGATTGCCATGCAAAGATGGAGGCAAGTGCTCAAATGATGTCCAAAAACCCTTGAACACCAAGGGCTGCCAGGCATGTGCACGGAAGGGGCAGGGGAGGAGTCTACCCAGAGCCCGAGAGGAAGCGGGGCCGGCAGACACCTTTGTTTCAGGCTCCCAGCATCCAGGGCAGGAGGAGATGCACCTCTGCAGCTGAAGCCATCTGTCTGTGAGGCTTTGTTTCAGCATTCCTGGGACTCGAAGACAGAATTTTTCAGACAGCATTTTTTTGCTTTAAGCTTAGTCAACCTCTGAACCACTGGGCAGAATTGATTCTTCTCTCCACTTTAGGATGCTTCCTCCTGCTTGGTCTTCCCTCCCCTCTGTCCTGCTGACCTGGCCCTTTCTGCTTGGCCTCTGATATGGTTTGGCTGTGTCCTCACCCAAATCTCATCTTGAATTGTAGCTCCCATAATTGCCATGTGTCATGGAGGGGACCCAGTGGGAGGTAATTGAATCATGGGTGTGGGTTTTTCCCCTGCTGTTCTTGTGATAGTGAGTGAGTCTCAAAAGATGTGATGGTTTTATAAAGGGCAGTTCCCCTGCACACGCTCTCTTGCCTGCCACCATGTAAGAGGTGCCTTTGCTTCTCCTTTGCCTTCCACCATGATTGTGAGGCCTCCCCAGCCATGTGGGACTGTGAGTCCATTAAACCTCTTTCCTTTATAAATTACCCAGTCTCTGGTATGTCTTCGTTAGTAGCATGAGAACAGACTAATACAACCTCCCTTAACCACTTACAACATTGGTTTTCCTCATGATTAAATAGAGAAATTGGAATGACATATTGTCAACAGGAAGTCTGACTTTCCGTTTTTTAAAAAGGTTTCAGCTAAAATTAACTGGAACAATTATAGCCAGTTTCACCCCTTCTCCCAGTGATGGGGAGCAGCTTTGATGATAGGAATGGACCGAAGCTTCCATGTAGAATTTATCTAGACAGTTCACGGGAATAGACAGGGGATAAACTGAATAGATTTCTCCCTCCTCTGTTGAACATATGTCTTATACAAATTAATCTGGCAGTGTAAGCAAGAGGTAGAAGGGTAGAGGATAGTGGTGGTTATTATGGTGATTGAAGGAAGAAATGTATTTTTTTTTCCCTAAGACCTCAAAAGGTAGAAAAATATATGAACCCTGGTGGATGGTGTCTGGAGGATGTCTGAAGCCCAGAAGAAAGAATTTTTAGGGCTTCTCAAATAAGGGCAAGCAGGCAGCTGATGTCTACTCCCTGGAGGCCCCATGTTGTTGGCTGTGGGAAGGAGACAGTAAGTAGGAGTCCTTTGGTACCTGGGCACCTGTCTTGGCTAATAGAGCAGGGCAAAATGTGTCAGGAAAATGGGGTGCATGGGAGTCACCTGGGATGCAGGAGATGTGGGTGCAGCCCAGGCTCTGCCGCTCTCTTGCATGGGTGTGGAATGCCTCATCTTCCCCGGGGCCCCGCTGCACATAGAAAATGGAGAGGCTGGGCTGTCCCCAAGATTCCTGCTAACTTTTCACTTTATAAGTAACTCCTCACACCTTCCTCCTGAGCTACAAGCCCAGCTGTGTTCATGAGAGAGGAGGCAGCAAAGCAGATGAGAAATTAGGGAGGTTGTGGGGCCTGTCCTCACCTGTGTAAATGCTTAACTTTGAGATCTCAGCTATGTGACATTGACTCGGCTTCCTCATCTATATGGTGAGAGCACTGGACCAGAGAGGTGACCACTCCAGTTACTTCACAGTCCAAAGGCGGATTCTGTGGCTCTGTGTGTGCCCTCTTCATGGCATGGGGTGTGGGCACACTGGGACGTGTTCCTTGGCACGTGGCCGAGATGTCCCCTGCAGAGCGTCCCAGACGTTGGTGCGGCTGATGGTGGGGGGGCCATCACAGACTCTGATCAGATGCACAGGACTTGGGGTTTCGAGGACATTCTCTGGGGAGCTTCCTGCACTCTATTGCGCACAGAAACTACCGTGGATCTTGTTACAAGGCAGCTTTTGTTTTGGTGGGTTTGGGTGGCCCCAGAACCTGCATTTCTCTCAGGTGACCCTGGTGCTGCTGTCCCAGGGTCTCTGCTGGGAGTAGTGAGGGTGTAGACAGAATGAATGAACTAAGTCACTTCCGAGCTTTCTGGCTACACATTGCGCACCCAGCAATGTGGGTGACGGGTCTTGACATGGGCACATGTGCCGAGCTTAAGGAAGAGGCCTTGGATGGTGAAACGGAAAATGAAATGAGCACTTTTCTATTTTACCGGATCACACATGCAGGGACAGTCGCCTTCGCTCCTCTCCTCAGTGGTTTCCTGCACTGTGAATCTCTGCTCACTTTTCTTTTGCCTTTTATGCTCCAGTTAGCACCTCCTCATTCTTGCGTTTTCTGGAACAAGGAGCACCGGTGTCTTACAAGGTGGGGACCAGCTGGTTAATGCTCAAAAACAGGAGCAGGGATAATATCATTCCACGTCTTTAAACTCAACAATCTGAATGAAAGTAGGTAGTGGCACAGCAAAGCACCTGGGTCATGAGGCAAAAATGATTCTTGTTTTCAAATTTAATTCAGTTTTCTCCTTAGGCCAGCTGAACTTGCTGAATGATCAGTAAGTTCATTCTTATGGATTCTTCTTTTTGGGCAAGGCTTGAGTCTCCCTGGTAGTACCTTGATCCTGCAGTTGCTTCATAAGAGCAGGTGTGGAGGGCAGAGACCTCATATCTGTGATCTGGCGCTGCAAGAAAAAAGTTCATACTCTTTCATTTTATCAACAGCATGTTAAAAAAATCTCTATCTTGAATGCAGTGACTTTGACTCCTTTGGGGGGACTTTCATCAGGTCCCCAGGTCCAGAAAAGCTTCTTTTTTTTGGCTGATAGCTTATGCCATTAGACACCTCTGGTGGTGGCTTTGTTGAAGCTGGTCTGCTTTGGGATTCATGCCGAGGTGACTACGGGATGTAAACCAAAAATGACACACACATAGAACCTCATGCCTGCCCAAGACTCTGGCTCAACGTGGAGGGCTCCTGCAATAGCTGCGAAAATGGGACTGAGCTGAAAGGTACTGTTTAAATAGGAACTTTTGTTGTTGTAATTAAGAGGAGTCTAAACTTAATAACAAAAATCAAGGAGATTCTCTACTGAAATATTGCTTGGAACCTGGAATGAAAATTCAATTGCTGCATTCCTCTACTCTTCAAACAGGTTGACGCATGATTTGCAACATATAATATTTTTATACATAATGTATTTACTTGATCTTATACAGGGTGTGTGTGTGTGTGTGTGACATACATGCGCACATATGTAAGATATGTTCTTCTTCATAGTTCCTGTGTGAAATACAAAATATATGGTTTGTAATATGTTTCCATCGTAAAATCTGAGTGATGAGATACAGTAAAAAATGCACTTTGTGCTTTAGGCATTTATAGATGTAGAAATTTTTGCTGAGTGAAAGCTGTACATTTGGGTAAGTGACCAGGTCATCTGCAATCTCTGGAAAGTTGTGCAGTGGTGTATTCCGAACTTTGTTCTTGGGTTTCTCCCTGTCTCTTGGTTGGAAAGATATTAAATAAGGTTTTAAGTTTGAGCTTTTGATTGTTTTATTAGCATTTGAAACCATTATATTTGTGGAATTTGTGTTTCGTGATGCCACTAGAATAATCATGGCTGGATATAAGTCAGAACCCGTGGATTCCAGATCTTCACTATGTATGTCACAACTTTGTGTCTGTGGGTGCACATCTGCCATGGGTCAAACGTGTCATCATATGTTTAATATGGAGACACACACTCTGTCACTATCATCATCATCATGGTCATTGTCATTATTAGTATCATTGCTTTTGGGTTCCTGTTATGTGCTGTTTCCTTTTTATTTCATCTTATATCATCTCATTTTTTGTTTTAGCTTTATTGCAGTCTCAGGATTGATTTTCAGTTCTAGGAACTGGGCACAGGACACAGGGTCATGTGCAGATCAGTCAGCTCCCTGAGTGGTGAAGACAGCTCTGGCACTGCCCACCATGCCCCCTGCATCAGACTGTTTAATCACTCACACTCTTCTGCTACTGATGGCTCTGGGTGCGTGTGATGCATCTTCACACCTGCATCTTAGGTTTCTGGAGTGTAGAGACCCTGCCTTATGTTTGCTCTGTGTCTCTCAAACTGCCTTGCGTGGGACTCTCCACTTGGCAAGTGATCAGTGAAGATTTAATGAATCAATCGAACAGATACAGAAGTAAAAAGAGCAATCACTGCTTATCGGGTTTTAAATGGACACTCACCCTCCCAGCCCCCTATCCCAGCATGACTATACACAGTCATGCTTCCCACTGACCGCCTGGCCTCCTGAAATGAAGTACCACGCTTAGCAATTCAGAGTATTATCTTAGCTTTCAAACACATGGGCATCCTGACAGTATACACACTCCATTTTAAGCACCTGTGTGGATTCACTGTCTTCTAAATACCTGCTATATTTAAAGCAGCCTGTGCATGTGATATTTGCAACACCTTCCCAAGCAGCCTGGTCCCTCTGGTGTGGTCCTAAGGCCCTGTCTCCAGTTCAGTTTTCAATAACAAGCACAACTTGCTTCTCACAGCTTCCCAGGGGAGATCACTCTGCAGTCCGGCAGCGTCACCTTGGGAAAAATCGTGCTTAGGATGGGCTGACAGCTGCCCTCTGTGAGCTGGTAGGTCTCAGGTAGGGAAAGAAGGACATTGACTTATGTGAGCCCTGAAGAGTTTGAGAGAGGGGAATATCAGAGGATAGCATGGAGGCGATGTCTTTAGATCTGATGCTGGACCATTCCTGTTGGGTTAAAGAAAAGCTTATACATTTGATATGAATGTGATTGGAGGGCGAAGGCAATCGTGCTAGTATCTAAGCTTATCTCTATTGCAATGTCTGCATCTTAGCCAACTCTGTTACCTGCATGGCTCTGTTAGCACTGGGGCAACCTCTCTGATAGGCAGAAACTGACATTAATTAGCAGAAGCATATACCTTCATGGAAGTGATAATTGACGCTCATAGCAATGAGTCAGAGGGCCTCTTGGACCGAGAAATGCCTTTGCATCATAAAAGATAAGTAAGTTATATTTTGTATAGTTTTTATATTGAAATTACTTTTGTAATGGATGGAAATTGGCAACCCATGTAGCTGTGTATTAATTCTCTAGGAAATAGGAGCCTGTATCTCCTCCTGAAAAGCACATTTCCACCCCATCAGTGAGAGCAGCTCTGGTTCTCAGGCAGCAGCCTGCCTGCCCGCACAGGATGTGGACTGGGTGAATGTTCTGTGGTTCACTTCCTGGTACTTTCATGACTCATTTATGTTCTGTATCTCTAGCTCTCACCCTGTGTTTCTGATTTTTCCCATTGTGAATTGTTCCTTATATCCTGGGAGTTTGGGATCGAGAATGTCCCTAACTGAATTAAGTGACAGGCAGGCCTCATAGAAAAACATTGGTGAGAAATGAGTTCTAGTTTGAGTCACTCTTTTGTATCTGTGCTGCTTTAGATAAAACAGGGACTAGTCTTTAGGTTTAGTTGCTTTATTTGTCAAAGAAGAATGCAATGCCTTTGCAGCACGTCTCCTAAGAGACAATAAGACGATGCCTGTAAAAGCAACATGGACATCACTGAATGACCAGACACACACCAAGAATTACTTTTGCAGAGTTCTGCCGTGTATGGGCTTTTCTCTGCTTCTTGCCCCTTATCAGGGATGGTTTGGCCCCACCTGAAAATGCTTGGTGATGGGAAAGCCTGGAGGTAGACTGGTCCATCTATGTGTGATCTTGGACCATTATCAAAAGCAAGTGTTGAGCCTCCCAGCAGATAAGTTAGGGGGCTAAGTACTAGAATCAAGTCCTGAGGGAGAACACGGAGGTGGTGCTGCAAAGGCTTGTCCAAGATGTGTGTTCAGCAAACGGGTCTGGGATAAGAATCAGGGAGTGAGCCTAGGTGGAGCATGGCCTGTAGGAAGGTGGCCTGAAGAATTCTGGAGGACGAGAGATGTTGTGTGCCTTTAGGTGGGTGGCTTTGTGGCAGGCCAGTTTTCCCTGACAATCACAGAGACAGGCATGCATGACAATCACACAGACAGGCCTGCATAGCACTCCAATTACACAGACAGATTTCCACAGCACTGCCTTAACATTGGGTAAATAGTTAAATCTAGGGAAGTCAGTGCCCAGACATCAAAGCTAGAAATGAAACATAATGTTAGTAGGGGACTTGCATAGGCTTCTCCTAACCTGGAGCAAGCCAAAATAATAGAGACAGCCTTACATTTCTAGTGTCAGGACCTGCCTCAGGTCAACGGAATCTGAGACAAGTCAAGGGAACATAGGCAGCTGTTTGAATAGATTCATTGGAGAGTCTAAGGCAGCTCTCTGGACCAAGCTGTAAAGGAGATAAGATAGAAACTATCATTCCGGTACCACAGTAGACAGGCCCAGACCAAGCTGTAAAGGAGATAAGATAGAAACTATCACTCCGGTACCACAGTAGACAGGCCTTGAAGGTACTGGGGAACTATCACTCTGGTACCACAGTAGACAGGCCTTGAAGGTACTGGGGCCCTTTTAATCAGACTTCACAAGCATCCTTTGCCTCTGACCTTCTAGTTGAGACAAAACTAGTTACCAATAGACTTAGGCAAATGCTATACTGCAAGTAGGCACATAACTCCAACCTACGTAAGCACTAAGAAAATTGTAACACTTTGAGTTGGTCTGGTGGAATTATCTCTGGCCTTCTTCCTGTATCCGGTTATAGCAATAAATTCCCTTCTTTCCTAGTTTGTCTGCTTCTCATTATTGGGCCTCGAGAAAATGCCCCTGGACCTGACTTGGTTCCAGGAACAGCTTGAGCCTAAGTGAAAAGCCTGGGATGGGATAACATCTACATGGTATGATCAGAACAGCAACAAGTATCCGGGACGTGTCCTGGATGGTGGTACAGGGTTTGGGATGGGGTGGGATGTCAAGTAGTGTCTTAGGATTGTGAGCCCAGCACTCTCATGGGTAGGGTGTAGTGCTTAGCAGGACTGTCATCTTGGCTACCAAGAAGCCACTCCCTTGGATGGGAGCAGATGGGAAACTGGGGACCAGAGAATGGGTGGCTTTGCAGCAAGGGGCAGGCAAGTCTGAGTGGGTGTAGACTGGATATTGTTAACATTGAGCTTCATTTTTTACTTCTTTTTTGTGCCCACTTCTGCGAGCTTGGAAGTGATTCTGAAAGTTCCCAGAATTCAGCAGAACATGAATGTGGACAATTTACCTGCTACCTGGTATTCTATCACTAGAGCGTAATTTCATTAAATTTTCAAGAGTCTCTTTGAAATGCATGCTGTTGATCAAATTCCTCATACTATTTTCCATGAAGTTTGAGTGATACCAAAATGGAAGAAAGATTGATGCTTAGAGGGAGAAGGTAAAGTGTTAGGTTCAAGAAGGTGGAAAAACCAGTGCTCCCTGAACACAATCATTTTAGGGAAAGCTGCAAAGGTGTTTATTTAGGACCATCATTCTAGTGTTTCAGCAGCCAATTTGTCAAAGCACATGGCAGAGTAGACTAATGGCCTTCCAGGTCACATCCAATTCTAGGATTCTGAGACTCTGGACATTTGCTTATTGAATTGTTATCATCTTCCCAGACATGAAACAGGCTGTTTTTATAGCCAAAGGAATCTTATGTAGGTTTCACACATCCGCAGCTCTTACAAACTCAGAGAAGCTTCACTGGACAGAGATCGACACTTCTAACACTAGTCCATTTCTTATAAATTGGGGTATCTTCCTGTCTCTCTGGAAATGACTTTTCTCAATAGTTGCATATCTTCTGAGCGATTGGTTTGTTTTTATCTTATTAAGTATGCAAATTGTATAATTGTGACTCACAGAAATATAAAGCTATTTTTTGTCCAACTTTATTAATATAAAACCTTTAGTACATATTTTTATAGGCTTTATAATTAGTCACATTTTATGTCTTTATTCTTCAAAAACAGCAAACGAGCAAAAACTACCAATAGACCACATAGATTTTTTTCTTACGTCTACTAATTTAAGTTACCTTCTTGTATCTTGTAACTAACGTATCTCTTGATAAAAATTATTTGGAAGAAGTCAGTCAATAAAATGTGAGCAAACATTAGACTCGTAGAAGGATGCCACACAGACTATGGTGTCCATTTGAAGTGGTCTTGCAATATTTTTCACCGTAAAGTAAAATCAAGTCCGCAATGATTGCCTTTAAACCTGACCATGCAGCAGAATAATTTGGATAGCACTGAAGTAATTTCTTTATGTATTTGTATTTATTTATCAAAAATCTAGGCTGGGTGTGGTGGCTCATGCCTGTAATCTTAGTACTTTGGAAGGTGGAGGTGGAAGGACCTTTAGGGCCAGGAGTTTGAGACCAGCCTGGTCAACATAGCAAGACCCTGACTTTAAAAAAAAAAATCTAAAAAAAAAATTTGCACATGTACCTGAAAACAAACAGTACCATTGGCTTATGATAAAAAAAAAAAAAAACCCAAAAACCAAAAACCTCTCTTCACTCCTCAGACCAGCTTCCCAGTGATAACTGCATGTAACTCTTGTATTTCTTTTGGTGGTTTCTTTTTTATTTCCATATAATATGGTTTGATTGGTTTTTCTTACTTAATTAAGCTGAAACATACTCAATTGATTTCCTGCTACAGTAGATGACAATTTAGCTCTCTCTGCTTTTATGTCCCTCTTCTAAGCTGCTAAAATAACGCTATTTTACCTAAATCAGAATTTACTCATTGTAATTATATAAATACTATTTGTTGCAAAGTTGCATTGCGAACTAAAATTACATTTCCTTTTCTACATAGTATTTTGCTTTTCTTGGGTTTTCTCAAATTTCTTCACTTGGATGATTTGCTAGCCACAGAGCATTTTTGAGAACCACATTATGTCATCCGGAAATTTTCTCTCTCACAGCCCTCCAGCCTCCTCTCCAATCTGGACTGAGTTCTACCTAGGTCTGCAGCATGGCTAGCTTCAAAGATTCTGCTTTACAGATTAAATAACTTGTGCCTTTTGTTTTCTAGATTTTCTCTATTTCTTTTCTTTGCTTTCTATATTCCATCTTCCTGTCTCTCCTAAGAAATATTTCTTGACCATTTTTGAGTCACTAAATGTCTGATGATGTCTTTCTCAGCCATCATACTCAACTAATAATTTGGCTAGGTTTCAAATTCTAGGCAAAACAAAACATTTTCCTAGAATTCTACAGGTTTTCTACATTATCTTCTCCTTTCAGTGTTGCTGTTGATATATTTAAGCATATATATTAGAGTAACGACTCTAATTCTTGATCCTTTTGTATAGTTTTGTTTTCTGTTTGGAAGCTTTAAGGATTTTTTCTTTGTTTTTGATCTCCTAAAATTTCACATAACTGCACCTACTTACTGTATTTGTGTCTTCTATTGTATTGGGTATATGATAGATCTCTTAGATGGAAAACTTATATCTTAAAGTTTTATAAAGGTTTTTTGTGCATTTTCTTAGATAATTTTCTCAATACCTTTTCCTTTGAACTCTTTTTCTGGTGGTTTATTGGTGTTGATTCTATTGGTCTCTTATCTTTTCTGGTCTATGTTTTTGGCTTCTTTGTGTTTTATTTCTGCTTTTTGAGATATTTGGTTGACTTCATTTCTGACCCTTTTACTGATTATTTTATGGGAGTACCATTTACAAATTTCAGAATTTTTTCTTGTCATATTGCTCTTTTTCTACTTTTTACTTTTTTAAAAATGATACATAATATGTACATATTTATGGGGTACATGTGATATTTTGATATACGCATACAATGTTTAATGATCAAACATTACATGCATGTATCAAAATATCTCATGTACCCCATAATATGTACAAATATGTACAAATATTCTGTCCACCACCTCAAACATTTATCATTTCTTTGTGTTGGGAACATTTTAACTCTCCTCTTCTAGCTATTTTGAAATATATAATAAATTGCTAGCTGCAGTCACTCTACTGAGCTATCGAACACTAGAACTTACTCCTTCTATCTAGCTCTATGTTTGCACCATTAGCCAACCTTTCTTCATCCTCACTCTCCTCCTTCCCAGCAGATTGGTCCTTTTTAAAAGATGCCTGATCCTGGCTTTTTTGTTTCTGTTTGTTTAAATTTTGGATTTGATATCATCTTTTGTCTCTTTGAAGTATATGTTATCAACTTGGAGAGTAATCAGTTATTTCTGTTGTTTTTGTTTTCTTCTACTTCAAACATCATCTTTGTGTCCATTCTTCTATTCATTTAATTTTTTCTTTTTCTATTATTGGTTTCCCTTGAATATTTGAGGATCCTAGCTATTAGTTAATAGTTTAGACCAGGATTGTCAGACGTGTTCTGTAAAAGGCCAGATAGTAAATTGTTTATGCTTTGTGGCTATACTCTCCCTGTCACAACTATTCAACTCTGCTGTTATAGTGAGAATTCAGATATGAACAAAAAAATTGGCATCACTGTGTTTCAATAAAACTTTACTTACAAATGCAGGCTGTGTGCTGGATTTAGCCTGCCATAAATTTGCAAGCCCTAGGTTCAAAGTAGCTGATGGTATTAAAAAAAGCTTTTTGAGACCTGCATGTGCATAGACATGGATGTTTGACCTTGAGGGTGATGGGGGCAGATTCCTGAGGTTTTGCGCAGGGATCCCCAGCTGCCAGTATCTGGAGATCTTTCCTCTAAGCCCTTCTGTTTTTCCACAGAAGAAACCTCTGACGGCCGGCCTGGGTATAGAAGTCGGCCTGTGTTCTGCACACAGGCTGGGGTGAGGGTGCATGTCCTTCCTCAGGGACCTTTTTCCTGTCCGCCTTGCCTCTGGATCCTCTCCATAGAAAACACGGGCTTGCATTACAAAAAAGTGTCTTGGACTCTACCCCAGAACCACTGCATTAAAGTATTGGAGGGTGGAGTTCAGGCATCTTTACTTTTAAAACGTTCTGTAGGTAGTTTTGAGGGCAGACAGAGGGAAGAATTGGCTCTCTGAGGGATGGTTATTTTTCTGGGGTTTTGAATTTACAATTCAGAGAGGTTGCCACCTGCTGGCAAAGACATATTTTCCTAATATTTGAAAGACATTTAATTTTTTTAAAAGTCATCTTATCTTAATTGGAATAATTTATTATAAAATGAGAGAAGACCTTACTAGGGGACACACATCTGTTAACCACTGCTATTTAGAAAATTAGATGCTTGGAAAATTGTTTGACTGATGAGAGAACAAGTCAGGGAGTTGGCACTAGACTTTTAGCTTCAGGATAAAACTTAGTAGAACTATAATCCCAAGGGCCAGAGAAACAACACAGAAATAATTGGCAAAATGAAGTATGACTCAAAGAATGCACAAACTGTACAAAAGCGTGATGTGCAAGACAAACTCTCTGAGTTCAAATTGTTTTCACACAGGCTGCTTGAGGGTCTGTATTTTCCAAGATGAGACAGCAAGCAAACATTTCACAGCAACAGAGCGTGGCTTCATGTGTTCCAAATGCTACAATAACCTCGATCACCTCAGACCATACTGAATTGACTTCTGCCTAACACTACCCTAGTCCAGCCCTGCACGCCCTATAAGCCCCCTCACCTCATTTTCCCCTTCTGAGATGCTACCGAAACTCTTCCTCAGTGGCGATAGATGAACTGAGCTTTGTGTAATCACCAGGTCTCTGTGGTCCGCCTTGCACGGAAGCACTGGCAGTCAGGAAGCAGTGGCTGTCGCAGCACCTGCCACTCAAGAAGCTGATGGTGAAAAGCAAAACAAGGGGGTCCAGATGCTGCCCGACCCCAGCACTCAGCCACAGGAGGGGTGTCCTCAGCCTGCCTTCTATGTTCTAGCTTCGTCCAAGTGAGTCTCATTGGCAGAAATGAAACTGCGTCCAAACCTTGGCGGCAAGCAGTCTTGGACTTCTAGGTTTGAACTTTCTTGTCCCTAGGATAGGAGGGAAAGGAGGAGGGGGTGGAGAGGAAGTAGAAGCCAGCGATAATAGATAACATGTAGCACAGGCAATGTACACAAATCTTCTAAAAATAAGAGACACCTGGAGGTGATGTTGTAGTGGAAACATTGGTGACCTAGAGATAGAAGACCCGAACTTGGCACCTTATTAATTATAACCTCGGGAAAATTCACTTTACCTTAAGGTATTAAATTTTCCCTCTGTGTGTTGGTTATAATATTTATTTTCCAAACTTTTTTATGAGGATTGGATGACCTCGATTCAAAATGTGTAAAATGTCTACACTCGTTGAAATGCATTAGAGGCTTCAAAGACAGAAATAATAGGAGTTTAACATAACACAATACATTCTCCATTACCAAACTGTAAACAAATAACAGACATTACTGGTATCACACACACTATGGAAAAGATAAGGAGCTGGCTCAGGGCTAGCTGCACTTTTCCCATGGACTACAGCTTCTGGCTTCCTTTCTGTGAAAGCAGGGAAGCATTCCCTTGTCGTTAATTACTCTACATCGTATCATCTGACTTTCTCATAGGGCTGGCATCCTCAACGCAAGGGACTTTGTTTCCTTTAAAAAAATTGTCATTCTGCCGATCACATTACACATTTTAAACAATACAATAAAATCACTTTTAAGCAGATATACACATTCATTTCCTGAAAAGCTCAGGCATAGTATATGTATAGTATTACTTCATGATTAATATTGATGAGAAGGTTGCGATGTCCAAGGAGAAAGAAAATGCACGATTTCTGCCTCTTAGATGCCTGTTCATTTCTCACCACAGCTTATCTGGGAAAAATAATTTCTGCCGTGTGGTTAGGCTTTAGGCTCTATCTTACACTTTAATGGTATAGGTGAAATATTTAGCTTCGAAGCTCGATGTAATTTAAACAATTATTTTCACTACTTGTGCATGGTCCAGAGAAGCCAACAGTTATCTAGAAAGGGCTTTAGATTGAGAAATCACTTGATTTTACCATGTTTCCAGTCTAGAATTAAGACTTCATTCAGCAAAGTTTCTTCCGTCTATCTCACATATTTTGATTGTTGATGACACTTTCATTTATTACTCATTAAAATTTTCTGTGAATTATGAGAATGTATGATTGCAAATTCCTCCTTCTTCAAAGTAAATGGAAGCAGGATTCTCTGAAATGCCAGAACTCATAACTGGAAGTAGCCCAATAGATTAAGAGAACAATGCCACAGAATTGTCATTTTCTTAAAGTCTATCTGATAACTGGTCAAGGTCAAGATTGTGCGTGCATGTGTGTGTGCGTGCATGTGTGTGTATGCATATGTGTGTGCACTTCCCTTCTAAGAGATGATGCCTATGGATTCTGTTAAAATGTCTTCCGTTTGCATTTTAAATAGATTTCTTTTCAGTTCAATATTTTCTTATTCTTTTTAAAACTTTTTTTAAAAACATCTTCCCTACTCTAAAGTGAGCTTTGCTTCATGAAGAGTCTCTCGTATGCTTATCTATATATCCTTATCTCTATCTAGATTATCTGCTTCTGTAATCTCTAGTCATCATCTGTTGAATATAATTGAATATATATGTCGTGATGGTTAATACTGAGTTTCAACTTGATTGGATTGAAGGGGTGCAAAATATTGATTCTGGGTGTGTCTGTGTGGGTGTTGCCAAAGGAGATTAACATTTGAGTCAGCAGGCTGGGAAAGGCAGACCCACCCTTAATCTGGGTGGGCACCATCTAATCAGCTGCCAGTGCATATAAAGCAGGCAGAAAAACGTGAAAAGGCTAGACTGGTTAGCCTCCCAGCCTACATGTTTCTCCCATCCTGGATGCTTCCTGCCCTTGAACATTAGACTCCAAGTTCTTCAGTTTTGGGACTCGGACTAGCTTCCTTGCTCCTCAGCTTACAGACAACCTATCTTGGGACTTTGTGACCATGTCAGTTAATACTACTTAATAAGCTCCCCTTTATATATCTATATCCTATTGGTTCTATCCCTCTAGAGAACCCTGACTAATACAGATTTTGGTACCAGGAGTGGTGGTAGAGGAACAGAATATTAAGGATGGAGTTATTTTAGTTGGTTTTGTGATTTCTGCAGCTGGCTGCTTAGTATGATTAGACCTCAAAATGCTAAGGATTCTACTGCTAATGGTATGCAGAACACTGAGAATCCTTGGTATGAATGGTTCAGAGAGTTACACAAAATAAATGCATTTGACACTCCTGATTCATTGCTCGTGAGAGGCAAGGAGTTTGTTGACTCTATACATAACACCTTTGACCATATGTGGAGAACCCAGGAACATAATGAAGCTGGTTGGTTCCTCCTAAGTTCACTGGACAAAGTGATGAAAGAAAATGATGAACTCAGAGATTCTAACTCCTGCCTTCAGAAGCAGATACTGAGCCTCAAATCTAAGATTGCCCTGAGTCAGAGTCTTATTTCCTGTAGAGAAAGAGCTGACATTGTGGCAAATCAAACAGAAGCTCTTATC
Source organism: Homo sapiens (assembly GCF_000001405.40). Lineage (NCBI taxonomy): Eukaryota > Metazoa > Chordata > Mammalia > Primates > Hominidae > Homo > Homo sapiens. The sequence goes on from NC_000002.12 coordinate 4,057,683, forward strand.
ATGTGAGTGGCTAAACTGCAACTTAACGTGCATGCACAGCCTCACCAAGTGTCTACTGTTAAAGTGAGGGCATTGATTGGAAAAGAATGAGGCCCTGAAACTTGGAATGGGGACATGTGGGAGGACCCTGATGAAGCTGGGACACTGAGCTTATAAACTCCGATGAACCTTTCTTGCCAGAAGAAACAGCTTCCCCATCCCCTGTAGTGGCAACATCCCCTCCCTGACTCATGCTGCCATCAGCCTTCCCACTTTTGTCTGAGGAGATAAACCCTGTGCTACCTGAGGCAACAGTGATGGCCACCCCGAGGCAATTGCTAGGCAAGATAATGTTGATTCTCCTCAGGAACCAACCCCAACACCCTTGTTTGCTTCTAGACCTGTAACTTGACTAACGTCTTGGCAGGCCCCTAGAGGTGAGGGTGAGAGTGTGATCCATGAGGAGGTGTGTGACACTTGAAAAGAACTGCTCGATGTTTGTAATTTATATAAACAGAAATCTGGAGAACAGGCATGGGAATGGATATTAAGGGTGTGAGATAATGTTGGAAGGAACATAGAGTTGGGTCAGGCTGAATTTATTGATTTGGGCCCTCTAAGTAGGGATTCTGCATTTAATCTTGCAGCTCAGGGAGTTACACAAGGTTCTAATAGTTTATTTGCTTGGTTAGCTGAAACATGGATTAAAAGATGGCCTACTGTGAGTGAGCTGGAAATGCCTGCTCTCCACTGGTTTAATGTAGAGGAAGGGATGCAAAGGCTTAGGGAGATTGGGATGGTGAAGTGGATTAGCCACTGTAGACCTACTTATCCCCGTTGGAGGGTCCAGAAGATATACCTCGACCAATGCTTTGTGAAATAGATTTGTGAGGGTAGCACCTGCATTTTTGAAGAGCCCTGTAATTGTTCTTCTCTGTAGATCAGATCTAGCAGTGGAAACCACAGTCATTCAACTACAAAATTTAAATACAATGGGAACAATTGTATCCCGAGGTGGTAGGGGCCAAGCAGTGTCAAAGGCAAGGTGGGCATAGCTACTGTAATGGACAGCAGAGGCAAAGCAGCAATCAGAAGAGTCTCTGGCATTGGCTAATTAATCACAGTCTTCCTAGAAGTGAAATTGTTAGGAAGCCTACTGCATTCCTACTTAATTTATAAAAGCAGAAAATGTCCTGGTCAAATGGACAAAAGACAAATTTGAATTAGAAAAACAGAGTATGACAGACCCTCAATCAATTTCCAGACTTGAGCCAGTTTACAGACACAAAACCCCTTGAATGAAGGTGAGACTAGGTCCTTCCTCAAGGGGACATTTGATTTGCCACAGTTTCAAGGTCCTGACAATTTACACGTTAATCTTTCTCCCATCCTTCCCCAAGGAGACCTCCGGCCTTTTACCAGGGTAACTGTACACTGGGGAAGGGGAAATAATCAGACATTTTAGGGACTAATGGACACTGGCTCTGAACTGAGGTTGATTCCAGGAATCCAAAACGTCATTGTGGTCCTCCAGTTAAAGAAGGTCATGTAATTAATGAAAGCTCAGGTCTGACTTACAGTGGGTCCAGTGGGTGCCTGGACTCATCCTGTGGTTATTTCCCCAGTGCCAGATGTGTAATTATCAGAGATATACTTAGCAGCTGGCAGAACCCCCATGTTGGCTCCATGACTGGGAGGGTGAGGGCTGCTATGATGGGAAAGGCCAAATGGAAGCCATTAGAGCTGCCTTTACTTAGAAAAATAGTAAATAAAAAACAATATCATATCCCTGGAGGAACTGTGGAGATTAGTGCCACCATCAAAGACTTGAAAGACCCAGGGGTGGTGATTTCCACTACATCCCCATTCAACTCTCCTATTTGGCCTGTGCAGAAGACAGGTGGATCTCGAAGAATGTTGGTGGATTATCATAAGCTTGACTAAGTGGTGACTCCAATTGCAGCTGCTGTACCAGATATGGTTTCATTGCTTGAGCAAATGAACTCATCTCCTGGTACCTGGTATGCAGCCATTGACTTGGCAAATGCCTTTTTCTCCATTCCTGTCCATAAGCCCCACCAGAAGCAATTTGCCTTCAGCTGGTAAGGCCAGCAATATACCTTTACTGTCCTACCTCAGGGGTATATCAACTCTCTGGCTTTGTGTCATAATCTGATTCAGAGAGAACTTGATTGCTTTTTGCTTCTGCAAGATATCACACTGGTCCATTGCACTGATGACATTGTGTTGATTGGACCCAGTGAGCAAGAAATAGGAAAAACACTGGACTTATTGGTGAGACATTTGCATGCCAGAGGATGGGCAATAATTCCGGGACCTTCTACCTCAGTAAAATTTCTAGGGGTCCAGTGGTGTGGGGCCTGTTGAGATATTCCTCCTAAGGTGAAGGATAAGTTGCTGCATTTGGCCCCTCCTACTACCAAGAAAGAAGCATAATGCCTAGTGGGCCTATTTGGATTTTGGAGGCAACACATTCCTCATTTGGGTGTGTTACTCCAGCCCTTTCATTAAGAGACCTGAAAGGCTGCCAGTTTTGAGTGGGGTTCAGAACAGGAGAAGGTTCTGCAACAGGTCCAGTCTGCTGTGCAAGCTGCTCTGCCACTTGGGCCATATGACCCAGCAGATCCATTGGTGCTTGAGGTGTCAGTGGCAGATAGGGATGCCGTTTGGAGCTCCTGGCAGGCCCCCACTAGGTGAATTATAGCAGAGGCCTCTAGGATTTGGAGCAAGTCTCTGCCATCTTCTGCAGATAACTACTCTCCTTTTGAGAGACAGCTCTTTGTCTATTACTGGGCTTTGGTGGAAACTGAATGTTTGACTATGGGTCTTCAAGTCACCATGTGACCTGAACTGCCTATCACGAACTGGGTGCTTTCTGACCCATCTAGCCATAAAGTGGGTCATGCACAGCAGCATTCCATCATCAAATGGAGGTGGTATATACGTGATTGGGTTCAAGCAGGTCCTGAAGGCACAAGTATGTCACATGAGGAAATGGTTCAAATGCCCATAGTCTCCACTCCTGTCACCCTGCCTTCTCTCCCCAAGCCTGCACTGATGGCCTTATGAGGAGTTGCCTATGATCAGTTGACAGAGGAAGAGAAGACTAGAGCCTGGTTTACAGAAGGCTCTGAATGATATGCAGGCACCACCCGAAAGTGGACAGCTGCAGCACTACAGCCCCTTTCTAGGATATGTCTGAAGGACAGTGACAAAGGGAAATCTTCCCAGTAGGCAGAACTTGGAGCAGTTCACCTGGTTGTGCACTTTGCATGGAAGAAGAAGTGACTAGATGTGTAATTATATACTGATTCATGGGCTGTAGCCAATGGTTTGGGTAGATGGTCAGGGTCTTGGAAGAAGCATGATTGGAAAATTGATGAGAAATAAATTTGGGGAAGAGGTATGTGGATGGACCTCTCTGAGTGGTCAAAAACTGTGAATATATTTGTATCCCACGTGAGTGCTCACCAGCAGGTGACCTCAGCAGAGGAGGATTTTAATAAGCGAATAGGATGACCCATTCTGGGGATACCACTCAGCCTCTTTCCCCAGCCACTCCTGTCATCGCCCAATGGGCCCTGAACAAAGTGGCCACGGTGGCAGGGATGGAGGTTACACATGGGCTCAGCAACATGGACTTGCATTCACCAATACTGATCTGGCTACGGTCAATGCCAAGGTGACCAATTTGCCAGGAAACAGAGACCAACAATGAGCCCTCGATATGACACCATTCCTTGGAGTAATCAGCCAGCTCCCTGGTGGCAGGTTGATTATACTGGACCTCTTTCATCACGGAAAGGGCAGAGGTTTGTCCTCACTGGAATGGAAACTTACTTCAGATTGGGTTTGCCTATCCTGTGTGCGATGCTTCTGCCAAGACTACCATCCGTGGACTCTTGGAATGCCTTATCCGCTGTGATGGTATTCCACACAGCATTGCCTCTGACCAAGGTGCCCACTTTATGGCTAAAGAAGTGTGGCAGTGGGCTCATGCTCATGGAATTCACGGGTCTTACCATGTTCCCCCCATCATCCTGAAGCAGCTGGATTGACAGAATGGTGGAATGGCCTTTTGAAGTCACAATTACAATGCCAACTAGGTGACAATACTTTGCAGGACTAGGGCAAAGTTCTCCAGAAGGCTGTGTATGCTCTGAATCAGTGTCCAATATATGGTCCTGTTTCTCCCATAGCCAGGATTCACAGGTCCAGGAATCAAGAGGTGGAAGTGGAAGTGGCACCACTCACCATCACCCCTAGTGATCCCCTAGCAAAATTTTTGCTTTCTGTTCCCGTGACATTACGTTCTGCTGGCCTAGAGGTCTTAGTTCCAGGGGAAGGAATGCTGCCACCAGGGAACACAAGGACAATTCCATTAAACTGGAAGTTAAGATTGCCACCTGGACACTTTGGGCTCCTCCTAACTTTAAGTCAAGAGGCTAAGAACGGAGTTACAGTGTTGGCTGGGGTGATTGACCTGGACTATCAAGATGAAATCAGTCTACTACTCCACAATGGGGGTAAGAAAGAGTATGCAAGGAATACAGGAGATCCATTAGGGCGTCTCCTAGTATTACCATGCCCTGTGATTAAGATCAATGGGAAACTACAACAGCCCAATCCAGGCGGGACTACAAATGGCTCAGACCCTTCAGGAATGAAGGTTTAGATCACTCTACCAGGAAAAAAAACCAAGGCCTGCTGAGGTGCTTGCTGAAGGCAAAGGGAATACAGAATGGGCAGTAGAAGAAGGTAGTCATCAATACCAGCTATGACCACCTGACCAGTTGCAGAAATGAGGATTGTAATTGTCATGAGTATTTCCTCCTTCTTTTGTTAAAAACATGTTTGTATATGTGTGCACTTGTACTAAGAAAATATCTTCATTTTATTTCCTTTTTCCTTTATCATGTGACATAAGATTTATTGACATCATATCGGCATTTAAGTACTGTTAACTTTATGTAATACCATTTGGTTTGGGGATTGGTGCATTTCCAGTTGTATAAAGGATGGTTGTATTATGTTAGGCATAATTATGATCTTATTATTGTCTTTATTTGAAGATTATGTATGATCTCCAGAGATGTGTATGGGTTCAAGTTGACAAAGGGTAGACTTGTGATGGTTAATACTGAGTGTCAACTTGATTGGATTGAAGGAAGCAAAGTATTGATTCTGGGTGTGTCTGTGAGGGTGTTGCCAAAGGAGATTAATGTTTGAGTCAGTGGACTGGGAAAGGTGGACCCACCCTTAACCTGGATGGGCAAAATCTAATCAGTGGCCAGTGTGGCTAGAATATAAAGCAGGCAGAAAAACGTAAAAAGGCTAGAGTGGTTAGCCTCCCAGCCCATATCTTTCTCCTGTGCTGGATGCTTCCTGCCCTTGAACATTGGGCTCCATGTACTTCAGCTTTGGGACTCAGACTGGCTTCCTTGCTCCTCAGCTTGCAGACAGCCTATTGTGAAACCTTGTGATTATGTGAGTTAATACTACTTAATAAACTCCTATATATATAGAACTAATAGGAGATATATATATATATATATATATTTCCTATCTCTCTCTCTTTCTCTCTCTCTCTCTCTCTCTCTCTCTCTCTCCTATTAGTTCTATCCCTCTAGAGACCCCTAATACATATGTATACACACATGTGCACACACACATAGGTAATTCCTCCCCATCTAAAGCATACCAACCAAACCATTCTCTGGATGTTATTAAAAATAACTAGAATGAACAATTGTTTTATTACCAAATAGCATGTGTAATAGGCATAGGGAAATTAATGTTTTCCAGCTGGCTTAAGGGAACTTGGATCAAGCCCGTGTTAAAGGAAGAAGAAAACAGGCATGAGTCTAGCCAGAAGGAGACCAGAAAAGGTAAGCCTATTGTTGTCTCTCACATGGCGGACAAGCTCCTGACCAGCTGGCTGGACAAGAGGACCTACATATTTTGAAGATATTTTCAGACTGAAAGATAGTTATGCCCATGGTTTGGGTGGTCACACAGTAGCTCATGGCACAACATCAAGCCTTTTTTTTTTTTTTGAGAGTCTTGCTCTGTTGCCCAGGTTGGAATGCAGTGTGATCTTGGCTCACTGCAACCTCTGTCGCCCAGGCTCCAGTGATCCTCCCACTTCAGCCTCTCAAGTAGCTGGGACTACAGGTGTGCATCTGGCTAAGTTTTGGATTTTCTTTTCTTTCTTTTTTCTGTAGAGACCAGGCTGGCCATGTTGCCCAGACTGGGCTCAAGCGATCCACCTGTCTTGGCATCCCAAAGTGCTAGGATTACAAGCATGAGCCACGGTGCCTGGCCAAATCAAACCTTTTAAGAGTCCCCTGGAAATTTCTGGAGTCTGGTGAAACTCATGCATGGGCCTGGGACCGTGGTGAAAATGGATGTAAAAGGCACTTTCACGAGTCTCCTTGAATAGCTATTCACCTTCTGCTCTGTGATTGTCAGAGGTGGGTGACTCAAGGAACTGGCTGTTTTTTTTCAGACCATGTGAAAGTTCTGTTTGGGCAAAGCACCATGTACTACACATTTTATGCAATTATTAGTTACATGCAGAAAGCTGATTAGTCATGTTAAAAGGCCAGTCATGTCAAAAAGACTTATTTTGGTCAATAAAGCAAGTAACTCCAATTTAGTTCTCTGTTCGTTGAGTAATATCTGGATAGTTTTTGCTTCACTTCAGGAAGAATTTAAATATTACACAAGATAATCCAGTCTCCTGGATGTTGAAATTAGCACTGAGAGTCAGGCTGGAACCTCAAGTTGGGGGGTTTGTAGGTTTGCGTGTGCTTTAAATCCTTAGATAAAGGATTTAAATACCAGTCTCTTTACTTATTAGCTGTGAGACTTTGGCCACTTAATCATCTTGTTTCTCCATCTGTGAGGTGGGCATGCTAATAGCACCTACTTCATTGAGTTGTTAAGTAAATTAATCTGCACAAAGTGTTTAAATTCTCCCTGAAACACAGTAAATGCTATGGAAGTGTTAGTCATTGTTATTCAGAACTTAGCAGAATAGAATAAATACCCCTCCATGAAGAAAGCAAAAACACAAAAACAGTTTTGAGACTCCAGGGTTCACACCCATACAAATGGGCCTCAGGGAGCCATGTACCTAGGATTCTGGAGTATTCTATGGGGAAAGGTGCCTTTGAAAGTTGAAAGCAGTCGTGAGGCTTTTGGTCAAGAAACTGAAGTTCCACCAGTGGTGTTTATCTCCTTTTCAGGAAGATGCTTGGCAACAACCAGTTTGTATGAATAGTACCATCAAGGATGACATATTTCCCAGATCCTTTAAATCAAGTCAAGGATATGTGTTTTACTATAGTGCTAACCATGATAGTTATAAATAATTAGAAAAAGGGAACTGTTTCACAGATGGAACTCTATTTACCATTGACCTTAATTATTTGTTAGTTTTTATAAAGACTCGCTGCCACCTTTGTAGCGTCTGAGCTGGAGGGGAGTTCTGTTTATGATTGAGGGACTTCAATTCTCTTGTTTTCAAAAAGTGTGCAAATCACTCTCTCACTTTCTTCTGCTTTCTTTTTTGTTATATTTTAAAATATAGACCCAGCATACATAAACCAAAATTCATGACACACTGAAGTTGTAAAGCATGACTGTCATGAACACTTGTAAACCCATCACCTTCCCAAGGGCTAGAACTTACCTTAGTCTCTGTCCTCCATCTCATACCCACTCTCCTGCCAGCCCCTTGGAGCTGGACTCTGAATTGTATGTTTATTATCTACTTGCCCTTTTCAATGGTTTTATCACATATGTATTTGTTGTGTGTTGAATTTTGTTCCTCCCCACATTCTTACTTCCTGTATCTCAGAATGTGACCTCACTCAGAGATAGGGGCTTTATAAAACTAATCAAGTTAAAGTGGGGTCATTAGTGTGGATCCCAATCTGATATGACTGGAGTCCTTATCAAAAGGGGAAATTTGGAGACACAGGCATTATAGGGAGAGCATCATGGGAACGTTGAGATGGCCATCACAAGCCGATGAGAGAGACTTGGACCAAATCCTCCCCTCAACCTCAGAAGGAAGCAGCCCTGACAACACCTTGATCCTCAGACTTCTGGCCTCCAGAACTGTGGGATGATAGATTTCTGTTTTTTAAGCCACCTCGTATGTGGTACTTTGTCATGGCAACCCTAATGCAGTAGTACGTAAGTCTAAAAACACGTTTTCTTTTGTTTATTTCTGAGCACCATAAACATGGTGAAACATATCTTCTGGGACTTGCTTTTCTCACTCAACATTGTGTTTTTAAGATTCACCTATGTTGTCATATGTCTGATGCTCTATTTGTAAAGCTACTGGAATTTATTTTCCTCTTCATTGTCGTTTGAGTGGGCACTGTTTTATTAAAAACTTTATCAGCCTTTCTGTCTCTAAATTCTTCACTAACCATCAAGTATTATTTAACCAGTGTGATCTGAGCTGAGTTGGAGGAGTGTTTCCAGTTTCTCTTTTTTCCTACTTAACTTCCTTCTTCCCTTGCTTTCTTTCCACACCAGAGCTCTGCTCTTTTGGATTTCTAAAAAATTTCCAGGATTGACGTCAAGATTGTTGGTTTTTCTTCATCAGTTTACCTACATGGAGATGGCTCATAGGAAAGAGAGATGCACTGCAACCCAAGGACTTCCGGAAAGCAAATAGAATCCTGAAACTGTAAAAGCACATGTGAGAGGAGAAGGAGGCCTGGGGAACATGTGTGTCTCACCTCTGGACCCAGAGAGGCAGGAGTAGGTTTTCTAATGGGGGCTTTCTGATTCCTTGCTATTATACTTCACCTCCCGGTGAGGCATGTCTGTGAGCTGTTGATGCTTGAGTGCGTTCTCCCATGTGCCTTAGTATAGATGGGAGATCATAAAATTAGGTCCATAGATACCAATACAAATGGAACACCATGATCAATGAAAAAGGTGTTATAGATCAAACATTGATATTTTCCTTATTTGATTAAATAACCTGTCACTTTACCCAGCAGATAATCATTATTTTAATAAAATGAGATTTATGATACTCATAATCTGTTTATTGAATTCATATAAAATTATTGAAAAGTGATATAGCGTAACTCATCCTTTTCTTTAAAATATAAATATTCAGTGTTTATATCCTTCAAATGAAAGGGAATGTTCTCAGACCTGGCAATGAATATCATTAACTTCTATCTCACATTATATACCGGCTAAATAATTGAGAAACTTCTTTAATAAAGGCGGTGCAAACTGCGGAGGCTGTGGAGACTGAATTACGAGTTTTAATAACCACGATTGCAAATATTTGCATATTCAACTTGTTCAGACGTTATTGATTTGTTTGCCCTCTACACATGTGGAAAATAGATTTGAAAGCATGATAATAGGCCTGCACTTCTCTATCGATATTATTTTAGGTTTGGGGGAAGGAATCTAGCTCCAAGGCAGGGGCAGGGAGGGTGGGGGGGGCGGGCACTGGAAGTGACAGCAGGGAGCGCTCCCAGCAGGCAGGTGGGATGGAGGCTGCAGATTCCCCCAGACCAGCTTCCCACCCACCCACAGCTCTCAGGCGGCCTGAGGCAGGTGGAACTCACCCTTGATTTCTTAACAATTGACATCACATTGATCGCTGACTGAATTGATACTGAAAATGAAATCACTCTGGACTTTGTTCCTTCCTTCAGCCTACAGCTAGTGCCTAGTCAATGGCACCATGCCCCCATGCAGAATGACCTGCTAATGTGGCTTTCTCGTGTTTACTCCTCCATTTAATCCAGTGCCCCACTCCCACCCCCAACAGTCGCCAGGCCACGGGAGCTCAGTTGATGGGATAAAGTCACTCATACTGTATCCAGACTTAGAGACGGCCAATGACACTGACCGGACAGGCCCCTCCTGATCCTTTATCACCTGTCCCTGGCCTGGCCTTCCAGCCCCCACTATGGCCACAGGCCATGTGGGTGCTGGCTCCTGTGGTCTCCCCCCTCCAGAAGACTTTCCTCTGCTCTTCCCTTTCTCTTGGTGAGTTCAGACTTCCCACATCCACGTCATTACTACATAGCCCATCATAGAAAAAAATGTTTAAAGGATTTTAGGTAATTTGAATTTTCCCAAAGTATATCACAATGAGAATGGTTCCTTTATTCAAAGTATAGTAACAATTGAATACTGTATATACAGGAAATAGAAGGGAAACCCAAGGAGGTTTTTTTTTTATTTTTTAATTTTACTCTAAGTCCTGGGATACATGTGCAGAACATGCAGTTTTGTTACATAGGTATACATGTGCCATGGTGGTTTGCTGTACCTATCAACCAGTCATCTAGGTTTTAAACCCCACGTGCATTAGGTATTTGTCCTAATCCTCTCTCTCCCCTTGCCCGCGACCCCCTGATAGGCCCTGGTGTGTGATGTTTCCCTCAACCCAGGGAGGTTTTAATTATAAGTTTAAAGATGATTATCTAGTTATACACATAGATTTTTTGGGGTAATATGATTTATTAAAATGGTATAAAACCATAAAACATTTTCATATTGTGTGATAACTAAGTTATTAACAGATGAACATCCTTCCCATGCCGAGCTGCTGCAGAGCTCTTACCAATTTACTTGGAGTAGAAACCAACTTTCTATCTCACGGTGATCTTTTCTGTTGTCTTATGGGGAGGGAGTTGTCACAGATAGGCTAGATTGTGTAATACACTTGCAGTTAGACTGCCAGGTTTTCTTCTTAAATTTCCAACGTGCATCCTTTCCTCAGTTAGCATTAGCACTTTCTTTCTTTTCTTTTTTCCTATAGCAGTCTTGGAATAAAGATGAAAATACTTTGTACAATTCGTGATGCAGTGGAAAGAAGAGGCCCTCAGTGCTGTGAACCACAATTCAGTTATTAATAAATGGTTCTATGGGAACAGGAATGGTTCCACTGGATTAATCCTATTAATTATGGGTGGAAAGCCTACCATGTAAAATTGGATTATGATCATTTTTATTAAAAATGAGAATAAATTGAAGAATGAAGCAGCAATTTCAGAATTAGGTCATGGAGGAATCTAATGTTTTCCCTTGGGGGGTGAGGAGGAGTAGCCTGGTCAGGGCTGGAAGCCACAGGAGAGGAGCCCTTCTTAGAGGTCAGGTCAGTCCTTCCTGGGTCTTTGATATGGTTTGGCTCTGTGTCCCCACCCAAATCTCATCTCAAATTGTAATCCCTGGCCGGGCACAGTGGCTCATGGCTGTAATGCCAGGACTTTGGGAGGCCAAGGCGAGTGGATCATCTGAAGTCAGGAGTTCAAGACCACCTGGCCAACATGGTGAAACCCCATCTCCACTAAAAATACAAAAATTAGTTGGGCGTGGTGGTGAGTGCCTGTAATCCCAGCTACTCGGGAGGCTGAGGCAGGAGAATCACTTGAACCTGGGAGGCGGAGGTTGCAGTGAGCTGAGATCATGCCACTGCACTCCAGCCTGGGTGACAGAGTGAGATCCGTCTCAAAAAACAAAAAACAAAAAACAAAAAAATCAAGCCATTGTAATCCCCATGTGTAATTACAGGAGAGACCTGTAATCCCCACGTGTTGAGGGAGAGATGTGATTGGATCATGGGGGCGGTTCCCCCATGCTGTTCTCATGATGGTGGGTTCTCACAAGAACTGATGGTTTTACAAGAGGCTCTTCCCACTTTGTTTTCTCTCTCTCTCCTGCTACCATGTGAAGAAGGTCCTTACTTCCTTTTTGCCATGATTATAAGTTTCCTGAGGCCTCTCTAGCCATGTGGAACTGAGTCAATTAAACCTCTTTCCTTTATATATTAGTCAGTCTTGGGTATTATCTTTATAGCAGTGTGAAAACGAACTAATAAAAGTCTTCCATTGTCACCTGGGTAGACAGTGGGCAGAACAGTGCGTATAGCAGAACAGGCACTCAGGGAAGGTTAGCAGTTTTATGCCTAATTTCTTTTTAATTTCCTATATATTTTCACAAAATGATAATGACTCCAGCTAATTAGTCTAAAGGTTGACAAGGGAGTTTGAAGGTCATTTTTTTCTTGACTATTCAAGATATGATATCACTTTTGCCACAGCCATTTCTGTATGGAGTCGCCTTCAGACTGAACGTACTTAAGTAATCATTTTGTTTGCCGTATGTTGATAAAATTTGAATAGTGTTTTTCACTCCATATTTTAAGCAAAGCAGAGGTTCCATTTAGAGCCAATGATGCCTCGTGAGAGGTTTCTCATGCCTTCCAAGCCCACAGCCTTCAATCTGTTCTCATGAAGAATTTACGGACCCAGGTGGTACTTCATGAGTGGGAACTCGGGTGGCTGCAAAGGAATCTCTTATAGATTTGGCGAGGCAACTTACACAATCTAAGTGAATTTTGTTCCTATATTAGTGAGTGAGTTCTCATGAGATCTGATGGCTTTTATTAGGGATAATAACAGGCATTCCTTTTGTTGGAAGAAAAGAGAGTTGTCAAGGTTCAACAAAAAGGACACATTTTTACTTATGCTTTCTGGAATTCTTTAACAGGGATCCAGCAACCACCAGTGTGCTGTGCCGGCATTCAGGCACATCCGGGGTTTGCAGAAAATGCTGCAGTAGATGATGAGTGTGCACATTTGTGCTTGGGACAGTCCTGGGAGTTGAGGTGGGTGACAGGGGTTGGATGTCCCTGAGTAGGGATGCCAGGAAGCTGGGTGCCTGAAGGAAGGTTGATGGACTCCGAACCCTGTGTCCTTCTCACCACGTTTCCCTGCCTCCTGCTTCACAAAATAGAGGCAGTTAATCAAAATGTGTAACTCTTTTTACCAAGTTAAATTATATTTTCATTTGGATTTTGATGTCAATGATGACTTAGTATCTGATTGATCTGTAATTGCCCCTGGGGCCATTATTTCAGTCTTGCTGCTCTATCTGTTTTCCCAGCCACTTTTGTAAGCACTAAGTAAAGGGAAATTGCAAAAGTGACTGCTTTTTGAAAAATGCCTTAAGAATCATTTTGGAAGTTTGAAAAACCAAACTTGGTTTCTTTCACAAATCTTTATTGGGGTTTCTTAAATCATATACCCATAATTAATGTGATTAATAAAAAACTAATCATAATAATTAGCAATTACCTATAATTAATTACAGTAGAACTTATGTTAATGTGGCATATGCATTAACATTGTATATTATATATAACACATATTATGCATTAATAGTATATATAATATGAATACATATGACACATGATATATACAATATATTAATATACAATTGTTAATCATACAGAGAATATACTAATATAACGTTAATATAGAGCATATCAACATACTACCAATATTACATAAATTGTAATGATAAAATTATAATTATAAATAATGATTAATAATGACCAATAATATGGCTAATAACTAATTATTAAGTTGGTGCAATAACATGGCACCCTTTTTTTGAAAAGTCTAATGGAACTTGCCATCTGATTTCTTACACCTTCTCAGAATCCTTGTGAAGTTGCTGGCTGGGGATGGGAATAGTTACAGTGCGGAAACTGAAGCACAAAGATTTATATCCAGGCAAAAAGTTATTCAGGGATGAATCTAGGGCACGGAGTAGACAAAACAGACCTGCAAGCCTGCGTCTCAGCCTTCAGAGGTGCAGGGAGGGTGAGGCAGTCCAGCATGTGCCTTTCCCATGCCCGCAGCTCCACTCCTTAGGCTACAACCAACGTGGCCTGTCTGGCCGTTCCTGGGTGGTCTCTCTCACTGGCACTGGCTATTCTCATACCTTCTTAGAGTGAAAACGACTTCACCATTTACTTTGAACACCAATTGCTAGATTTTTCCAACACTTAATGCCTTGCTTTTTATAATCCATTTGAGGATTACATGAATTCCTTCTCCTGCCCCACCACACACATCCCGGGCTGAATAGCTTTTGGTTTGCATTCCTGATGCAAGTGCTCAGAGCTGGTGTTCTCCACGTTTTCTTTGGACTAAGAAAGCTTATACATGAAGAATTTTTCTTCTGCCTGGCTAAAACCTGCTGAAATGGTGCAAATCAGATGTCACGGATTTGTTTTAAACAGCAGCATTTAATGAAAACCAAAACAAATTAATAAAACTACAGAAAACAGAAATACTGACAGGCTTATCAATAATGGCAAGTAGTACCCTCTGCTAGAACAAAATACTCATTTCAAATCACGAACACTTACAAAATTTTAGAAGGCAAAGTATTTATTTTTGACTCATGGATTCAATGAGTACTGAGTGGAGGAAACTGGAAGGTGGAAGTGCAATAAAAGATATTTATTTGCAAGTGTGCATGTGTGTGTGGTGGGGGGTGTTGGGGGACAGATGAGGCATAGAAAGGGGAGACTAAAGCGAGGCTATTTATGTTTTTTTACATTTTATTTTTTTGAGACAGAATCTTGCTGTTGCCCAGGCTGGAGTGCAGTGGTGCAATCTCAGCTCATGGAAGCCTCAAACTCCTGGGCTCAAGTGATCCTCCTGCCTCAGCCTCCGGAGTAGCTGGGACTACAGGCGTGCACCACCATGCCCATAATTCAGTTATTAATAAATGGTTCTATGGGAACAGGAATGGTTCCACTGGATTAATTCTATTAATTATGGGTGGAAAGGCTACCACGTAAAATTGGATTATGATTATTTTTATTAAAAATGAGAATAATTTAAATTGAAGAATGAAGCAGCAATTTCAGAATTAGGTCATGGAGGAATCTAATGTTTTCTCTTGGGGGGCTGAGGAGGAGTAGCCTGGCCAGGGCTGGAAGCCACAGGAGAGAAGCCCTGCTTAGAGGTCAGGTCAATCCTTCCTGGGTCTTTGATAGGTTTGGCTCTGTATTCCCACCCAAATCTCATCTCAAATTGTAATTCCTGGCCGGGCATGGGATTTTTTGTATTGTTTCTGTAAGGATGGGATTTTGCCATGTTGCTTAGGCTGGGCTATTTAAGTTTGAATCAGAATAATACATAAATCAAACCCACTTATTTGTAATTACTTTGTAACTTCAGATTGATTGGGTTATTCAGAAAAAAACAAATCCATATGTGGAAAATCAGAAAACCAGAAAACTTAAGTAACCCGAGTAGATTAAACCTAGAAACAGATTTTCAGATGAACAGCCCCCCCGGGCGATAATGAGATATATATTTAAAAATATATAGATATGTTTTTTATATCTAGCTATATATGTTTATGTAGAAAGATGCTGTATTATACATAGATATATATTTTTAAAAATATACCTCACAATGATGATAAAAGCAGATATCTGTTTGCGTGTATACATATATATATATATAGAGAGAGAGAGAGACAGAGAGGGAGAACAGCTATAAAATTAGCTCCTGTTTGTGGGAGGTTTTTTTTAACTTCTGTAAAACTGCAAACATGAGCAGCATTGCTCCCTTTAGTGGAGACTCTGCCTTGCCCTCTTTCTTTAAGGGAAGCTTAATTGAATGGAAAAGCTGTCCTTTGTGCCTGGAGATAACAAATTTGGGTCCTGGTCAGTTGCCAGGGAAGCCGAGAAAGCCAGTGTTTGGGATCAGGGAGGAGCCTCCAGGACCGAGGTCCCCCCGTAGCTGAACTGAGGCCCAGCAGGAGAGGCCTCAGCACGAGAGCCTCAGGCAGACACATTGTGGCCCCGTGTGCAGCACCGCACAGTTCGAAAAGGGCTGCATTCTGTTGAAGCGAAGATGCTTTTAACCCATGAACTCACAGGCCTGCTTGGCTGTGCAGCGGGCACTCAGGTCTGGACACAGGATTTCCTAGTTACCAACTGAATGCTGAGGTTCACACAGGACCTAGGATTTGCTGAAGACCTTGAGCCCGCGGGGGGACACAGCCTGGAGCAGACAGCCCTGCTGCCATGGGGTGAAGGCAGGGTGGAGAGACAGTGTGGCCTGCACCCATATTCTGCCTGTGCCAGTCACTGCGTGTCAGGCAAGTCTCATTTCCTGCCCGGGAAATGGGGAACAGGATGGCATCCACCTCAGCAGGTGTGTGGGCAGTGGAATGTGTTCACATGTGCAATATGCTCCAAGCAGCGCCTGGCCACTGCTATGTGCCACGAGCGTTTCCCTGTCACCGTGATGTGATCTTTGCTGGCGTAATCGGGCTCATGTGAACTTCAGCCCATGGGCTCCATAGCATGTCCTGAGAAAACACCAAAGTCTGCATTTTAAAGAAGATAGGACACTTGTTGAATTAATTAGGCTATGGAAAATGTAATGTATAGCTGGTAGTCAAGCCATTCTATAATAGATGAGTCTAAACATCTTTTAGGCTTCCCTTTACAGCAGGGGTCCCCAACCCCCCAGGCCACTGTCTGGTAGTGGTCCATGGCCTGTTAGGAACCAGTCCACTCAGCAGGAGGTGAGTGGCATGTGAGTGTGAGAGAGTGAAGTTTCATCTCTATTTACAGATGCTCCCCATTGCTCGTATTACTGTCTGAGCTCTGCCTCCTGTCAGATCAGCGGCTGCATTAGATTCTCGTACGAGTGTGAACCTGTATTAGTCCACTCTCATGCTGCCATTAAAGAGATACCCGAGACTGGGTAATTTATAAAGGAAAGGGGTTTAGCTGACTGGCAGTTCAGCATGGCTGAGGAGGCCTCAGGAAACTTACAATCATAAGGGAAGGGGAAGCAAACATGTCCTTCTTCACATGGTGGCAGCAAGGAGAAGTGCCAAAGGGGGAAAAGCCCCTTATAAAACCATCAGATCTCATGAGAACTCACTCACAATCATGAGAACAGCATGAGGGTAAACACCCCCATGATTAAATCACCTTTCACCAGGTCCCTCCCATGTCACATGGGTATTATGGGAATTACATTTCAACTACAAATGAGATTTGGGTGGGGACACAGCCAAACCATATCAGAGCCCTACTGTGAACCCGTGTGTGTGAGGGATCTAGGTTGTGTGCTCCTTATGAGAATCTAATGACTGATGATCTGAGGTAGAACTGTTTCATCCTGAAACCATCTCGCCCCCAACCCCTGCCCATGGAAAAATCGTCTTTCACAAAACCGGTCCCTGGTGCCAAAAAGGTTGGGGACAGCTGCTCTGCAGAGTATTCATTTTCACTTCTTAAAATCCTTAAAATGTATTTACTAATAAAAAAGCAACAAAGGCTTATTTCATTTTCTTAGACTCTTATGCAGTCAGGGATGATGTCAGCACATCAGAACTCAAAGCCTGTGTCTTGGGATCACAGGGACCTGGTGCAACTACAACCGGGCTCACACCTGTGCTGTTCACATGGCTTTAGACACATGGCTTCACTCCCCTGAACTTCACTCTACCACCTGGAAACTTGAGAGCCCAGTGCTTATTTTGGAAAACTCTTCTAGAATTGGAGGTAGCATGTGTGAGGTTCCTCATAAACAGTATTTCATACCTCTGTTACTATTATAGTGGTGAGGGACCAGGTGGCTGAAATCATACCTGTTGGTATCTCTTTGAAATAAAGGTGAATTCATATTAGTTTCCTTGGGGTGTTGCAGCAAAGTACTGCACACTGGGGGCTTAAATGACAACAATCTACTCTCTCACAGTTCTGGAGACTGGAAGTCTGAGATCAAGGCGTCAGCAGGGTGGGCTCCTTCTGAGTGAGGGCTGTCGGGGAGAAGCTGTTCCAGGGCCCTCTCCCTGGCCTGGGGATGGTTGTCTTTATGTTTCTATGGTTCTGTTAGGGTGTGTGTCCAAATTCCCACTTTTTATAAGCACATCAGTCATATCGGATTAGCACCTCCCTAAGCACCACATTTCAACTTGGTTACCTCTGCAAAGGCCCTGCCTCCAAATAAGGTCACGTTTGGAGGCTCTGCTAGGTGAGGACATCAGTATTGGAATTTTGTGGGAACTCAACTCAACCGATTACAATTCTATTATGCATTTCTGACATCAGAGCTGGTTAAGAATATTCTTTTAGGCCTTCAGAAGTCCTTACACTTTTAGCCTAATATATAACCTCATTTATATTTATAAGAACCTACTGAGCCTGTAGAAGGCCCAGTAAGCTTTTTTCTTCCTTCCCTTCCCTTCCTTCCTCCTTCCCTCCCTCTCTGCCCCCCTCTCTTCCTCCTCCTCCTCTCATCTCCTTCTTCCTTCCCTCCCTCCCTGCCTCCCTCTTTTCCTTCTCCTCTCCTTCCCTTCCCTCCCCTCCCCTCCCCTCTCTTCTCTTTCTTCTTTTTTTTCTTTCTTTCGTGATTATACACTCGTAACAAAGAATGTGAGTACACAAGGCAGTCTTCCCACTTCGTAGAGTTGAATCTTCTCTGTGGTAAGACAATGTGCGCTGATGCAGTTCTAATAGTTAATATAAATAGGGATAAAAGTTTGACCCTGGCTACTCATTGAACAAATAAAAATTAAGCCAGTAGGGATAGCATTTCTCATGTATAATATTGATAAATATAAAAATAATCATTTCCTGTGTAGGAAAGTGAGCACTCCCTTTTACTTGGGTAGGCCTAGGTGTTGATGCGGTTTTTCTGAAGGACAATTTGGCCCTCAGATGTGTTTGTAATACATCTGCAAACGCCATGATTAGACACTATCCAAAGGAAATAATTAACATTTAAAGGCAAAACTTTTAATTTTAGATGTTAATAATATTCGAAATGGGGGATTTTCTAAGTAATGATATGGAGATGATTAAATAAATATGGCCCACCTATACACTGAAATACTATCCAACCATTTCAAAATTTTATAGGTGAATATTTATTGACATGGAATGTTGTTCACAAAGTTGTAAGTTTCAAAAGGTAAAATGGGTTATAAAATATTATATTACGATTCCATTTTGGTAAGAACATGTACATGTGAACATAAAATTCTGTCTGGAAAAATATATACTGAGGTGCCAACAGAGGGTGTATCTGGTATTGTGAGCATTTTTGTTTAACTCTCTTTTTGCTTGCCTCTTATTTTTTCTTTAGTGAGAATGTGGGGTTTTTTTTATATACATAAAAAAGATTTATCACTATGTAACCCCCTTCCACCTTCAACCACTTTTCTCTAGGTCTGAAGCCTCAGCTGCAGTGGAGATTGTCATTTGCCCACTTATTGCCAGGAACCAGAGTTTATGTACTGTTTGTTGCTTTCATGCTGAAAGTTACCCTCCAAAGCTGTTTTCTTAACATTTCTAGATTCTATATAAATCAAAGAATTATGCTTTGAAGCTTGTGGGCTGGTATGTGGGTGGCCTTGAGATGTCGATGATGGGGTGGTCGCCCCTAGGAAGTCAGAGGATGTAAGCATTTGACCATATTCATGTTTTATTCTTTTAAGAAAATGCTACTTAAGTTGATAAGCATATTTCCTCAGCAGAGAGAGACTGCCAGATAAGAGAGTGCTCTGAAGTGGCTGGGGAATACCATAACCTTGTAAATCTGATTTAACTGAATAGACATTGAAAGCATTAAACAAACAGAATACTCTCTATTGGAGCTTTGCCTGAATAAAAGAGTGTAAGAAGTATTGAGTTTGTGGTACTCAATAGAACTATTATTTGTGATTAAATGCCAGATTAAATGACTGGAGAGCAGCCAACTGCCAGGTTGTAAATACACGAAGATCAGGGCAGCAGCCACCTCCCCTCTTATCACCCACTGCTTCATTCAGCTCCACCTGAGTGTCTGCGTCCTTCCTTCCCGCAATTTCTCACTTCTGTAGATGCAAACAGCCAGTCTCCTCTATCCAATACCTTGAGAGCAACTATACTATACTCAGAATGCTTCTTTTAAAAGATTAAAGAGTTCATAAATCTGCAAAGTTGTACCTTTTTGCCTCCTATTTATCTAATTTGCTGATCACATTATGTGACTTTAAGGAGCATGTCTAGCTCAGTGGTCCATTGTTAGCAGAAACAAAGCAGGGACCCAATGTTAGGGACATATTTCTTTTTATAACTCTAGGAAAAGCACACACGAATCTTGCATTCAGAAAAAATAATTTGTAGAGCACAGACAATGCTATTCTACACACGTTGGTCTTTTGCTAGAAACTCAAATATTCTGCCACTCCCTTTTATCCATGATAAATGACGAGCATCAGAGTAGCATAAGTAAGAAGTAACATTTATAGAGAGCTTTATAGTTTATAAAATATATTTAATCTATGTTCTCTGCTTTAATATCAATCTTTGTTCTGTCACCTATCACTAAGTTTTCCCATTTTACTTCTGGAAAAAAATAGGAGATATACTGCTAGAGATATTATCCAAAATTAATTTTCAGCTTTCCAGCTTCTGGAACTTTATAACCCTAGTTCTCAAAACTTGCTGGCTCTCGCTTTATGGTCTAGAGAACCAAGGTAAAATGGTCAAACATCTCAAGGGTTAGCCTTGATTTTAAGATTTCAAAATCTATATTCTAAATGATCTCAGTGGCAGGAGTTTCACATGAGGAATGCTGAAACCAAATGGGAAAGATGGTCTTCATAAAGGTAGGCAAGTCGTATTTACAAATTGAATTGGGAACATAGCTTTCGACAGAAATTTTAAAATGATAATTGTAGTTGCCCTCATGCTATTTGTTTTAGCTCTTAAAATTTCCCAGTAACTGCGTTTATTTATTCTTTAGGTTATAATGAGAGAGCTCAGCTCAGCCGAAGTGGCAATCACACTGGAGAACCCTGGGATGGAGAACACTGCGTGTCTCAGATGCCCTGGGATGGTGGGAGGAGGTTAGACAGGCCCATTATACATATGTTACTTCACGGTGTTGAAAAATCTCATCAGGAGACTCCACAGAAATACTGAACTGCCTAGAAGATAAGAGAGGCCTCTGGGGTCTTCCACATATGAAACCCCTTGTTAATGACAACCGCTTGGTGATTAATAAAAAAGTTTTAACTCCCCTCAATAAGAAAAATATTATCATTACTTAACAAAAACATTGGGGAACAACTTCCCTTGAGCCAAATATATAAGTTCCGGAACAGGAGAGATCTGTATCTTACGAAGATCAAGTGCCCAGCTAGCTTTACATTCTTCTCTTTATTGAATAAAGCAAAAACTTTATTTCTGAACTAAGATATAACCTGGAATTGGCCACACATTTTCCTAGAAAGTCTCCATTTCTCTAAAATGCCAATATCCAATTGTTTTATACTTCAAATGTAATTTGCTGTCTAAATATGCTTATGTGGTTTACCTCTTTATTGTCCAATGTGCCTGTTTTCATGTAATGCTTTTTTAATTTTAAAAAATTTTTATTTTATTTTATTTTGTTATTATTATACTTTAAGTTCTAGGGTACATGTGCACAATGTGCAGGTGAGTTACATATGTATACATGTGCCATGCTGGTGTGCTGCACCCATTAACTCGTCATTTAGCATTAGGTATATCTCCTAAAGCTATCCCTCCCCCTCCCCCCACCCCACAACAGTCCCCAGAGTGTGATGTTCCCCTTCCTGTGTCCATGTGTTCTCGTTGTTCAATTCCCACCTGTGAGTGAGAACATGCGGTGTTTGGTTTTCTGTCCTTGCAATAGTTTGCTCAGAATGATGATTTCCAGCTTCATCCATGTCCCTACAAAGGACATGAACTCATCCTTTTTTATGGCTGCATAGTATTCCACAGTATGTATGTGCCACATTTTCTTAATCCAGTCTATCATTGAGGGACATTTGGGTTGGTTCCAAGTCTTTGCTATTGTGAATAGTGCCACAATAAACATACGTGTGCATGTGTCTTTATAGCAGCATGATTTATAATCCTTTGGCTATATACCCAGTAATGAGAAGGCTGGGTCAAATGATATTTCTAGTTCTAGATCCTTGAGGAATCCCCACACTGTCTTCCACAATGGTTGAACTAGTTTACAGTCCCACCAACAGTGTAAAAGCATTCCTATTTCTCCATATCTTCTCCAGTACCTGTTGTTTCCTGACTTTTTCAATGATTGCCATTCTAACTGGTGTGAGATGGTATCTCATTGTGGTTTTGATTTGCATTTCTCTGATGGCCAGTGATTATGAGCATTTTTTCATGTTTCTGTTGGCTGAATAAATGTCTTCTTTTGAGAAGTGTCTGTTCATATCCTTCACCCACTTATTGATGGGGTTGTTTGACTTTTTCTTGTAAATTTGTTTAAGTTTTTTATAGATTCTGGATATTAGCCCTTTGTCAGATAAGGAGGTTGCAAAAATTTTCTCCCATTCTGTAGGTTGCCTGCTCACTCTGATGGTAGTTTCTTTTGCTGTGCAGAAGCTCTTTAGTTTAATTAGATCCTATTTGTCTATTTTAACTTTTTTTGCCATTGCTTTTGGTGTTTTAGTCATGAAGTCCTTGCCCATGCCTATGTCCTGAATGGAATTGCCTAGGTTTTCTTCTAGGGTTTTTATGGTTTTAGGTCTAATATTTAAGTCTTTAATCCATCTTGAATTAATTTTTGTATAAGGTGTAAGGAAGGGATCCATTTTCAGCTTTCTACATATGGCTAGCCAGTTTTCCCAGCACCGTTTATTAAATAGGGAATCCTTCCCCCATTTCTTGTTTTTGTCAGGTTTGTCAAAGGTCAGATGGTTGTAGATGTGTGGTATTAATTCTGAGGGCTCTGTTCTGTTCCATTGGCCTATATCTCTGTTTTGGTACCAGTACCATGCTGTTTTGGTTACTGTAGCCTTGTAGTATAGTTTGAAGTCAGGTAGTGTGATGCCTCCAGCTTTGTTCTTTTGGCTAGGATTTTCTTGGAAATGCAGGATTTTTTTGGTTCCGTATGAACTTTAAGGTAGTTTTTTCCAATTCTGTGAACAAAGTCATTGGTAGCTTGATGGGGATGGCATTGAATCTATAAATTACCTTGGGCAGTATGGCCATTTTCACGATATTGATTCTTCCTATCCATGAGCATGGAGTGTTCTTCCATTTGTTTGTGTCCTCTTTTATTTCGTTGAGAAGTGGTTTGTAGTTCTCCTTGAAGAGGTCCTTCACATCCCTTGTAAGTTGGATTCCTAGGTATTTTATTCTCTTTGAAGCAATCGTGAATGGGAGTTCACTCATGATTTGGCTCTCTGTTTGTCTGTTATTGGTGTATAGGAATGCTTGTGATTTTTGCACATTGATTTTGTATCCTGAGACTTTGCTGAAGTTGCTTATCAGTTTAAGGAGATTTGGGGCTAAGACAGTGGGGTTTTCTAAATATACAATCATGTCATCCGCAAACAGGGCCAATCTGACTTCCTCTTTTCCTAATTGAATACCCTTTATTTCTTTCTTCTGCCTGATTGCCCTGGCCAGAACTTCCAACACTGTGTCGAATAGGAGTGGTGAGAGAAGGCATCCCTGGTCTTGTGCCAGTTTTCAAAGAGAATGCTTCCAGTTTTTGCCCATTCAGTATGATATTGGCTGTGTGTTTGTCATAAATAGCTCTTATTATTTTGAGATACATCCCATCAGTACCTAGTTTATTGAGAATTTTTAGCATGAAGGGCTGTTGAATTTTGTGGAAGTCCTTTTCTACATCTGTTGAGATAATCATGTGGTTTTTGTCTTTGGTTCTGTTTATAAGATGGATTACGTTTATTGATTTGCGTATGTTGAACCAGCCTTGCATCCCAGGGATGAAGCCAACTAGATTGTGGTGGATAAGCTTTTTGATGTGCTGCTGGATTCAGTTTGCCAGTATTTTATTGAGGATTTTTGCATCGATGTTCATCAGGGATATTGGTCTAAAATTCTCTTTTTTGGTTGTGTCTCTGCCAGGCTTTGGTATCAGGATGATGCTGGCCTCATAAAATGAGTTAGGGAGGATTCCCTCTTTTTCTGTTGATTGGAATAGTTTCAGAAGGAATGGTACCAGCTCCTGCTTGTACCTCTGGTAGAATTTGGCTGTGAATCCGTCTGGTCCTGGACTTTTTTTGGTTGGTAGGCTATTGATTATTGCCTCAATTTCAGAGCCTGTTATTGGTCTATTCAGGGATTCAACTTCTTCCTGGTTCAGTCTTGGGAGGGTGTATGTGTCCAGGAATTTATCCATTTCTTCTAGATTTTCTAGTTTATTTGTGCAGAGGTGTTTATAGTATTCTCTTATGGTAGTTTGTATTTCTGTGGGATCGGTGGTGATATCCCTTTTACCATTTTTTATTGCATCTATTTTATTCTTCTCTCTTTTCTTCTTTATTAGTCTTGCTAGCAGTCTATCAATTTTGTTGATCTCTTCAAAAAAGCAGCTCCTGGATTCGTTGATTTTTTTGAAGGGTTTTTTATATCTCTATGTCCTTCAATTCTGCTCTGATCTTAATTATTTCTTGCCTTTTGCTAGCTTTTGAATGTGTTTGCTCTTGCTTCTCTAGTTCTTTTAATTATGATGTTAGGGTGTCGATTTTAGATCTTTCCTGCTTTCTTTTGTGGGCATTTAGTGCTATACATTTCCCTCTACACACTGCTTTAAATGTGTCCCGGAGATTCTGGTATGTTGTGTCTTTGTTCTCATTGGTTTCAAAGAAGAGTAATGATTCACAAATTACAAAATATTTTGTAATTTTTCTATAAATATATATTCTTGTTTATATTGACTGTGATTTATTTCAAAATAAGTCCATTGTAAAAGCTATCATGATATGCACTGAGTTTACCATCTTGAAATACAATGGTATAAATAAAAGTTCATTATAGGTCTATATTCTAAATATTTTTGCAGATGTCATGAAATCTGGCACAGAGAAAGGAGTTAGAGGAGACACATTTGTGCCCCTGGAAGTGACTGTTCACAGAGCTACAGGATTTGGCTGTCTTGTGAGACCGCCTGGGCATGCAGGATTCTCGCCTTAGCAAGGTTCGTTGCTGGTGACGGTGGGAAGTACCAGATGGAAGAGCCAGGAGGGAGTTAGTTTGGCAATCTAAAGTTTCCCGTGTCACTTGAGAGGAAGAGAGAGAGTGACTGTTAGTGACGCCCCCAACAATGAATTTTCAGCTCTATGTTTCCTGGGATTTTATATCTGTTTTTATCAAAAACTGTGGACTCTCACAGGGGCCCAGCCCACACCCCCATGTGCTTTCTGATGGGCATCTGCACATATTCTAAATGCATGATGACAAAATCACAACCTGGACGGTGTGGAAACAAGCCACCCTGCTGGAGGCTTCTGTCACTTTCTGCAGGGTCCCAACATGACACGCAGACTAGGATCTACAGTCCCCAAATTGAGCAAAGATAAACTCACTTTAGCAAATCTCAATCTCTATCCACAAGGGCAAAAGGGCCCTTTTAGATTACACATTGCTGTGTTATAAAATACAAAACGGGAGGAAATCAACAGCAAGAAGGAGCGCAAATGAGCAGACGAGAAGGGCAGCATCGATGTGATTGAGTTTCCAGCCCAAGATGGCCACTGGTTTTAGTTTAAGTGCTGTGTAGCAATAGAGGAGGAAAACCACGGTCGCGTTTGTTAATGCCAGGTGGCAGTGTCAGATGGTCTCGAAAGAGGGACACAGAGCCGACACATTGCGGTTTTATAGACTTGTCTTTGTTCTCTAAAACTGGGCACAAGTTGGTTCTGATGAGCATTTTGGATGACCTGGTTCTTCCCAGAAGTCAGCTCCAGTGAACTCATCCTTTCCTGTCTTTCTCTTGGTTTGGCTTTTAAGCAAACCTGTCTTCCAGCTGCATCATGTTTCCAATGCTTAGGGCATCCTTTTGCTGCCCCCGTTTAAGTCTGCAACTCTAAAGCCACCTCGCTCCCTGCACAGAGAGCCCTACTTAGGCAATGCCACGTCCCCAGTGCCAGGACAGGAGCTGCATGTCCTGCTTGGAAAGGCCGGACCCTTAAGCCGTGAGTGCTTTGTCCTCCTCGAGGCACCCACCTTTCTGATTTTGTTGGCTAGTATCTCATTCTCATGTGAACACAGTGTACAGTAATGGGTGGTATACATTGGACACATTCTATTTGCCAGGAGTCTTGCAAATCTGATCTCATTTAGACTAGATTCAAATCCCTTTTCTGCCATTGCTAATGGTATGCACCTAGGGAAGTTAATAAGCCTGTCCTTCAGTACGGGCTTGGATTAAGGTGGGCTAACAGGAGACTCAAAATATGTAATGGCTCAAACCCAACAGAAGTGTCTTTCTTGCTCACCCGTCTGTCAGTCATCCAGGAGCCTAAGCTGATGAAAGTTCTGCCCATGTCAGCATGTGGCTTTCCGGTTTTGCTCTGGGGTCCTTTTCCTTCCACATTTCTAGGAGGATGCTTGAGTGTGATGGAGGAGATTGCTTGAGTGTGATGGAGGAGGATGCTTGAGTGTGATGGAGGAGGATGCTTGAGTGTGATGGAGGAGGATGCTTGAGTGTGATGGAGGAGGATGCTTGAGTGTGATGGAGGAGGATGCTTGACTGTGATGGAGGAGGATGCTTGAGTGTGATGGAGGAGGTTGCTTGAGTGTGATGGAGGAGGATGCTTGAGTGTGATGGAGGAGGATGCTTGAGTGTGATGGAGGAGGATGCTTGAGTGTGATGGAGGAGGATGCTTGAGTGTGATGGAGGAGGTTGCTGGGCTATTCTTACAGGCCAGGTCTGCAAGATACACGCCACTGCCATTCACACTCTGCTGGCTCTCAATCAGTCACGTGGCTCTTCTGGCATACAGGGAGTCTGGGGATAGATTCTACCCATATACCCAGAATAAAAAGATAGTGCAGTCCTGTGGAACAACTAGACATCTCTAACCATGCTATGGATTTGTTATGGAGAATAAATGAACCAAATAGTGCAATGCTTACAAAACTGTCTGGTGAACAGTAAGCATTCTATGAGCATTAGCTACCTGTGTTTATTATTATTAGAAATAACTCAATGTGTGAAGATTACAAGTCTGTTTTAGAAGATGAGGAAACAGAGGCTCTGGCTAAGGTTGAGTAGTGGCTAGGAGCTGAATTTGGGATTGAACCCAAGTTTGCTAAAGCCCATGATTTTTTTTTCACTGTTTTGGGATCGATACTATGTTTGCTGTGAAATCCACTGTTTTCGAGTCCTAGACCATAAAGGCAAAAAAAAAAAAAAAAAATTAGCTAAATTCTTCACTGATGTTGTGAAGAGCAAATCTCCTCAAAGCATTTTTATTTACTTTCCTAACAAAAGGAGAAGATACTCACTTTTGTAAAAACTAAAGCAGTTTAAAAATCGATTGTCTCTTAGAAAGCTTAAAATCACTTGCCATGTTTTTAACGTGCTTAGCACAGTCCCTTGCATGTAGTGAGTTCTCAAAGCCATTTGTCTCTATTCTTGCCATTTTGTAATTTACGATGTACTGACATAAAGCGTATAAAAAATAAATGTTAGGAAATTTTTCCCAAAGGCAGTGAACACTTTCAATGAACCATAACATATACCTTTTCCTTCTGCACACCGCCAGTCAGTGTGTGAGCTCCATCTCCACGCCCCCTTGCTATTTGCCTTATCACCTTAGTGAGCGCACTCATCCCATTTCCGGGTGGAATGCAAACAGTAGATACAATGTATGGCATTGAGTGAGTTCCTCCCAGTCTGCCTACTAGGCTTTTCTCCATATTCGAGTTTTTACCTAAGCCTTCTAAAGGAACAACTGTCTTCATTGCATTTTACATATGTGTTATCACATCAAGTTCTTGGGAGATATTTTTGATGACGAGGAAACGTGTGTTGCTGTGACTGAGGTTGACAACTGTGTAAAAGCACATTTCCTTTGTCTTTTAGACGCATCATGTTTTAAAAGCTGTCTGTTTCACAGCAGTGTTTTTTTCTTGTCATGGGGAGCACAGGGAAATGCTGGCATTGATTTTTAAGACATTCCAGAGTTCCTGGAAGGTCTGTTGTGTCTGAGGGTCCCGGCTGCCCAGCGAGCAAGGAGAAGCTGCTGCCCACTCGTGGGGCCCCAGGCTCCACCAACACCACTCAGAAGCTCTGGTTGGCACCTTCATTTGTAGCACGTTACCCTGGAGTTGGAGGAGGGCCCAGTGTCTGGGATGCCACACTGTGGCTGGGATTACTGGGGGTCACAGATTGACATCAGCAACTGGGTTTATCTCAGTAAATTACATTTATACACAACTATTTCTATTAGGTGTGATCATAAATTATGGGCCTGCCTAGAAATCATCCGTTTATTTTCTAGAGTTAGTTTTAAGAAAATATGAGTCATTGCTGCTGAAGGTGAGAGTTAACTGGGTAATTATTTTGGTTTTAATTTCTGCCAAAGGAACAAAACAGATGCAGATGAAGTCCCTGGAGAGTTACAAATTCCCATAATCCATTTATTTTACTAAACCTTCAAAAACATAAAGGGTCATTACAGAAAAAGTGGCCCACCCTCTTCCACTTCAGATGGAAACAAACACACAAAACAATGCTTCCGTAAGAACATTTTGTGTAGATGATAACAGTGCCCACATGTTGGTCAAGTGTGTGCATGTTTTTATTCAACATTTACATGAATCTTCTGAGATAGGCAAGGCAGGTCTCCATTGGAGAGTTTGAGGCTAAAAGAAATAAAGTGAGGAGATTGTGTGTCTTAGTCTGTGTGGGCTACTGTAACAAACTACTGTAAACGGAGTGACTTATAAAGAACAGAAATTCATTTCTCACAGTTCTGGAGGTTGGAAATCCAAGATTGGGGTGCCAGCATGGTCGGCTTCTGCGGAGGGCCTCCTTCCAGGTTGCAGACGGCTCCGACTGCTTGTGTCCACACATGGTGGACGTGTGAATAAGCTTCCTTGGGCCCCTTTTTCAAGAGCACTAATCCCCTCATGAGGGCCCCACCCTCATGGCCTCATCGCCACCCCAAGGCCCCACCTCCTAACACCATCACCTGGGAGGTGAGGATTTTGACACATGGATTTGGGAACACACTCAGCCCATGGTGTGGAGGCGACTGCTGAGAAACGTGGTACTGCTGGCCTCACTGTCTTCACATCCAGAAGTCTAAACTGCACTATTGTGCAAAAGAGATTCCAATATTGTCTGCCCTGAAGAGCCCTGTGAATGACACAGGTATCACTGAAAGTAGTATTAAAGGCCAGGCGCAGTGGCTCACACCTGTAATCACAGCACTTTGGGAGGCCAAGGCGGGTGGATCACCTGAGGTCAGGAGTTCAAGACCGGCCTGGCCAACATGGTGAAACCCCATCTCTACTAAAAATACAAAAAATTAGCCAGTCGTGTTGGTGGGCACCTGTAATCCCAGCTACTCGAGAGGCTGAGGCAGGAGAATCGCTTGAACGTGGGAGGCGGAGGTTGCAGTGAGCTGAGATTGCACCAGCCTGGGCAAAGTGAGACTCTGTCTCAAAAAAAAAAAAAAAAAAAAAAAAAAAAGAAAAAGAAAAAGAAAGAAAGTGGTATTAAAAAAAAAAGAAAGAACTCCATGAACTTTCAAGGCATTTTCTAGTTCTTGATGAATCACTGGATGATGTAGTTATAAATCATGTTTTCTGATTATTCCCATAAACATAGCATAGGTTCATCATTAAGTTGCTAGTAAAATCATGACAAATACTACACAAATTTAATCAGAAAAGAAATTGGCCTCATGCTTGAAGATGTAAAAACAAATAGAAGAGTTGGAGTCACACACACAGACACACACACACACGAAAGGATTTCCTCTATAGGTGGGGTAACTAAGCTGCCTTGTAGGGAAAATTATACCCACTTTACAGATGGGTAAATTGAGGCTCAATAGAGTTAGGCAGTTTGACTAAGGTCACACAGTTAGTATAATAAAAGAAGCTGGGATCCAAATCCAAGCTTGTCTGAACTTAGCGTTGTTCTCACTGTGCCACACCATCCTTCCTGGCTCCTGAACCTGCGAAGATGCCCTGTTGCCTCTGCCTCTTACCTGCAGCTACACTCTGCCTTGGAGGTCTCACTCTTGGATGGTCTGGAGCTACATTAAACAGTCAGAGGCTGATGTAGCCAGTTGTTTCTTCAGAAATGCAGTGATTTTCATGACTAGGGGCTAGCCAGGAGCAGGGAAATAAACCATCTTAAGACTGCTCAGAGGTACAAATTTTTGACTGGTATATCTCATAAGAAACAGCTTTTCTCAGTAGGGTGCTGTATAATAGTAGGTGTACTCAGTAGGATAATACATAACACATAACATATGTGTAGGCAATCTTCTCATTTTAGTTTCACTTCAACATAGCACCAAAATTCCTGGTTTATTTATTTTATATCTATATCCAAATCTATGTATGTATGTAAGCATGTGTTCATTCATCCTTCCATCCATGCATCTACTCATATATCATCTACCTATCAATCGATCGATTGGTTGATTTATGTATATCATCTATCTGTCATTGCTACCTGATGGGCTATATGCAGAGCAAGGGCATGTGGGCAGCATTGTCAGGAGAGAGGGGATAAGCCCGTTGTCATTGCCAACTGCCCCTTCCCTGCAGGTGTGTGTTACACTCCTCTTCTCTTTGCCCTGGCATTGTATGACCTGAGTTCAGCCTTGACTGGACTGAAAGTGCTCAAAGACCTGGCTTTTCCACTCAACACTGAAGTGCTTGGGCCTTACTTCCATGTCCACATGAACCACAAGGGAATGGAAAATGTATTCTAAAACACTATTGAGCTTTAAAATTACTTATTCAAAGAGCTGCTACAGTAACTCTGGCCTCTGATGACTATGGAAGAAGCCCAAATAGATCCTCAGTTCCAAAGAAATCCAACCTAGCATGTCAAGGCCAGACTCCTCTTACTGGATTTCAAGGCCTTGAGTCTTATGGTCTCAGCCTTCCTGTCCAGCCTGATTTCCCAGCATTTCTGGACAATCTCGTTCATTCAATAAGCATGCGTTGTACCTACACAGTAGCCTCGGTAGGTACGTCCCTCCCTAGAAGTTTATGGACCAATGTAGTTTTCAGAGCTTCCCTCATTAGAAAGATCAGCCACACACAACATCTCGTACCCAACTGAAGGGTGAGTAGTGATACTCAGAAGCCTCCCCTTAGACTCTCAGAGGAAGAGAGAGAATGCCTGCTATGTACATGACAAGTGCCTCACTAGACAATATGAAAGTCCTAAAAGATCTCAGAAAATGGAGCAACTGGTGCTGCCATGGGGCCCAGCCCTCACCAGGAGAATTGCTTTTGAGTTGGGTTCTAAGAGATAGAAATGGGTATGCCAGAGAGCGGGAGAGGGGCTTGCAGATGAGGAAAGAGTGGGAGTCCAGGCGTGAACATGTGGTCATTCTCTGCTTGGCAGGGTCAGGTAGTCCCGGGGGCTGGAATGTGGGTGTTCATGGGAAGGGGTGTGAGGAGGTAAGACCCATGGGTCCCATTTCTGTGGGGCCTTTGTCTCCTTCAGGTCTAAGGGTGTGGGCTTTGTTCTGCATGTGTCAGGGAATCTAGACATTTCTAGTGTGGAGATGCGCCATGAAAAAGTGTGTTTTGAAAGACATTTTGGACATTGGTTTGAAGACAGATTAAGAGAATAAATTTTGTCAGCAATTAAAATGGGAAGAAAAGGGCTGAAGTCACAACATGTGATGCATGTAAAGTTGGGAGAACCGTGAGACATTTCTGAAGATACAGTGAATGGGGTTCTTGATGGCTTGGATGGATGAAGCAGCTGAGGAGTGACCGAGCACCATGAGATGTTTTAGGTTGAGGGACAGTGGAACACAAAGCCACTGGAGAGAGGGGGATGAAGAGGAGGCATTTGGGAATGTGTGGCCAGGTGGTTTTGTCCAGTATGGGTTGAGTTTAAGGTATATGTGGGATGTTCACATAGAGATGTCATTGGCAGTTGGATGTGCATGGAACAGAAGGAATAGACAGGAGACAGTTGTGGAGATCATCAAAGCAAGAGTGGAGTGGAAGCCCTAGGAATACAAACCTCCGTTTCCAAACGCCCTTTCCTGTGAATGTCTCACTGCTGCCCTCACCTCATGCAGGTACTCCCCTCCCCTTGGTGGACCCCTCACCCTCTAGGGTGCTAGTGCTTCCCCCAGAGCTGCCCCGGGGCTGTGAGGCTTGCTTCCAGCCTCCACCCACCCAGGCACCTCCCTGGGCTCCCATCTGTGGCCACGGCCCCCAATTTTACCCAATGTTAATGCTGATACGTGAGGCCATGGTGGCTCTGGGTGTCCCTCCCTACCCTCTTCCAAAGCATAACGACTCAGAGCCAGGCTTAAAGTCAGAGCCTGACTTCTCCTCTTGCATCCCGTTTTACAATTTACAAGTTGGCGGACTCTGGGCTGATTATGCAGTCTTTTCCACTGGCAGTTTCCTATTCGGCAAAATGGGCTGTGGTGTGAACTAAGTGAAACATTGCATCCAACGTGAGTAAATGGCAAGCCGTCTGTCCATATTAGCTTTTCTTTTTATTTTCTCCAACTTAGACATTAGCATCTCTAGGGTTAAAAAAGACATGTCTCAAAGTCTCATGGTGTCTTTTACATTCAAATGTTTTGCTATGCTGCTCTTAAAAACAGTGAACATGTTTACTGAGTGCTTTCTATGCACTGGAGTCTGAATCGGGGATCTGAGGATACCCAGGAAGTCACATGAGGCATTGTCTCCTCCTTGAGAAGCATTCACTGCCACTGGGGATCTAGGATATGTTGACCTAAAACTGCAACGACATAACAACTAACAGCTAAAATACCTGTACCAGACCTGGGGTAAAGTGGCTTGTCATCAGGGCTGTGTATGTGACTTGTTTTCCTCGGGGGAGGGGAAGGTGGTGTTATTCTACCCATTGTCTGTTGTGATGGGCGCAGCACAGGGCTGGCTGTGGCAATCTCTCATCTCCAGGTTACCACTTGTTGCCAGCTCTGGGACAGCTGGAGGGTGCATAAGGACTTGAGATTGATTTCAAGGATGTTAGAGGTGGTGTGCTGGGAGAAGTCTTCCTTTGCATTCTTAAACCCTTTCAAGTCTTAGTTACATGTAAATAAAACTTGTCGTTTTAGACCTGCCCTGAGAGCCGCAGGTGGTCTCCAGGGATTCTGTTGCTTGTTCAGGGTCCAGCAAGACCCAAGCAGGCCAGGCGCTGAAGGGTGGCGGGTCAGAGGAAATGATGGGAGCGCAGGGAGCCAGGATGCTTGGGATTTATGAGAGCATTTGCTGCTCTGTACCCAGGGGTTATTAAAGTTGTGAGTCTAGTCAGCATCAGTACATTTTATTTAGAGGAGTCTGTATTTTTTTTCCAGATACATTAGTGTAATTACATCTTCACAAAAGCGGAGCTCACTTAAGAGAAGTAGCAGCCCATGCTGTAAAGAAGGGAGTTATTCTGATACTCAAGCTCTGTGTTATCTTGAACTGAACAAAAAAGAAATCAATACAATTTGTGCTTAGGCTTGTCGGAGGGGGGGGGGGGGTTCTCCTGTTGCCATGGCGACACGTTAAGCTATCGATTCATCCAGAGCGATTCCAAACTTGGAAGGGGCCTTGGTAAAGGTAGGAATAGTTTGTTCAGCAGAAATTAAACAGACCCCAGGACGTGGCCGACTCTGAGCATGGAATACGTTCTCTGTGCACACAGCATCCCCAGGCTAATGTTATTTGAGCTGTCCCTCAGACAGTCCAGTGGACGACCTGGGGCAAGTGCTGTTTCTGCTGTCAGATCAAGGGGAGCCTGTGACAGCCTGGGTCCTGTCAAGTCAAGGTGCAGGATACAGCTTGGGGTTGGCTTCCAAAAAGAGTCAGTGAGAGATGAGAGGTAAATACAGGAGCATAGTCACAGTCACAATGAGTTAGGAAGATGACAAGCAGCTGCTGTATCTCATTCTCAGCTTGCAGCCATCAGCTCACAGCAGATCATTCAACAAAAGCAAAAGATTTTCACAGGGATTTTTTTCATTTTTTTCTTTTATTTTTAGTTTTCATGTACCAATTGTACATATCTATGGGGTACAGAGTGATATTTCAATACATGTACACAATGTATCATGATCAAATCGGTAATTAGCATATCTGTCACCTCAAATATTTATCATTTCTTCATATTGGGAACATTCAGAGTCTTCTCTCCTAGGTTTTTGAATATATACAATAAATCTTTGTTAACTATAGTCACACTACAGTATTATATAGAACACTAGGACTTATTCCTCCTATTTAGCTGTAATTTTGTATCCAGCAACCAACTTCTCCCTACCCTCCTCTCCCCTTCCCTTCCCCACATCTAATAACCATAATTTCACTCTTTATTTCTATCAGATCAACTTTTTTCCAGCTCCTTCATATGAGTGAGAACGTGCGGTGTTTATCTCTCTGAATCTGATTTATTTCATTTCACATAATGTCCTCCATGTTCATCCATGTTGCCAAGAATGACAGGATTTCATTCTTTTTTATGGCTGAATAGTATTCCATTGTGTGTATGTACCGTATTTTCTGTATCCATTCATCTGCTGATGGACATCTAGGTTGATTCCATATCTTGGCTATTGTGAATAGTGCTGCAGTAAACAGGAGGTTGCAGATATCTCTTCAACATACTGATTTTCTTTCCTTTGAGTAAATTTTCAATAGCAGGATTGCTGGATCATATGGTAGTTCTATTTTTAGTTTTTAGAGAAACCTTCATACTGTTTTCTATAATAACTGTACTAGTTTACATTCCCACCAATAGGGTATAAGCATTTTTTTCTGCACTCCCCCATAAGCATTTGTTATTTTTTGTCTTTTTGATAATAACTATTCTAATGGGGGTGAGATAACATTGCATTCTGTTATTGACTTGCATTTCCATGATTACTAGTGATGGTGAGCATTTTTTCATGTAATTGAAAAATGAGACATGAGCAAATATATAAAGCCCAGGATTTCTGACTGGTGCATAGAAAATCTGAGATGCGTTCTGCCGGTTATATCTGAGGTCTATGCTCTGAGCATGCCTTCCTGGCCTTAGGATATTCTCAAAAGTATTTTGTTCGGGCTTATCTTTGCTTTCTAGTTTTGTACAAGATGGAGTGTAATCTTTTCTTGCTTCCCTATTGATACCATTACATTATTTTTTATGATGATTTCCATTTTTAAACTCCAAGAATGCCGCACACAGACAAAACAAAATGGGCCCAACCCTTTATTAACTACAAAACAGTAGAAAAGAAAACAGATCTGGTCTTTGGTTTACAATCAAAAGGTAGACTCTAGTTTTCTTCTGGTTAGAGCTGGTCAATACACTTAGGAGAATGCATTTTAAAAATAGCAATTAAATGGCTATTTTTTGATGAATTATTTTGAAATAAGTACTTTATTTCCTTGTTTTGGACACTGTAAAAAGTAAGAGTGTCTGAAAAGCCCTCAATTGTTCATATTTTCAAAAATATTTGAAGGCACTTGAATTCAAAAAGATTTGAGCATGCACACGTTCATCTGAGTCTGCATCGTGTGTGTGTGTGTGTGTGTGTGTGTGTGTGTGTATGTTTGCGTGTCACAAAGAATGAGAATACAAGAGCCCAGAAGAAAGGAAAGCCAAGGGCTTGCTTCATAGTTATTTTTCTTAGAAGAGGATGGCGGTGCTGATTTCACTATTGGCAAGTAGTTGTCAAAATGGCATGGCTTCAGAAGTGGGGCCATTGCTCTCAAAAGTACCTTTCCTCAGGTTTTCTAACATCTGTAACTCTTATCTCAAGCATTTTAGACAGCCTTAAAGATACTTCTTTGAGTTCATGTAATATTAGAAGTCATAGAAAATTACATAGTTTGTATGGTGACTACGTGGCTGATATCAATTATTTTAAAAGGAGATATGCTGGTGCAGGAAAACACCCTTTTACAACTCAACATGCTCTGGGCTGGCTTCCCCGTGGGGCTCTCAGGGACGGGACAGGATGATGGAGACAGGACTCGTCTAATACCCTAGAATAAAACTCTGTGTACCTACCTGATGATCACAGTTTTGTAATTCTACCTTGCTCTTTTAAATTGGCTGCAATTCTGTGGATGTTTCAGACCTGAAACTTGTTGTAGGTGTTTGTTATCACTAAGTAATGAGAACCCAATCATAGATTATTCTGTAGCTAGCAACTTCTCTGTTCAGACCACCCGCTTCAGACATTTCTCCCCAGTCACTATTCCACTTGCAGCTTCCGGGAGGAAGTTTGAGCGGGGTCACCTTGAAGCCAGAAGATGTAGCTCTCCTCTTAGGCTTCAGGGCAGGTTACAAACTGGTGTCCAGGAGAGCTTCTGCTTTTGTGTTATTTTGCCTGCTCACTGGCCTCCAGTGTGTTGAATTTGAGTTCACATTATTTCACGATGATTGCACAAAATTCCTGCAGATATAAGGAACCACACAATTCTTAATTCAATACTGCATTCAATACTGTCCATTTCATGTCACCCCAGTAGACACATAAGCGGAAGTGAATAAGAGGCCGTGCGTACTTCTCTGTGGTCCAGGACAACAAGGCAAAATAATAAATGCAAATAAATTACCCTGTGGCTGAGGATCATCGGTGTTCACTGGCAGCTGCTGGCAAATGGAATTCCGGCAGTTGCAGAGCTTCCTGGAAATGGGCATCATTGGCATCACTGAGGCCGCATGCTCCACAGAGGAAAATGCAATACTTTAGTGCGTACTCCCTTTTAAATAAATGTAAATGGAGCCTGTAATATTAATGTAACTGTTGTGGCCAAGGAATTGCTAGTTGATGAGCAAAATGCAGACAGCTATTCTTTATTTTTATTCATGAGAATAAATAAAAATCACTCTTTGAAGCCAAGTGGCTAACACAGTCTGGTTGCTAAAAGTAGAATGTTTTCTACCGTAGATCCAACAGTCTACTTCCTGGAAGTAAATATTTTATATTTGGTTTCTGTTTTTTTTTTTTTTTAATTCTGCCCCCACACTTATGAGTAGCTACACACTTCTTTAAACTTCACATGGCAAGCAGACACATAAAATGTCCAGATCAGAATGTCTTGCCATGAACTGCACACAGCATGAACGGGGCAGATGCGCATTCTGTGCACCGGGAGTCACAGAGGGCGTAAGGAAAGGGTTTGAGGAGTATGTCGGAAGAAGCCTCGGAGAGAGGAATCTGAAGGTCCACGTGGGATGCAAAAAATAGATTCTCATTACCTGAAGAGGGTCTATTTCACATTGTTTTGTTTTCTTCTCTGCATGCATTTGATTGTGTCTGGGTTCCTGTGGGACGTTATGCTTCTTCTTATCGTAGCGAAACACTGGAAGGAGATTCATTCTCTCCAGGCAAAGTAATCATCGTTACTCTCATTTTCTCTTGGTAGCACTGGCTTTACAGTTTTCAAAGGCTTTTCCCAAACATGACGTCACTTGAATTTCACTATTTTAAGAGGTGATAGAATGAGTAAATTTATCATTGTTTTAGTGACCAAGGGGCTGGAGCTCAGAGAGTTTACACAGATTTGCCCACCGTAATGCAGGTTAATACGTGGCGGATCCAGAAGCAGAACCCCAGAGTTCTGCTTCCCAGCCCCTTCACATCTTTGCTGCTGTATTACGCTGCTCCAAATATAAATGAAAATAGCAAGTTTTGGTCTACTTTGTATTGGTGTCAGTAGAATTTTGCATGTCTTGTAGGCAGTATTTATATCAAGGAGTGTATTGCATCAGAGTGAGAAACATAGAATTTGGAGTTGGATAGACCAGGTTGAAATCCTAGTGCATTGTGGTTCTGTGATTCTATTTTGGAGAAATGTCCTACCTTCCTTGAGACCCATTTCATAATCTGTAAGATGTGACTACTTACACCTTCTTCCTAGGGTTGTGGTGGGTACTCAGCCCTGCGCTTGGGACAGAGTAAATGCTCATTGTATAGTCAAATGTGTCTTTGAGCCTGAACCTTGGACTCTGGCCTTCCTGAGAGTATCTGGTCTGTTCACAGGGCTAGTGCCACCAGGCACCTGTATGAGTTATTTGTTCACAGTAGAGGAAATGCCTGTGGGCACCTAGGGGAAGAGTCAAGGAAGGAAAGGACGGCAGAGGCTGTCGAGGGCTTGGCCCATTCATGTTTAACTGTGGAGAGAAGTTTCATCATAAGAAGGGGAGATGCCAGCTCTCTCAGGAAGTCTAGAAAGGGAGGACGTGAGCCATGTGGCCTTGGGGCCTGCGGCAAAGGGCATAACGAGCCAGGCTAGAGGGACCCTCTCCTCAATTCTGGGCAGAAACTTTCTCTGTTTTTGTGCAATGTGGGATAAACCGTTTGCCACTGGTCTTTGGCCCTGAGCCTATAGCGTCGGAAACAGTGAGAAAGACCCCTCGGCACGGATATCTGGGTTCCCCTGGATGTCCCTGGAGCAGAAATCGGGGGTGGAGGTGAACTTCTTACAAGTGGCTTTGTGGAGAGCTGGAGTGCAGAATCTGAGAAGGCTGCTTGTCATAACTTTGAAACACCAGCTCCTGGAAGAACCCACATAGTTGGTGAGAATTTTGGGGGCTGGCGGAAAGGGTAAGAATTGTTGAGAGGATTTGTATTTTGCAGGTGGGTGCACAAGCCACTGTAAACTGAGTGATTCATGTTAATGTGACCCTGTGAGCACCTGCTGCCTGCGGGGGACTCAGGGGATTGTTGTTATCTGAATGTCCATGAGCATGGATCCCTGGTTTGCAATCTCGAAGCATTGGATTCATTTAGGCACCATAGTTAGAAGAGGAAGGGAGCTCATCCTCTGGGGAAGGCGAGGATATGGATGAGTGAAAATAGCAAATCCTATCAGGCCAAGGCCACTGCATTGAGGGGTGAATGGAGCACAGCGGAGGGAAGGGAGACTGGCCTTGGGGAGTCCAGGCAGCTGCAGGGCCTTGGGGAGCAGCCCCCGTGACCATGAGAGAGAAGTGGAGTGTGTGTGCCAAGCCAGCAACCCTGAGGCGGCCAGTGCTGGAGGTATCCAGCTGCTTTAGTGTGGAGCCTCAGGTCAATGGGAGTCATGACAGAAAGAAGCAGAAGTCTGTTTTGCACTAAAACCTCTCACATCTGGGTGTCCCTGTCCCCATCCTGGGCATTGAACCAGCTTTGCCTGAAGAGTTGTACCAACACAGGTGGACACTATAATGTTGATCCAAGTATCTTCACTCTTTCTGCATTGAGGGCTGATTCTCTGAAGGTCAGATTCTTGACAAATTAAGTTGTTCATGTCTCAGACGGAAGGCACAGAGCTTGGTTCTACTGTTTAAGTTACAGTTCAACAAACACAAAGAAAACAATTAGCATGTTTTTATTTACCTCCAACAGAAATCTCTGGTGTGATTCCTTGTGGCTAACTCTTAATTTCTCCCTTCTAAATGTTGCCCTAATTAAACCTTTCTCCAGAACTTTTGTACTTTTCAATGAAATTAGAATGAATGAATAAAAATGCAGATTCTAATTAGCGCTTCCTGCATATTAAAGAAATTACTCTTCCCCTTACTTAAAGAAGTGTTACTGGGAAGTAATAGATGATCTTTGAAATGCAATTTTTCTTTTCAGATAGTGGTGATAATTCTTAGCAAGGACAGTGCTGCTGCTGACAGCCATGCCCACCAGCCAGCATACTCTGCAACAGTCCGAGTGACAGACGGGCCGCTCAGAGTAGTAGCTCTATTTACTGAGGAAAGAAAAAAAAAATCTTGCAATAAACATTTTTTATAGGAAGCTATGCATGAATGCATTTGTTAAATTGTTTTAAATAACTCCAATGCCTAATAAAAATAGGATTTGAAGGACAGCTAAAGTTTCATTTTAAGATATGGCAACATCTGCATCTGCTGAATGATTTATATCTGTGACATTAACTAAGCATTATAGGAAAAAAACACTGTTTGACCTCAGGCAAGCTGGTGTGAGACATGAGCTTGTTCCAGGTTGAAATTTTCCTCTTAAATTTTTTATGAAATTCTCTCAGCAGGGTCACTGTTGGGTTCTGAAAAGATTTTTAACCTTAGGATTGCTACAGCTCAGCCATCAGAAAACCATTTATTTCATTAGCACTCCCTCCCTTTCATTTTAATGCCACGTAATAGGATAGAATAGGTTTAAGGCCCATCAACTGTAAAATTATCATTTTTCACCGAAGCAACATTATATTAAACACTTAATTATTCATTACTAATGCTTGTCATGGTGAAATATTGGCCTCGCTAATTTTGAAAGCACCAGGCCCAGCTTTTCTTCCTCGAAGGTTAATGCTGAGCCCCCATTTCATCAGATTTCCTAAATGGAGCACACCTCACGTGTCATGGTGTGGCTTTTTCGAACCCCAACCCTTTTAGCAAGTAAAGTCCCTGCTGTTCAGAATGTTCCATCTATTGGGATGAGAAGCTAGCTTTAATGGTTGTGGTGGAGAGAGCAGAATTTGGGGTGGCACAGTTTTGTGAAATGCTATCAACTGAACGATTTTATCAGGGATATATTTTTAAAGGTAACACACCTCTTGATTTAAATACATTATTTACTTTTTTATTTTAAAAATTTGTATAAATGTAAGGGGTACAAGGACCGTCTTGTTACATGGAGATATTGTGTAGTGGTGAAGTCTGGGCTTTTAATGGAACCATCACCCAAATAATGTACATTGTGCCCCAAATTAGGTACTTTCATGCAAACCAGATGACTGACTTAGAATTATGGCAGTGAAACGAGTCTGCATTCCTACAGCAGGGTTTGCCTGCCTGCATCTGGCCACGGTATTCAAGATTTCCATATTAGTCTTGCATATTCTACAACCCAGGACCCCTGCTGTGGAACATCTGTGCCGTGCAGGTTTATGGATGGTTAGAAAAAAAAAAACAACAAAACCCTCCCTGGCATCTGACTCTACATCGGGTATCGCCTTCTGAAGGCTCCATATGATATTAATTCTGTTAACAGAGAAAAGGCTTATTCATCAATCTTCCAGGCAATCTCTGGAAGATGTTATTCGGGCTGGAAACCATGCTCTCACCCCACGTGGTGCATGGGCTCCACCTGAGCGTACACAATGGCTCTTCTACGCCAGGGAAGATGAGGAAAAAGACCTTGATCTGCCACTGAAATTAAGGGGAAGGTCACTATCCCAGGAGGATACCAACAGCCACTTTGCCATTCAGCACGACTCCTGTCCTCCTGGTCCCCATTGGCCCAGGCTTGCATTCTTGAATTTTCTCAAGCAAGTCTCTGTCGCTGTTGACATCTTCCCACAAGCCTCCCTTCCACGTCCCTTACATCTCCATCTGAAAAACTCATTACCGGGATCAGAACCAGTAATACGATTTTTGAAAAGTTCTTTGGATTCCAAAATTATCAGCAGGAAAACCCTAAAACCTAAATAAAAGAAAAAAAAAAAAAGTAAAGATATACATTTGAATTATTTTAGGGAGTATTTTTCCAATTTCTGTTTAACTTAGGTTGCTTTTATTTAAGCCATAAATAATACTGATTTTGATGACTGTAGTTGGATTATCCTGAGGTTCTTCTTTTCAGATGTCTTGCTGGATTGTGGCTTCTCTACTTGGTAGTGTGGGCTGAATTGTACCTCCCCCAAAATTTATGAGATCCCCCTGGATCTCAGAATGTGTCCATATTTGGAGATAGCGCCTTTAAATGGGCAATTACCTTGAAATGAGTTCATTAGGGTCACCAGTGTCCTTTAAGAAGAAGAAATTAGGGCACAGATTGGCACATAGGGAAGCACATGTGAAGACGCAGGGCGGCAATTGCATCCTCAAGCCGAAGAGCAATGTCCAGAACAGATCCTCCCTCACGGAAAACCAAACCTGTTGACACCTTGATCTCGACTTCCATCTTCCAGAACCGTGAGACAGTAGGTTTCTGTTGTTCAAGCTGTCCAATCTGGGACCCTTAACTCATCCACTCTGCCACCCCTTGTTATCTAATATCTTCTATTCTTTTCCTTTTATAAAAAAATCAAATGCATACTTGATTAATTTTGACATACGCACACATACACACACATACAGAGGTTAAACTCTACTGATAAAGGTTAAACTATACCAAGGTTAAAGTTTACCTCTAAACTTTACGGGTTAAACTATACTGATCACATAAATGGGCACACACATTTATGTATCACATTTATACACATTTATGTGATAAATATAGTTTAACCTCTAAGGCTCCCTAATGCTCCTTCCAGTCCATTCCCACCCCTGCAGACAATGTGTCCTGGCTTCTATGATGATAGATTAGCTTTGACACTTTTTGAACTTCATGTAACAGAGAACTATGCAAAAATCACTATGATGTTGAGCTTTCTATTTTTCTCTTAATTGAAGTACATTTTGCTTCAGACGTCTTGAAACTCTGTTAGTAGGAACACTCACATTTGGCAACATTAACCCCTTCTTCATTATGCATTTTCTCTCCTTATCTCTGTCTCTTTGCCTTGACTTCGGCTCTGTGTCATATGAACAAGCCTGTGGGCTTTTTTTTTTTTTTTTTTGACAGAGTCTCAGCGTGTTGCCCAGGCTGGAGTGCTGTGGCTCGATCTCGGCTCACTGCAACCTTCACCTCCCGGGTTCAGGTAATTTTCCTGCCTCAGCCTCCTGAGTAGCTGGGATTACAGGCATGTGCCACCACGCCCGGCTAATTTTTGTATTATCAGTAGAGACAGGGTTTTGCCATGTTGGCCAGACTGGTATTGAACTCCTGACCTCAAGTGACCCACCTGCTTTGGCCTCCCAAAGTGCTGGGATTACAGGCGTGAGCCACCACGCCCAGCCTCTGTGAGCTTATTTATGCAAACAATTCACCTTGTAGGTCTTTCTTATCATATTTTAACTTGTCTTCATGTTTAATGTATATTGTTTATATCCACAAACAGTTAGCTTTTTTTTATCCTGACATTTATGCCTTTTAATTGGCATTTAGTCTATTGATATTTTAGGTAATTATTGATGTTGTTTGTTTAAGTCTACCATTTTGCTATTTGTTTTACTTATCCCAGCTGCTTTTTGTTTGTTACATTTTATTGTTCTGTTCTTTTTCACTCCCTTCTGTTATTTATTTATTTATTGTATTCCATTACAATTCCTCTACTCCTTTTAAGCTATAACTCCTTGTGTTGTATTTTTAGTGTCATTGTTAGAATTTTAATATTCATCCATAATTTTTTATAGTCTATCTAGCATCTATATATATCACTTAATGCAAAGTTTAAGAATCTTATAACTGTGTAATCCATTTACCTCACAGTTTCTTTGTGGTACAATGTATACATATTTTACACAATATTCCTAATGAACTCCACAGTGCAATTTTTATTTTTGCTTTAAACTGCCAAAAGTCATTAAGAAAAGAGTCTTTTAAAATAATTGAGAAGGGTAAATACATACTCTTTACCATAGATTTTTAGGTCTGTGTTCTATTTCTATGTCTGTGTTTGGTGCTCTTCATTCTCTCGTAATATTTCTAACTGGTGTCATTTTTCTTCATCCTGAAGAAATTCTTTTACTCGTTCTTTTAATGCAGATATGTTGGTGACAAATTTTCTTAATTTTCATTTATCTAAAAGATATTTCTCTTACCTTAATTTTTGGGGGATACTTTTTGCTGGTTAGAGAATTCTGGGTTCGCCATATTTTTTCTTTTATTCCTTGATTATTTCATCCCATTTCTTCTGGCTTCCATTGTGTTAGTG
Source organism: Homo sapiens (assembly GCF_000001405.40). Lineage (NCBI taxonomy): Eukaryota > Metazoa > Chordata > Mammalia > Primates > Hominidae > Homo > Homo sapiens. Next base: position 4,101,259 of record NC_000002.12, read on the forward strand.
AGAAGTCAGCTCTAATTGATATCCTTGTTTTCCTATATATTATAAGTATATTTTTTCTCTTGCGACTTTTTAGTTTTATTTCTCTTTGTCTTTGGTTTTCAAGAGTTTGCTGAGTGAGGTGTGGTTGTCTCTGTATTTACTATGGTTGGGCTTTGCTGAGCTTCTTAGATATCTAGGTAGATGTTTTGCAACAAATTTGGGGAATTTAAGTCACTTATCCGCATATATTTTGTCCATTCCATTTTTTTTTTCTATCACTTGGGGACTGAATTCCATGTCTGTTAGACATTGGGCCATCGTAGTTGAGTCTATGGTGTGGATGGACCTCCTCAGCACAGCGAGACGGACTCTCTGCCCTGTGTGACTGAGGGAGCCTGGGGAGCATGTGGACCCCCTGCTCTCCTTCCAAGTTTTGCAATCCTGCACTTTCTGCTGCCCAGACACTGAAAGCTGTTGCTGCTTCTATTTTGGCCAGTTGCATAATCTTACATTTCTGTTCCCCTTCCTACCTTCTTTTAAAAATTATTATTCTAGATTGGTTTCAAATTGTGCCAGATTTGTTATAGTAACACAAATACTCCAGATAATTTTGTCACATGTTCCTATAATTCAAGTAGTTACGTTACAGAGTTGTGTATGTAAAAAATGCTGCTATTGGCCATGACAGTTCTTTGTAATTATGCAGATACACTAGGTACTTAGAAAATTATGCACTTTTATGGTCCCTAGTACAGTGCTTAATATGTTTTGTTTGTTTGTTTTATTGATGGAATGATCTGCATTAGTGGGGTGTAATCAGAAACCTAAACCACCACGTAAGCTTCCCCCATGTGGAAATAAAGTGTATGTGTGTCAGTGTGTGGGAGCATGCTGTGGGTTACACACCACAGGAGTGCCCAGCCTTATTCCTGGCTTGAGAGATTCTCAGTTCTCTTTTCTTTTGGTGATCTCTCTTCATTACTTAAGAAAAACTACTAACCGTCTAATTTTGGTATGGTGAAAATCTTCTTCCTTCCATTAATTTTTAGTGGCATAAGTAAGCCAAGAATGGAATCTTCAGAATAAGTAAAGCTGCACTAAAAGCTCAGGATGAAGTACTGGTTAAACCATTGCATCGCCAGATGCTTGGGGGATCTAGTTTCTCTTTGGGGTTTATGCAGCTGTTTATGCCACAGATTGGGACCTGCATTCTCTACATGGTACTGTCTTAGGTGCCATTCTCAGAAATCTCTTCCCTTAAGTCTCAACTCATGTGGTCAGACCCAGAGGGTCACAGGACACCCCTACTGGCTTGGAGGGTCACAGGACACCCCTACTGACCCAGATTCAGAGGACATCCCTACTTCCAGACCACCTAAGTTCTGCTTTCTGATTTCTGGACATGGGGTAAGAATGACGGACCCCAAAATGATTGACGCTGGGCCTGCATTTGAGGAGGGAGCAGGTATTTATTAATTTAAATATATTAATAATTTTGATGCTCTAAACACATCTAAGCTCACTGCACATGTAGCAGCTACCTTTGGAAACTTGAAAATGTTACATAAATGCAGAGTATTCTTGCATTGCATGTTGTAAAATCATAACTGGAAGCAGGCGTTTCTTAAGAGGAAGTCTAAGAGTATAGATGTCTCTGCTCTAGTTAACCTCATATTAGTATTTTGTAGATTATACAGGAGATTCTTAATTATTTGAAGCCTTACAAAATTGTGTAGTCTTCACGATTTAAGCCAACCATTGGAAAGTTTAAACAAAACAAAACAAGCTAATCTTTCACTATTATGGTATTGTGTTGCTAGGGTTACATTAAGGTTTTATAAATATGTGTAAGAAAAAAGAATTATAGTCATTTCTCAAAATAGTCACTATTTTCATATGGAAACAAACATTTTATTATTTAAAATGCAATCCTGTTCTTCTATTAACTGTTATAAATGAATTATTCCTATTTTGGCTCTCGTTTTTTTTGTGTTGTTTTTTGATCATAGGTAGCTTTATAATATTATCATAAAACATGATTTGGTGACAATTGTGTCTGAGGAGAGACAGAGCAACATGTTCCCCAGGAATAATGATGCCGCCAATTTGGAATATTTTGTTGACTTCAGTTATTCACACCGCAGAAGTCTTCCACAATTATTTATAACTGAGATCGGACTTAGGGCTGGTGCTGCGTGGATTTTGCACCATTTGTTGTAAACGACTATTTCAGTTTGTTATTGAATGTGAATTGCCCTTGTAATTTTTGAAGTCACACAAATGTCTATTTTCTCCTTTGCTTAGGACAGGAAAATTAAGTGATAAATATTAACCACACCTTAATAAAAGGCAAAATAACTATTCATTATGTCAACTATTTTATAAATAAATAGACTATTCCATGATCAGGAATGGAAGGGGAGGCTATAATTTTCACCATACGTTACGTAGTATTTAATGGTCCACGCTTAGTGACAGCATATTTGTGCTGTACTCTGCATGATCAGTGGCTGGGGCCTTTTTATTGCCTTGTCTCGGTGAATGGAGAGGGAAACAAAGACACAAGCAGACAAACTTCTCCACCAGAGAAGCAGCTTTGTCAATTACTTCCACTTCTTGATTCGAAATAAGATGTTAAACAAGTGTTTGTTATTTACTGGATGCGTAAGCTCCAGGCAAGATGAGGGAGAATGATGAATGAAACTCGTGGTCCCTGCCTTGAGGAATGGGGCTAGAGAGATGGGGTCTGTGCGTAAGAAATGTTGGAGAACGGGCAGGTGTAGGAGGATGTGGCTCATGATTGGGCCAGAGGGGCCTAGACAGTGGGTGCTGCTGAGGAAGGTGGGGACAGAGCAGACAGAGACACAGCTTTGGAGACAGAGCACGTGGAGCTTGACTTTGATGTGAGTGGGAATGTGGTAGGGAGTTGAGGTGGATTCTCTAAAAGGAGAGTGGATTTGTGTCCTGGGGCTGCAGTAGCAAAATACCACCAGCTGGGTGCCTTCAAACAGCAAGGATGCCTGGCCTCACAGGCACAGGGGACCAGGGGTTGGCAGAGCCGCGCCGTGTGCCAGCTTCTGGTGTTGCTCTGATCCTTGCATTCCTTGGCTTGTGGACGCCTCTCTCCCATCTCGGCCTCTGTGGTCACGTGGCCATCTCCTGTGTTTTTGTGTTTTCATGCTGTCCTCTTCCTTCTTATCAGACACCAGACATCGATTAGGGCCCACCCTACTTCCAAATAAGGTCATATTCTCAAATAAGGTGCTGGGGATTAGGACTTCAAGATATGTGGTGGACACAACCCAACCTGTAACAGGGGGAAAAGTGGAGGTGCTCAATGCAAATAGAGAATCTGGGGGACCAAATGTCAGGAAGAAGGAGGAAGAAGAGGTGAGAACAGGAGCTGATGCCACACGAGGGAGTCCTCAGACACTAGGCGAGGGCGTTTCAGTTTTACCCATTAGACCCGGAACCTGACAGTGAGAATGTAAGGCCTTAAAATGTGTAGGTTCCTGCTCCTGATTCTCAGAGCGGGGTCTGTTAATGTGCTTTTTTGAAGTGGCCAGAGAAGCTCTGCCCCTTTCTGGGTGTGGACAAGGGACACGACCACATGAAGACCACAGCGGCCACAGAAGCCGTCCCTGTAGGTTTACAGCTGTTCCCCTTTCTTCTAATTTTATAAGAGCTTTATTCGTGAATCAAAACACTTCTCCAGGTAGAAGTGCGTTGGAGGCCTTAGCCATTCATTTGGAAACAGAACCCAGCTTAGCAACTGTGCTGTTTTCTGGCCGAGTGTCACCTCCAAAAGAAAAATAAGGGAGAGAAGAAACCATAAGACCAAACACCCTTCCTCCCCAGGGCCTGTCACTAGTCAGGCTCATCTGGGATAATTCTCCCAAGAAGGGCTCCAACCTCACACTGTGGCCGCTCCATCAGCGGGGCACAGTCCTGTCCTCAGCGCCACATCCTGCAGGGCGTGGTGACCCACCTTAGGGAAGATGTTGGTGATGAACATATTGGATGGAGCAGTAGGAACTTCATTTCAGCCTGGAGTGCCCTGGCACACTAGTGAGAGGCGAAAGCTGCCTTCTGTGGTCACAGTTGCCGTTTTGGTGCGACCTGACTGACTACAGAAGCTGTGCACCCAGTGGAGCTGGGCTTCCTCCCCACCATCCAATCGTATGAAAGTGTGGCTCACACAAACCCAGAGCAGGTGCTTATTCCTATTTCGGACGGGCTCACTGCAGGACTGGGGTGCCGGGGCCCCACACCAACTCTTCCAAAGGCAGTAGAGCCAGCTGTGGAGGGGGCTCCAGTGTCTGATTTAATCCTCTACGATTTAGTTTCCATTTAGCTTTGAAATACTTATTAATTGTACAGTATACACACATATAGCACCATGTTCATCTGTAAAGGGTACAGGGATAATTGGGATTATATTGTCATCATTGGGAATGGGTTGTGTTCCTGAGGGGATGGAGTGACAGGGTGAGCTCTTCAGCACACAGGCAGAAACAGTGTCAGGGTTTGTCTCCCTGGGGCATGTTTCGAGGAGTATAAAGTGCCAAGTTTATCTGTACTATTTATTCCAATTAGGACTTTGGGCCCTTTAATCCCGTTCAGAGAGGTTTAGTCACAACAGGGAGGGACTCGGCTGGCCTGTCACTGATGTCTGGCTGAGTCTATAATGCAAACAGCAATATGACCTGGCTGGTTCCTGGTGGCACTATTAGGTACAGAAAATGGCAAATGAGATCAGTCGAGGGTTGGTGAAAGTGTTAGAACCTTGATGTGGCTGAGCCCACTGTTGTCCTGTGTGTGTGTTGAGGGGTGGGGTCCTGTGACTTCTCCATTGCCAGACACCTGCCACCATGGATGGCCCTGCACACCCATCGATACTGCTCAGCCCAGAACATTTTAGGCAAGAGCCAGGACAGTGCTTTGAACTTCTTCATCTTCCTCCTCCTCAGCAGCATTTGTCTGTATTTTGTCCCTTTTTAACAGGTCCCATTGTTTGGCCAGTGGGTGCTTTGGGAGACACATCTGAAGTGCCCATTCTCAGGAAGGCCTCTGGGATGGACCCTTCGTGAATGCATTTCTTTTTACAGGAGCCATCCTTTTAGACAGGATACAGGATTTGAGCTCCTCTAGGATTAGTTTTGGATGATGGGATTATTTAGATCTCTGTGGAGATTTCTCAGTAGGTTGTGTACGTAATGCAGGCTTGACCATGGCTTCTTTGGGACATCTCCCGACCCAAGGCTGACCTTAGTCCAGGGTTAGGGCTCTATTAGTTGATTTTGGAAAGCATTCCAGGAAGCATTCTAGGGGCTGGGGAAGTAAGGCAGGGAGCAAAGTCAACAAGAGGCACTTTATGGAGCAGGTGATTGATGTAGGAGACGGGGCCTGGGTTGCCTCGTGGTCCTCTGAAAGCATACATGGGAGATGCTTAGAGCCAGGCCCTGAGGGCAAGGGCTGGGGGCTTCATCGGATGACTGTCCTCTCCTTAGTTGAGGGCTGCTTTGGGATGCAGCGCCGCACACCCTGCTGCTTCTCACCTGTCACTCAGAGTCCAGTAAGAGAAAAGCAGGGACTCATGGCACCATCGGAACTGTCTCCAGCTGACACCCAGGAACACCTGGGGAAGAAGGCAGAGCCCCCAGCCTGTCTGCTAAACAACTTCACTTCCTCAGGGAATCCTCTGGACACCATCCTCTCGTGTGCCGCCTTTGCCTTTCAGGGCTGACTTTGAGGTATCTTCTTCATGGGACTTGACATGGTTGCTGCCTTTCCTTTATCTCTCTCTCTCTCTGTGTGTGTGTGTGTGTGTGCGCGCGTGCATGTGTGTGTAGGGGATGAGTGTGCTGTGCAGAAAATTAAATGTTGTCCGCTCTGAAGCCCACACCCTGGAGAGAACAGCACTCACATTTATCACCTTCCCGCTATGGACCAGGCGCTCGGTACTTTACTGACATGGTTAAGTACCAATCCTCACAATCACCTTATAAAGCAGATGTATGAGCCCACTGGGACTCAGAAAACTTAAGTGCCTTCCCCAAGGGTGCAAAGTGGGAAAGTGGTAGAGTCGGAGTTAGAACCCAGCTCCGTGTCACGCTGGGCCCATGCTCTTTCCGGCCTCCAAGGTTGCCAGCCCCTGGGGAGATGTGGGACTGGATTGCGGAAAAGGAAAGAGCTCTCAGCTCATTCTGACAGTAGCCAACAAAATCAACTTGATTTAAAATCTGTCCCTGGTTTCCACATTTTGTGGTAAATTGGATATCAAATGTACACATTATTGAATTTCATGTTCTGAATGTTTAATTCTTCTCCAAGTGTCACATAATTAGCCATTTGTTATATAATTGTTTTCATTACTTACATAAATTGTTTTCATTAGTGGCTCTAAATGGGTGAGTGACATTAATATGTAATAAATACAAATCATGCTGCAGCAAGGGAAGTCAGTAAGAAAAGAGGCAGCCCGGGGCTCGGGGTTAGGCTCCTAATATCATTCCCAGTCACTCCCCAGGGCACACAACTGGGGAATGCCCGGGAGGGGCATAGGGCCCCTCCTATTCCTTGCAAGAGGGGAGAAGATTTCCTACTGTAAGACATTCATCATCTCTGTCCCCAATAACTGCAGAGGTACTAATAGTTACCATTTTACACATCTTCAAGAAGTAAGGAACTTTATATACATTCTCCCATTTTCATTTAATCTATTTGATTCAACCATGAAGTGAACTGAGTCAGTCACCTGGTAATGTAAGGAACCCAGGTAGTACCTGGCAGAGCCTAGAATCAAATCCAGATCTGTCTGATTCCAAAGCCAATACCCAGTGCTCTCAGTGTTTATGTGGGAAACCAAGAGAATGGGTTTATTACTGAGATTTTCATCCTGAGCAGCTCTGAGATTTAGAAGATGATACCTGTAACTGCAGAGCCCCCTACTCTGATACTTAGATGACCTCTCTGATGATTTGTGCCACTACCTCCCATGATCTAACAATACAAGGAAGGGAAATGTTTGAAAACCTCCACTGTATTAAGAGTATTTATTATTCAAACTCTTCCAAGGACCCAAGGATGTCCTGTGGGCCCTGGGGACCAGGGAAGAAGAATGTTGTCCCTTCCAGGTCGCCTGCAGTCCTTGCAGCTTCCTCTGTGGGAACACAATTGAAAAGGCAGGGAAACCCTTGCTTCATCAGGGCAGTGTTTGGGTCCAGAGTGAAGCCACCCTCTTCCAGCTCTCAAGGCTCCATCGGGGACCCTCTTCCGGCTCTCAAGGCTGCATCGGGGACCCTCTTCCGGCTCTCAAGGCTGCATCGGGGACCCTCTTCCGGCTCTCAAGGCTGCATCGGGGACCCTCTTCCGGCTCTCAAGGCTCCATCGGGGACCCTCTTCCGGCTCTCAAGGCTCCATCGGGGACCCTCTTCCGGCTCTCAAGGCTCCATCGGGGACCCTCTTCCCGCTCTCAAGGCTCCATCGGGGACCCTCTTCCGGCTCTCAAGGCTCCATCGGGGACCCTCTTCCGGCTCTCAAGGCTCCATCGGGGAAGCTCTTCCCGCTCTCAAGGCTGCATCGGGGACCCTCTTCCCGCTCTAAAAGCTCCATCGGGGACCCTATTCCTGCTCTCAAGGCTGCATCGGGGACCCTCTTCCGGCTCTCAAGGCTCCATCGGGGACCCTCTTCCCGCTCTCAAGGCTGCATCGGGGACCCTCTTCCAGCTCTCAAGGCTCCACCGGGGACCCTCTTCCGGTTCTCAAGGCTCCATCGGGGACCCTCTTCCGGCTCTCAAGGCTGCATCAGGGAGAGCAGAACACACGTCCCAGGCTTCTGCTTGTTCCCGGCACGACCCCTGCCTCCCCCTCTCCCCTGTCAAATGCCACCATTATCTATTTGAGAACCATCAGGATCACTTCTCCTGTCCCTTGTCCTGTGTTATAAGCCACCTCAGAAAGCTGTTGTAGCTTTCCAGGGCATCTCTTTCCCCGTTAACTGTAATCCCCCTTTCTGACGCAGGACGCAGGCTGGTTCCATGGGCATCCTTCAAGGGCATGTGTAATGTGCAGTTTTAACTCAGAGCCCTGCACTCAGACCAAGGTCTGTTTTAATGTGCTGAAGTTGCCATCTTGAACTTCTTAATAATCTTTAACAAGGGATTTTCGTTTGTAGCTAGTTCTTTTCCGACCTTCAACTCTGACTTCTTCTCAATTCCTAAAACTCACACTGGGTGCCCCCTGGAATGTGTCATTTGCAAACTCTCTTACCCCTTCAACTCTCCCGCTTCTTTCTGTACAGTAGCCTTGTCCTGAAGGGCTCTGCTTCCCTGCAGCCTCCCTAAGTATTGGCTGTTTTCTCCCCATGCTCTTTCGCCATTGGCCTGGATGTTAATGGGGTTCATGTCATCCTGGCTCCCCACTGTACTTGCAGACCATTCTCTGTTCTTCCTTTCTAAAACTCCTAGGTATGAATCTCACATCATCCAGCCCATGCTCACTGTCATCTATAGATGCTGGGCTTACCACCCCCACCCTCATTCCTTAGGCTCCAGTACTCTGTTACTCTCTTCAACAGTGCTTGTTTGAATTGTTGCTGATTTCAAAATCTTTCCCAGAACTTCTTGCAATTCCTGGTCTTTTACCTCCTTGACTTCTTTGCCTCCTATTCGTCCTGCAACCCATCTCAAGTGCTTGTACACAAGGTCACACCCCTGACTCTGCCATTGCCAATAACTTCAATGCCTTCATGGCATTGGTGTCTACTGTGAGGCCAGCTGATGTTTTACCAGCTCAATCCTTCTGGTAACCTAACATCAGCAGTGCTTTCACTTACGTTCCTTGAACACTGTTTCTTATGTCTTATGTTATGTCATATATTTCATTACATATATATTACATTACATTATATATATATATTTCATTACATATATATATAACATTACGTTACATTAATGATATCAAGCATGCCATTGCATTAACCATAACTCTTTGCACATAACCATTTGCAAAGTCTCCTCTTCCGTCAGCTGTTCTCTGAATGCTTCTCTGCCTCCTCCGCCTGCCCGCAGGCAGCTTCCTTTTTGATCTGCTTTCCTCCATTCTTCTCAAGAATTGGCTGTTTTCTATTCCACACTCCTCTCTCGCCTACTTGGAATAATACCTACTTCCATGTCTGCTCATACCTGCACCACACAATGGAATGTGCCTCTGGAAAAGCCAGCCACCTGCTGCCCCCTGCCTGTCAGTGGCACGGTGGCCACTGACCTGTGGTGGGGCCACTGCACTGCTTGGTTGGATATTCTGAATTTCCTTAGTACATTTGCTTTCCTTCTATGTGATTTTTAAAATATCATTCTCTCTCTCAAACTATCTTTTCAGCTGATGACCATGCTTTCTATTTTAGTGAGAAACTAGTGGAAAATAGAGAACTTTCTCAGTCTTTTACCCTAACCCTAGCACAACGTGCCTGCTGGCATTGAGCCTATGCCCCATTCCCTGCCCTCCTTCCGTGACAGGGGGTGGGCTCTGCTGGCAGTGAAGACCACCCTCCTTGTGGGGCAAGCACCCAAGCTCTACCTGCCCTTTGAAGGACATTGCTTCAGCCATCTTTTTTCTTTGCCTCCCTCCCTCCCTCCTTCCCACCTTCCCTCCTTCCCTTCTCTTCTTCCTTCATTCCTTCCTCTCCCTTCCTCCCTCCCTTTCTTCTTCTTTTTTTCCCTCTCTCTTTCTCCCTTTCTCTCCTTTCTCTTTCTTTCCTTTCTCTCTCCCTCCTTCCTCCCCCCTCCCTTCCTCCCCCCTCCCTTCCTCCCCCCTCCCTTCCTCCCCCCTCCCTTCCTCCCCCCTCCCTTCCTCCCTCCCTCCCTTCCTCCCTCCCTCCGTTTCCTTTCTCTCCCTTTCCTTCTCTCTCTCTCTCTTTCTTTTCCGTATTTCTCTTCAGCATCAATTCTTCCCTCTTTATAGGACCTTCCCTTCAGCACACAGACATATTCCTTCTCTGACTCCATTTTCCCTCCTACCACTCCCATGTGTCTGTCCTTGTCTTTGTAGCAGTGCTTGTGGGCAGTTATGCACATGTGCGTTCTGCATCCTCTCCCTGAACTCCTTCTTGGACGCCTGAGCTGTGTAAGTCTTGGTTCCTGGTGACCTTCCTGTTGCCCACTTTTTGGTCTTTTCAGGTGACCCTGGCTCCAGCTTCCTCACTTCTGTCTCAGCCTCACTCCCTGTTCCTTCTCAGACTTCTCAGCTGCTTCTCATTTCCTTGGACTCTGAATGTTGAGTGACCCAGGACTCTACCCTAGGGAATCTCTGCCTTTTGTACCTCAGTATCACAGCTTTCTATACCATTGCCCCCTGACAACTCCCAAGTGTATTTCCCCAGCCCAGATATCTTCTCTGAGATCCCAAATCACACAGAAACTGCTTGCTGATCTCTCTGCTTGGCTACCTGAGAGCATCTCAAATCAGCTCCACCTGCATCTCAGTAAATAGCTTAATTCTTCCAGCTGCTCATGACAAAAATCCTGTAGTCATCTTTTTTTTCCACCTCTTTTTCTTTTACCCCATATTCAACGTGGCAGCAAACCCTAGTGGGTCTATCTTCCACACAGACACAGACTCAGACAGCCTACTCCCCACCTTAATTGCCACCACTGAGGTCCAATTTCCTGGATGGCAGTAGTGGCCTCAAAGTTGTTTTCCTTGGATTTTCTCATTTTTTCTTTCCTTACACTTTATTTTCAACTTGGCAGGCAGGGGGATCTTTTTATTTATTTATTTATTTATTTATTTTTTTGAGATAGAGTTTCACTTTGTCTCCCAGGATGGAGTAGAGTGGTGTGATCTCAGCTCACTGCAACCTTAGCCTCCCAGTTTCAAATGATTCTCCTGCCTCGGCCTTCCAGGTAGCTGGGATTACAGGCATGCAGCACCATGACTGGCTAATTTTTTTTTTTTTTTTTTAGTAGAGATAGGTTTCACCACGTTGGCCAGGCTTGTCACAAACTCCTGACCTCAAGTGATATGCCCGCCTTATCTTCCCAAGGTGCTGGGATTACAGGCGTGAGGCACCGCGCCCAGAAGGGATCCTTTCAAAACAAATTTTCACATCACTTTTCTGCTCATAACTCTGATAGCTTTCCATCTCACTCCAAGTCCAAGCTGACCTTATGAGAGTCACCTACGAGACCCTGCAAGGGTCCTTCCTTCCATCTTGGCTGACCTGCTTCAGGTCCAGGGGATGCCAGTGGCCTCCATCCTTTCCTGAACTCCCTCCAGCCTTTGCCCTGCCCTCTCCCTCCTGCCATGACTTTCTTCCTGCAGATACCTGCGGGTGTGCTACCTTGCTTCATTCAGGTCTCTGCTCAGATATATCTGTCACAGTTTCTATGGCTCTTAGCATCCTGTTTCTTCATTGCCCTCATCATTTGCTAAAGTAACAAATACCTTATGAATTTATCTTTGTTTCTCCCCTCACTAGAATGTGAACTTCATAAAGGCAGGAATTTTTATGTGTCTTCTTTATTTCTTTATTCCAGGACCTGGTCTATAGTGGGTGTTCGGAGACTGCAGAGCACCACCATAACCCAGAAGGTATATAGGCCTTGTAGCCTAGGGACCGGGGTTCAAATCACACTCCAGAGCTAAGCTTTGGGTGTAATGCTTGGGTACTCTGTCCCACTGTTTTATCTTCCATAAAAGGTTATTATTTATTTCTCAGGGGTCACAACAATAAGATTGTCACTGCTTGTAAACATTGCAGAGATGCACAATTGCAATGTTTTCTAAATAAAAGCAAAAAGGGGCCAGTGAGCATGCAAAATCAGTGCCAAATCCATGTGCTAAACTGTATGCGCTTAACTCCTGGAAAGCTGCTTTTGGCCCATTTGTTCTCACTTAAAATCTTTAAAATTTCCAATGAGCTTGACCCCTTGCTTTCCTAGGCTACAACAACTGGAAGCAGATTGGGAGTGAGGAGGAAGTGGGCAGAGGATGTCTGGTGGCCTTGGTGACCAGCAGCTGAGGACCCATTGATACCCAGGTGGAGAGGGAGGTGCCGATTCTCCTGAATCACGAGAGCAAAGAAATCACACGTTCTGAGGCCACGAGCTGTCTGCTTTCACCGCGCCTCCCCTCTCATCAGTGTGGAAGAAAATCACCATATGCGTGAATGTGACAGCTGAGGCTCATGAAGACCTGAGTCAGGAGAAACAGGATAATACATATTTCAAATGTTCTCTTTCCTAAGCCCATTCCATGTGTAAAATGTTTTAGAAAGATTTCCATCCCACATAATTAATTTTTCTTAAGGCCTTGGTTTTTAAAGAGGTAAGCTTGCCAAATTTGGGCATTTCACTGACGGGGAATATATCTAATTCCCCGAAACCTAGGTAAATTCTTTCCTAAATGGTATATGATCCATTAAGGAGTTTCCCAACCGAGTTTAGGGAATAGATACAAACTACAAAGCATACCATTAAAGAGCAATTAAAGCACTAGCTCTGCCACAACTATCAGGAATAACAGGATAACTGAAGCAGAGGACCTCACGTGGGCTGGGACAGGTGGAAAAGATTCCAAGACAGCGCTGCACAATCGCAAGCTCATTGCAGGCAGGGAGCTCCGCCTAGCCCTCTTTGCATCTCCTCTGAAATGCTTACCTTGCAGGAGGTACTCTGAAAATGCTTCCTGACTGATGTCTGTAGGGGTGAGATTTGGTGGGAGAATAATACAGCTAATTGTGTATGTGCGAAAGGGTTTGGTGTGAAACAGAGTGACTTGATCTAGATGAATGAAAAGCCGTGTGGGGGAATTGTGAGACATCCTTATTGCTATGTAGGCTGCAGCAGAGGATTGAAACAGCTGGTGGATAGGGCAGCGCTCCAGGATGTTGGCGTCCACGTGAGTTCCTGAGCTGAAGTCTGCAGAGCACCACCATGACCCGGAAGGCATACAGAACTTGGAGTGGAGGGATCAGGATTCAGAGCACGTTTCAGCGCTACACCGTAGGTGTATTGCCTGGCTTCTCTGTCCCACCATTTTATCTTCCATAAGCAGTTATTATTTACTTCTCGGGGACACAGCAATAAGATCACCACTCCTTGTCAACATCGCAGAGGTGTGCGAGAGTGTGTATGCACAGACATGTGCACCTACTGTGTACCATGCATGATCTTAAGCTGGTGAGTAAAGCATGTCATAATAGTGGCGTATTTTGAAAGGTTTTTCTGGCTGCAGAATGACAAGGCATGTAGGAAGGAATGAGGAAGAAAAAAATACTAAACTAAAAAGAAATTCCCTTCAACAGCACTTTGTGTTGCCAAATATTTGGTTATTTTACAGTTCTACCAAAATGAGCCGTAGAAACAAAGTTCTATTGAAATGACATCTAAATAATTTCTGAAGATTTATAGTTGCAGAAGAAGGTATGTAAATGTACACGTAAAAAATGTGTAATTATTAGTAAGAATCTGGCTTGGCCTAGCAATGTGGACTTATGGGATGCATTTCTACCCTTGCCTGGCAACCTGGACAATTAGGGAGACATAACTTAAAAATACTAGTATTCATCCACTGTATGTGTGGGGTCATTACTGATCCAGAGTTACCTCTTAGTGTACAGGGCAATTCACTTTCATAAATGCCACTTTTGGCTGGGCGCGGTGGCTCATGCCTGTAATCCCAGCACTTTGGGAGGCCCAGGCAGGTGGATCACCTGAGGTTGGGAGTTCGAGACCAGCCTGACCAACATGGAGAAACCCCGTCTCTACTAAATATGCAAACTTAGCCAGGCATACTTGAGAGGCTGAGGCAGGAGAATCGCTTGAACCTGAGAGGCGGAGGTTGCGGTGAGCCAAGATCGCGCCATTGCACTCCAGCCTAGGCAACAAGAGGGAAACTCTGTCTCAAAAAAATAAAATAAATAAATAAATAAATAAATAAATGCTTCTTTCAGTTCAGAGCTCACCTCTGTTTTATTACAAAAGATGTCCCAGTATTATTGGCAAAGGCAAGAGCACTGACTCAGATTATTTCTTTTCTTTAATTAATTTATTTTTAAAATTTATTTATTTTATTATGCTTTAAGGTCTGGGATACATGTGCAGAATGTATAGGTTTGCTGCATAGGTATACATGTGCCATGGTGGCTTGCTGCATCCATCAACCTGTCATCTACATTAGGTATTTCTCCTAATGCTATTTGCTATTCCTCTCCTTGCTCCCCAACCCCCGACAGGCCCCAGTGTGTGATGTTCCCCTCCCTGTGCCCATGTGTTCTCATTGTTCAACTCCCACTTATGAGTGAAAACATGTGTTGTTTAGTTTTCTGTTCCTGTGTTAGTGAGCTGAGAATGATGGTTTCCAGCTTCATCCATGTCCCTGCAAAGGACATGAACTCATTCTTTTTTCCTGGCTGCATAGTATTCCGTGGTGTATATATGCCACATTTTCTTTTTCCAGTCTATTATTGATGGGCGTTTGGGTTTGTTCCAAGTCTTTGCTATTGTGAATAGTGCTGCAGTAAACATATGTGTGCATGTGTCTTTATAGTAGCAGGATTTATAATCCTTTGGGTATATACCCAGTAATGGGATTGCTGGGTCAAATGGTATTTCTAGTTCTAGATCCTTGAGGAATAGCTGCACTGTCTTCCACAATGGTTGAGCTAATTTATACTCCCATCAACAGTGTAAAAGCATTCCTATTTCTCTACATCCTCTCCAGCATCTGTTGTTTCCTGACTTTTTAATGATCACCATTCTAACTGGTGTGAGATGGTATCTCATTGCACTTTTGATTTGCATTTCTCTAATGACCAGTGATGATGAGCTTTTTTTTTCATACGTTTGTTGGCTGCATAAATGCCATCTTTTGAAAAGTGTCTGTTCATAGCCTTTGCCCACTTTTTGATGGGGTTGTTTTTTTCTTGTAAATTAGTTTAAGTTCTTTGTAGATTCTGGATACTAGCCCTTTGTAAAATGGATAGATTGCAAAATTTTCTCTCATTCTGTAGGTTGCCTGTTCACTCTGATGATAGTTTCTTTTGCTGTGCAGAAGCTCTTTAGTTTAGTTAGATCCCATTTGCCAATTTTGGCTTTTGTTACAATTGCTTTTGGTGTTTTAGTCATGAAGTCTTTGCCCATGCTTATGTCCTGAATGGTATTGTCTAGGGTTTCTTCTAGGGTTTTTATGGTTTTAGGTCTTATGTTTAAATCTTTAAACCATCTTGAGTTAATTTTTGTATAAGCTGTAAGGAAGGGGTCCAGTTTCAGTTTTCTGAATATGGCTAGCCAATTTCACCAACACCATTTATTAAATAGGGAATCCTTTCCCCATTACTTGTTTTTGTCAGTTTTGTCAAATATCAGATGGTTGTAGATGTGTGGTGTTATTTCTGAGGCCTCTGTTCTGTTCCATTGATTTATATATCTGTTTGTTACCAGTACCATGCTGATTTGGTTACTGTAGCCTTGTAGTATAGTTTTAAATCAGGTAGCATGATGCCTCCAGCTTTGTTCTTTTTGCTTAGGATTGTCTTGGCTATACGGGCTCTTTTTTGGTTCCACATGAAATTTAAAGTAGTTTTTTATAATTCTGCGAAGAAAGTCAATGGTAGCTTTATGGGAATAGCATTGAATCTGTAAATTACTTTGGGCAGTATGGCCATTTTCACAATATTGATTCTTCTTGTCCATGAGCATGGAATGTTTTTCCATTTATTTTTGTCCTCTCTTATCTCATTGAGCAGTGGTTTGAAGTTCTGCTTGAAGATGTCCTTCACATCCCTTGTAAGTTGTATTCCTAGGTGCTTTATTCTCTTTGAAGCAAATGTGAATGGTAGTTCACTCATGATTTGGCTCTCTGTTTGTCTATGATTGGTGTATAGGAATGCTTGTGATTTTTGCACATTGACTTTGTATCCTGAGACTTTGCTGAAGTTGCTTATCAGCTTAAGGAGTTTTGGGGCTGAGACAATGGGGTTTTCTAAATATACAATCATGTCATCTGCAAACAGAGATAATTTGACTTCCTCTCTTTCCATTTGAATAACCTTTATTTCTTTTTCTTTCCTGATTGCCCTGGCCAGAATCTTATTATTTTGAGATATGTTCCATTGATATCTAGTTTACTGAGTGTTTTTAGCATGAAGGGGTGTTGAATTTTATCAAAGGCCTTTTCTGCATCTATTGAGATAATCTTGTGGTTTTTGTCATTGGTTCTGTTTATGTGACGGATTATGTTTATTGATTTGTGTATGTTGAACCAGCCTTGCATCCTAGGGATGAAGCCGACTTGATCGTGGTGGATAAGCTTTTTAATGTGCTGCTGGATTTGATTTGCCAGGATTTTATTGAGGATTTTCGCATCAATGTTCATCAGGGATATTGGCCTGAAATTTTCTTTTTTTGTTGTTTTTCTGCCAGGTTTTGGTATCAGGATGATCCTGGCCTCATAAAATGAGTTAGGGAGGAGTCCCTCTTTTTCTACTGTTTGAAATAGTTTCAGAAGGAATATTATTAGCTCCACTTTGTGCCTCTGGTAGAATTCGGCTGTGAATCTGTTTGGTCCTGGGCTTTTTTTGGTTGGTAGGCTATTAATTACTGCCTCAATTTCAGAACTTGTTATTGGTCTCTTCAGGGATTTGACTTCTCCCTGGTTTAGTCTTGGGAGGGTGTATGTGTCCAGGAATTTATCCATTTCTTCTAGATTTTCTAGTTCATTTGCACAGAGGTGTTTACAGTATTCTTTGATGGCAGTTTGTATTTCTGTGGGACCAGTGGTGATATTCCCATTATCATTTTTTTTATTGTGTCTATGTGATTCTTCTCTCTTTTCTTTTTTATTAGTCTGGCTAGCAGTTGATTTTGTTAATCTTTTCAAAAAACCAGCTCATGGATTCATTGATTTTTTGAAGAGTTTTTCTTGCCTCTATCTCCTTCAGTTCTGCTCTGATCTTAGTTATTTCTTGCCTTCTGCTAGCTTTTCAGTTTGCTTGCTCTTGCTTCTCTAGTTCTTTTAATTGTGATGTTAGGGTGTTGATTTTGGATCTTTCCTGCTTTCTCCTGTGGACATGTAGTGCTATAAATTTCCCTCTAAACACTGCTTTAGCTGTGTCCCAGAGATTCTGATATGTTGTGTCTTTGTTCTCACTGGTTTCAAATAACTTATTTTTTTGCCTTAATTTCATTATTTACCCAGTAGTCATTCAGGAGCATGTTATTCAGTTTCCATGTAGTTGTGTGGTTTTGAGTGAGTTTCTTAATCCTGAGTTCTAATTTGATTGCACTGTGGTCCGAGAGACCGTTATGATTTCTGTTCTTTTCCATTTGCTGAGGAGTATTTTACTTCCAATTATGTGGTCAATTTTAGAATAAGTGCCATGTGGTACTTTTTGTAGGTCTCTAAGAACATGCTTTATAAATCTGGGTGCTTCTGTATTGGGTGCATATATATATATATATATATATATATATATATATATATATATATGATAGTTAGCTCTTCTTGTTGCATTGATCCCTTTACCATCATGTAATGCCCTTCTTTGTCTTTTTTTTTTATCTTTGTTAGTTTAAAGTCTGTTTTATCAGAGACTGGGGTTGCAAACTCTGCTGTTTTTTGCTTTCCATTTGCTTGGTAAATCTTCCTCTATCCATTTATTTTGAGTCTTTGTGTTTCTTTGCACATGAGATGGGTCTCCCAAATACAGCACACTGATGGGTCTTGACTGTTTATTCAATTTGCCAGTCTTTGTCTTTTAATTGGGGCATTTAGCCCATTTACATTTAAGGTTAATATTGTTTTGAGTGAATTCAATCCTGTCATTATGATGCTAGCTGGTTATTTTGCCCATTAGTTGATGCCATTTCTTCAGCGTTAATGGTCTTTATATTTTGGTATGTTTTTGCAGTGGCTGGTACTGGATTTTCCTTTCCATATTTAGTGCTTCCTTCAGGAGCTCTTGTAAGGCAGGCCTGGTGGTGACAAAATCCCTCAGCATTTACTTGTCTGTAAAGGATTTTATTTCTCCTTCACTTATGAAGCTTAGTTTGGCTGGATGTGAAATTCTGGACTGAAAAATTCTTTTCTTTAAAAATGTTGAATGTTGGCCCCCACTCTCTTCTGCTTGTAGGGTTTCTGCAGAGAGATCTGCTGTTAGTCTGATTGGCTTCGCTTTGTGGGTAGCCGGACCTTTCTCTCTGGCTGCCGTTAACATTTTTTCCTTTATTTCCACCTTGGTGAACCTGACGATTAAGTGTCTTGGGGTTGCTCTTCTCGAGGAGTTTCTTTTTGTTGTTCTCTGTATTTCCTGAATTTGAATGTTGGCCTGTCTTCCTAGTTTGGGGAAGTTCTTCTGGATATTATCCTGAAGTGTGTTTTCCACCTTGGTTCCATTCTCCCCACCACTTTCAGGTACACCAATCAAACGTAGGTTTGGTCTTTTCACATAGTCCCATATTTCTTGTAGGCTTTGTTCATTCCTTTTCATTCTTTTTTCTCTACTCTTGTCTTCAGGTTTTATTTCATTAAGTTGATATTTAATCTCTGATATCCTTTCTTCCTCTCTATTGATTTGGCTATTGATACTTATGTATGCTTCACAAAGTTCTCTTGCTGTGTTTTTCAGCTCCATCAGGTTCTTCTGTGTTGATCTGGCTGGGAGCTGCAGACTGGATCTGTTCCTATTCGACCATCTTCCTTTACTTTGTTTTCTATGAGTTAGACTGTTTTAGATACTTCATGTAAGTGGAATAATACACTATGTTTCTTTCTATGACTGTTTTATTTCACTTAGCATAATGTCCTCAAGGAACATCTATGTTGTCATATATTGTAGGATTTTTTTAAAAGATGAATACTATTCTATTGAATATATATCACATTGTCTGTATCCACTCATCTGGCAATAAACATTTTACATTATTTTCACATCTTGGCAGTTGTAAATAATGCTGCAATCAACATGGGAATGCTAATATCTCTGAGATCTTGATTTCAATTCTTTTGGATAAATACCCAGAAATGGGTTTGTGGCATCATGTGGCAGTCTTATTTTTAAAATTTTAAGGAAGCTTCATATGGTTTTCCATTGCTGCTGCACCATTTTGTGTTGCCACCAATAGTATGAAAGAGTTCCAGTGTCTCCAGTCTTCATGAACACTTGTCTTTCGTTTTGTTGACAATAGCTATCCTAACAGGTATAAGGTGATATTGCATTGTGGTTTTGATTGCATTTCTCTGATTATTAGTGACATTGACCATACCTTCATATGGCTTTTGGGCAATGGTTTGTCTTCTTTGGAGAAATGTCTGTGCAAGTTCCTAGCCTCCTTTTAACCAGGTTATTAGATGTCTTGCTATTGATTGGTAGGAATTCCTTATACATAATGAATAATAACTGCCTTAGTTTGGTCCTTTTCTAGTTCCTTGCGATGTATAGTTAGGCTGTTTATTTAAGATCATTCTTCTTTTAAATGTAGGCATTTGTTGCCACAAACTTCCCTCTTAGTACGGTTTTTGCCGTGTCCCATAAATTTTGGTATGTTTTATTTTCATTTTCATTTGTCTCAAGATATTTTCTAATTTTTCTTTTAATTTATTCTCTAACCCATTTGTTTGTTCAAAACTGGGTTGTTTAACTTTTATATATTTGTGAAGTTTTCAGTTCTTTCTGCTGATAATTTCTAGTTTCATTCCAATGTGGCTTCAAGACGAACTGAGGGTGGATTCTGGTCAACAGCCAGGGACAAACTGAGGTCCTTTGTCCAACAGCCCTAGAGGAACCAAGGCCTTGGAACTGAGCATGCAAGCAGCTCTTTCCCTAATTGAGCATTCAGATGAAACCACAGCCCTGCTCAACACCTCACTGCAGCATCATGGAAGAGCATGAAGCAGAGGCCTTGTTATGCCACTTCCAGACTTCTGAGACACAGAAACCATGAGATTGTCAATGCGTGCTGTTTTAGGCCACTGCGTTTTGGAGTAATTTATTACACAGCAATAGATAACTAACATAAGTGACCTACCTAAGTCACATACCTTAAAATGTTATCTAAACTGAGATTAAATGAAGATAATGAAAGGATTCAAAATGACTGAATCTACCAATCTAATCTAAGAAATACCCTCAGCAAATTTAAACACAATTACATGCAACAAATGACAAAAGGTGTCCAATAGGCTTTTGATATTGACTTTCAATTCCATCCCAAACAAAGAATTTTTAAAAATTATTTGCATATAAGAGTCTTTGTTCTGGTCCTCTCTGAATTCCTCCTTTCCATGTTGCTCAGATTCTGTGTGGCTACCACCACCACGACAGGGTTTTCTTAAACCTGTTTCCTGTGTCTGAACCTATTTCTACTTTGGAAAGAAAAAAGTCTAATTTTATGTACTATGTCTTTGCCAGCAGAATTCCTAAGGAGGGCCATTTATTGTAAATGCTTTGAAATCTTATTGTCTGAATAACTGATGTGTTTGTGATTATTTCTAAAATGTCCCTTATCAAAAGTTGTATTTGAAGTTAAAATCTTAGATGTTGTTATTCTCTTTCTGCCCTAGGACATTCTTAAAATGGAGATGTGTTTTCTGTTATTTCTACTGAAATATTTTGAAATAAATAATGAGCTAGCAGTTTTATATCATGCCATCTGTGCAAGATAGAACTTTGTAGAATACTACTAGCTACAAAACACAAAAGCCTATAGAGCGTTTGTTATACACTGCAATAGAAATTGAATGCTGTTTTACAGAATTAAACAATATCACCCATTCTAATTTTCCTTAAATAACCAAAGAGATTGGTTTAAATTATTGTCTAACAGCTTTTTGATTAAAGGTGCATTTTAAAACTTCCAAAATGCATCTAATGAAACAACCTTTTGTGTAACTATTCTATTCTGGAAAAGAGTTTGTGTTTTGTAAACATGTAATTCACATAATATTTGCTGCAGATCATATTAGAGAGTATGCATTTTTTTTTTTTACTCAAATGTGAAATAGGAATTTCAGGTCAAAGAGTCACCATGCATATAAAGAGAAAGATGAATTTTAAAAATACATATGAGAACTTCGGTAAGTTATTCAATCTCTTTTGTCTTTAGTTGCTTCATCTGTAATCTAGGAATGAATGAATGAACAGCCGAGGGCATGAATAGCTGCTGAGTATCACATAAATAAATGCCAAAGGTTTTCATTAACATTGTTCTATTTCCTTTCTACAATGGTTTTATAAAACAAAATTATTTACATTTTATTGATGGTAAAGCTGATTCTCATCTTCCTTTTTTCTGTGAAGTGGTTAAGTAAAAATTAAGATAAAGTAAGTGAAAACGTACCAAGAGATACCAAGAAAAAGGCTCTTTATGAATGTCTGAAGAGTGATTATTTTACATCTCATGAGAAATAATTGTTAATTTTAAAATAAGGTTGTTTCTTTTGGCCAAGTCAATTAAAATACCTTTTTCTGATGAAATCTTCTGGTTATAATTACACATTTCTTTAAGTTCCTTCTTCTGAATCGAGCCAAAGCCAAGCAGATATTGATTCTTGTAAACATTTTACTGGCATACATAAACCATATTATTTACTGAGTGATTTTGGTTTACTTTATTTTTCCTTTACTGACACAACTTTTTTTGGCTTTCTGTCAGAGCCACAGACTGTTATTTTCTTGTTTGCTTTTGTTTTGTTTTGTTTTTCCTATGTTGACTTTGGTAAAGTTCCCACTAAATGGCTATTGTATTAAGCCTTCTACTTTGGGGCCATAGTAACTGTTTGCTGATTGTGGTATAGATTTATAATGTTGATTTATTCCAGAACATGGTATAAGAATACCACTTTAGCATGGCCTTTGGCTACCAGATATGTCACTGTGCAAATTCATTTTTTAGTTTATTCTTACAGCTTGTTGCAGTTACATCATCTTATGGAAGATGCTCAAAAAGAAGCATCCTTAGAAGATGGCCCTTGGTTTCTAGGTTAGCCTATTTGGAAACTTGGTTGATGGTATCCAGGGAATGTGGAAATTTTGAACTACCTCCATGTGACTGGGGATTTGGGACACTCATTTTCACCCATGAATGTCATGTCAATAGAACCCTGGGCCATTGGCTATAACTGAAGCCAATGTGGTTCCTTTTGTAAATTTTGATTCCTTTTCTTTTTCCCTTTAGGTCCCAGTTTATCTCAAGTAATATATTATCCTCCTGCCTCCTGAAATTTTACTGACTTTATCCTTAGGTGTAGGTTTATTTAATGCCTTTGGTCCTTCTACAAGAACGTCCTCACAGAATCTAGCAATTGAGCCAGCAGATGGAATTGGCATCTCTTAAATTATAATTCCTAGTAATCCCCTCCCTCCATTCTTCTCACCCTTCCTCCCTCCCTCCATTTCTCTTTCTCTAAAATGAATTATACAGTTAAAAGACTTAGTAAGTCTTGAGAAAAACTATAGTAGCATTGTTAAACACATCAATTTTTAAACCAGCTTGCCTGAGTTCAAAGCCAAGCCCTACCAATTATTAACCTTGGGCAAGTTACTTAACTTCTCCCTGCTTCCATTTCTTCACCTGCAAAGTGGGAATGTTAAGGATAGCCCTTAATCTCATAGTGCTATTGCTAAGATTAAGCAAATTAAAATATCTAAAGCCCTTAGAGCACTACATAACACATAGTAAGTGCTAGCAGAATGTTTGCTATTTTTATTACCAATTTTACAAAATATTCCAGTAAAGTGTCATTCACTACATTATGAAGCTTACTGGATAATATTTCTAGATCCTTCAGAGCAAAAACAGCATGCAGATGTTCACTGTAAGTTTGAAAACTGCAGAAAATTCACTTGGCTCTTTTTATTTGCTTCAAATTAGAAATGTATCAACCTGTATTGATTGGAAATCTAATAAGTATTTGAATTTTAAGTATGGACATCCATAGTTTCCATATTATTCAGAAGCACAAAGTGACTATCAAACTATTGTACATTCCTGGCAATAAGATGGACCAGGGATCGACTTTTAGTGACAACAATAAAGCCCTTGATACTGCTTTTGTTTTGCTGACTTAAAATTGAACCATGTTTTATTTAATAACAATTATGCTTTTTACTTGTAAAATGCATGTAAAGAAAGTTAAGAAATACCAAGGGCAATAATATCTGATTCTTTCCCCCCAAATAAAATGATCTTATGAGCTACATCACCCAATTTAACCTGTACACATGTACTTTTGTGTTGTTCCCCAATGTTTTCAGTAAAACCTCTGGTCTTAACAACCTGTTTCCAAGGTTCTACCATAATACTAGTTAGCCAACATAGTATTGGGTTAAGCAGTACCAGTCTTGAACTATTATACCCACTGAGAATAGTTAATGGCAGTTCACAGGAACATCCATGTTTATCTCCTGTGTGCGTGTGTGTGTGTGTGTGTGTGTGTGTGTGTGTGTAAGAGAAATGGACGAGGGAGTGCTGGGGAATAGTTAAGATACAGATAGAGAAAGGGAAATCTTTAAAACTTCAGACCTCAGTTGGTCTTGTGAGGTGTGAGCAGGAAAAAGTCCACCCAGTTCATCAGCCTTTGCTAGAATTTGCCAGGCAGCTCAGAATGCAAAGGGATGAAGACTGATGGCATGGAGGTCTGAGTGTTTCCATTAGTGAGTAGGACCATAGCAGCAAACACAGCAGTCCCAGAGGACCAATGAATAGTGGCAGGCATTTTGCAAGCATTATGAGAGAAAAGCAAATCCTTCTTAGGAATTCTATTAGCAAAGAGTTAGTACATAAAATGAGACTTTTTTCTTTCCAAAATAGAAATAGGTTCAGACATAGGAAACAGGTTTAAGAAAAGTGTGTCATGGTGGTGGTAGCCATGCAGAATCTGAGCAACATGGAAAGGAGGAATTCAGAAAGGACCAGAACAAAGACTCTTATATGCAAATAACTTTTAAAAATTCTTCATTTGGGATGGAATTGAAAGTGAATATCAAAATCCTACTGGACACCTTTTGTCATTTGTTGCATGTAATTATGTTTAAATTTGCGGAGGGTATTTCTTAGATTAGATTGGTAGATTCAGTCATTTTTAATCCTTTCGTTATCTTCATTTAATCTCAGTTTAGATAAGATTTCAAGGTATGTGACTTAGGTAGGTCACTTATGTTAGTTATCTATTGCTGTGTAATAAATTACTCCAAAACACATTGGCGTAAAATAGCACGTATTGACAATCTCATGGTTTCTGTGTCTCAGAAGTCTGGAAGTGGCATAACAAGGCCTCTGCTTCATGCTCTTCCATGATGCTGCAGTGAGGTGTTGAGCAGGGCTGTGGTTTCATCTGAATGCTCAATTAGGGAAAGAGCTGCTTGCATGCTCAGTTCCAAGGCCTTGGTTCCCCTAGAGCTGCTGGACCACGGGCCTCAGTTTGTCCCTGGCTGTTGACCAGAAGGCACCCTCAGTTCATTGTCATGCAGGATTCTTCAAAGTGGGAAGCCGCCTCTTCAAAGCTCAAAAGACAGCACATCAGCCAGCAAGATGGAAGTCACAATCTTTTGTAACCAAATTAAGGAACAGAGGTTCCCTCAAGTTTGTCACATTTTGTTGGTGAGAAGTAGTAAGCCCAGGGGGATTTTACAAAGTTGCGAGTATCAGGAGGTGTAGATCATGGGGGACATCTTAGGGATTGCCTGCTACCCTGTTTTTCACTTTTGCAGTTAGGGGATTATATGACAGAGTAGGTAAAACTAGGCAAGCTGCTTAAATGAAATAATGCAATGCAAAGTGTGTTATTTGGTGTCCTCTAGGAGCTTTAAAATAATAAGAACCCTTTCTTCTTCCCTTTGGTAATTCTCATTATGACAGCAGCTACCCTTGAAAGAGGACCACCTCTAACTTGGACACCAAGATCTTTCTGGCCTGGCCTCTGATTCTCCTTTGCACCCTTCACTTGTGAGCCACTCTGGACATTTGCCAGCTTCTCTATGTGGTGTGCACTTCCCCTCCCCTCCCATCAATGCCCCTTCATCTCCTGGCAAATCCTACTCACGTTTCAGCCATCACCTTACATTTCACTTTGTCTGGGACATCTTCTCTAATCTTCCTAATTCTGGGCTTGAGGTGTTTTCCTTATGGATTTTCATTGCATTTGATGCTTACCCTTATGCTGCAGCTTCTATTACTATTACTACAGTTACTACTGCTGCTGAAGCTTGTACTTCTACTACTACGGCTCTCACTACTATTACTAGTACTACTGTTACTGCTGCTGCTAGCAGCTTCGACTACTAGTAGTACTTTTATTATTACTGCTACTACTACTACTATTATAGCTGATGCTACAGCTTCTACTAGTATTGATGCTTTTGCTGCTACTGTAATCTTGCTGCTTTTACTATTATTACTACCATCTAATATTTATTGAACACTAAAAAACAGGTGATATTTTAGTGTTTATACATTAGCTTATTTAATCTTCTTTTCAAGTTGATGAGGTAGTTATTATCTTCTTTTTAGAAATGAATAAAGAAGGCACAGATAATGTTATTGTTATTGCGTTATTTTTAAAGATGAAGAAAGGAGGCTCAGAAAAGTTAAAAAGTTGTTCCAGAGCTAAAAAAAAAAAAAAAGGTGATATCATAAAAGTAAAAAGAAGAACAGAGGAAACCTTAGACTGGGAAGGGAAGTTGGAAAGGTGAAAAAGGGAGAGATTTGTTGAAGGATACACAATTACAGCCAGATGGGAGGACAAGTCTTAGTGTTCTGTAGCACTGCAGGATGACTACAGTTAACAATAATATACAGTTCCAAAAGCTAGAAGGAGGATATTGACCGTTCCCAACATGCTCAATGATGATGATGGATATGCTAATTACCCTCATCTGATCACTATATATTATATGTATCAAAATATCACTATGTACTCCATGAATATGTACAATTATAATATTTGTCAATTTCTTAAAAAAAGTTGTCCTTGGCCATATAGCTAGTGTTTGTTTGCCTTTTGCAAGCTTTTCTAGATTGCAAGTTTCAGGAGCTCAACTACCTTATTTAGGTTTTTTGTTTTGGTAGATTCAAAATTGAACACAGTGTTCAATACAGACCACAGTTGGGGATTATTGCTGAATAAATTAGAACAAAATATTGTAATATTTTGTGTGAAGATTTTAATTGCGGAGTGGCTTAGTTTTCTCATTGTATAAGGCAGTAATAACACCATCTTTGCAGGATTGCATAAACTATAAGTGAATGACTGTGTCCTGATACATAGTAAATGCTCAGTGAATGCTGCAATCATTATAATGCAAAGTGGAGAACTGAGCTATGGCAATACGTTCTGCAACTTAAAGTGGGGTGTCTGGAATTTCCTAAGGGTAGTAACATTGTTTAGCATGAGGATATTATTTTTTCCTTAGACGCAATTAGAAATTAGACTGATGTGAAAAAGGTCTCAGATGATACTGAGTCTAGTTGACTATGCCCTTAAATCTTGCTGTATTGCTGAACTGGAGAAAAGGAGATTTTATCGGTGTGGGGTGTGGTAGAAATTGCAGGGTTGTCGTGTGGATAATGAAATGCTGTGTGTGGTTGTGGTGGTGGTGGTGTATTGGTCTTTATCCCAGGCTCTTTGACTACCAGCATAAGAGACTCCTGGCAGCCTTCCGTGGATTAACAGTGTTTCAATTACCTTCTATGGTTAAGTAGAGTTTTATTTTGAATTCCCAAGCAGCGCTTGGTTGTGCTACTTGCCTTCTCTCCTCATTAAGTGTTGCTTATCTTGAACAAGTAATCGTAGGTTACCAGGAAATGTTTCTGGTTCTCAACTTGTGTCTCTGGCTTCATGGGAAGCTTAAAAATATCCTGTGTCCCAGAATTCAAGTTATGGGGAGTTGAAGCATGCTTCTAAGCAGTTACTCTTTAGACTTTACAAATCAGCTGTCTGATCCTGTAGCTGATGCTTTCCTTTGCTCACCTTGGAATCCGTGAAGTTGAACGTTTGTCAAATGCTACTTTGAAAATGCAGTGTTATTATTCTTCACAGCGATAATGACTTCAAAAGTTCCTCCAGGTTATCTCAGCATGGTCTCTCCTGCCCAGTCATCTTCAACTTTGTTTTGCCAGGGGTTCTTCTAACTGTCTTTCACAGACTTTGCCAAGTTCATTTGGTGGCTGTTGTTACACTTGCTGGCCTAGAGACCTTTGCTTTATAGTTTTGCCCTTTTAAAAATAATGGAGTCATGTTTTCCTCCCTTTAATCCCTCATGAATCTACTGAACTTTTCAAAATGTCATTGAGGGAGCCAGTGGTTAACTTTTTCCCTTCTCTAACATTCTGATGCATGTTATCAGGACCCAAAAGTTTGTCGTCTTCTCCACATTTATCATTTTAAACATTTCTATTATCCACATGTTGTATAATGGCACTTATGCCGTTTTCTGGCTCTAGTGTTCATTTCCAAAGATGGATAATAAACTTTCAACTTTAATGAGAGGCCAGTGACTCTGTGAGGAGCGGTGCAGCTGGCCCTTCTCTACTGTGGTTACATCAGTTCGGTGCTTTCTGGAGGCTTCTTTTTGCTCTCGTTCCGCTCACACTTTGGATTTAAAATTGTGAATAGAAGTGGGAGAACTTCAACTCTTTTTAATATTGTGCTGTCTATTAAATAATAGACTGAACCCACAATAAAGACTAAAAATTTCTGAATGTTACATTATTTAATGAAATCCTTTAAACAGTGTCGATGCTGCATAAAACGATCTCAACGCATGCAACTCTGCGTTGAAGCATTTTCACAGAACGGGTTCATGTTGAGCCCTGAATGAATTGCAACTTAGCTGTATCCATTTCATTCTCCTTTATTCTATTTGGTGTGTTATCAGTTTTCATCTAATGCGATCATTGATATGGTTTGTTAAGGTCTATCATATTGCTATTTACATTTTTCTGTGGAGGGTCTCATCTAATTTTTGTTTTCCAAATCGTTTTTTCCTCACAAGATTTTGGATGAATCAAATATGTTTTTCATTCTGTTTAAACATATTTTATTTTCTTTTTGTACTTTTTAAAGTGTTTGTTTCATGTATGACCCTATACATCTTTATTACTGTCTACTTAGAGTTGATATTATGCTACTTTATTTAAATAAAAAAACTTGTTCATTTTTGTTAAATTTATATCTAAGTAGTTTATTATTTTGAGTCTACTGTACATTAATATTAAAAATTTTATTTTCTTTATTTTGCTGGAATGAGAAATACAATTTCATTTTGTATATGACCTCTTAATTGAAGATACTTTAAGTTTTTCTACATAGACAATTACAATAGCAGTAAATAAAGAAAAATAAGCCAGCTTAGTGACTCAGTGTATTTTCTAATGAAGACTATAGTTCTTCAGACTGAATAGATCAGGCCAAACCTTAGTGGTCATTGTTAAGGTCACACAGCCATCGCCTGAAGGTGACCTGACAGTGGCTTCTGGTTTTACCCGAATTCCAATCCATGTTCCTTATGGATTTTTTTAGTGATGGCATAGGTAAGTGAGCTGGAAATCTGAGGCCACTATCTATGTCTCTCTTGAAGGATGAGTTTTGTTGTGAGCGCTCCTCAGTGATGGCCTGGGTACTTCTAGAGCCTATCTGAATGAATGATGTACAGAAACAGCTTTGCTGAGAGGAGGGAATTTTTTCTCCTTCATGTCCTCTGGCATCTCTTTAATCAGCCAGAACTGTAAGAAAGGTTCATCACATTTTCTTTCTTTACTGAGCCCATTAACCTACATGTTGCAAGCTGTCATGTCAAATGATTACTAGCAGATTATGGTAACAGCGACCCTGTCTTCCGGTAGTTTAGAGGAGCTTTGCTTTAGATTAAGCAGAGCAAATGGCTAATTGCTGCAACCTCTTCTTCTTGTGAGCAGATTTTATAAAGTCATCTGGGAAAGGCATGGCCTGACAATAAAGCTTGATCTCCATGGACTAGGGCCAGGAAAATGTAGAATATCTTTAGTGATATGGAGTGGCTTCTGAAATGTTGAACATTAATTCCTTTTAAATACCATACTGAGTAGAAAAAAAACTTTTTTTAAAGTTTTTCTATATAGACAATTACAATAGCAGTAAATAAAGACTGTTGGACTTCTCTCTTTCCATATGCTACTTCCTTTTCTTGAATTGCACTGGTCAGGCATCTCCAATGCAGCTTTTGTGTTGGTGTTCTGTATCTACATATAATCTGTGCAAACATTATTAACCCCATATACACTGTTATAAGTATTGCTTTAAGCAGTAATATGTCTTCTAAATAAATTATGGAAAAAAGAAAGCCTATTTGCAATCTTTTATATTTGCTGAAATATTTTCCAATTCTGGTGCTCTTTATTCCTTTATGTAGATCCATATTACCATCTTCCTGATGTCATTTATTTTAGGCCTGAAGAACTTCCTTTTAGGAATTTCCAAGTTCAGGTTTATTGGTGAATAATCTCAGTTTAAAAAAATCTGATGTGTTGTTTGCAACCTCATTTTCCAGGATATTTTCCATTAGCTATAGATTCATTTTTGTCCTTAAAACTATGTTCCATTGTCTTCTGCCCTACATCATTTATGATGAGAAGTCATCTGATACTCCTCTCATTCTTTTCTCTAAATGAAAAGTGTTGTTTCTCTGTAGGTAAACACAAGATTTTCTTTTTAACTTTGGCTTTAGCAAATTTATAGTTTAGCAATAATTATGATGGGGACAGTTGTGGTTTTCTTCTTACTTGCTTAGATTTCAATGAGTTTTTCGACTTATTGGATTATGGGTATCACTATATTGGGAGTTTTTTTTCAGCCATTGTTTCTTTGAATATTTTATTTTCTTACTCATTGTATCTTTCTTCTCTTTCTTGGGTGGCAACAGCACATATGTTAGGGTGCTTGACATTTTCCCACAGTTTACTAAGACTGTGCTTATTTTTTGTCATTGTTAATATAGCTCTGATTCTCTCTGTCCTTCAGAGTGTGTTATTACTGTTCAATCTTCAAGTTCACTTATTCTTTTTTCTGTCACTCAGTCTGTTGTTAAGCCACATGACTAAAAATCTCCTATCAGATATTGTGCTTTTCACTTTAGAGTTTCCATTTGGTTTCCTCATTCATTCATTCTCAAATATTTTCCTATAAATCCTTAAACATATTTATAATACCTGCTCTAGAGACTTTGCTCAACATCTGCATCCTTCTGGGTTTAATTTCTATTGACTTATTTTGCTTGATTTTTGGTCCTATTTTCTTGTTTCTTCCTATGCCTAGTGATTTTGGATTGTAATTTGAACACATGTGACACATTGTGGAGACTCTGGGTTTTTGTCCCCTTGAAGTGTGCTGAGCTTGTTTTAGGAGGCAGTGAGCTCCTCTGAACTCAGACTCCACCCTCTGGCTCTTCTGCAGTTGGCAGCAGCTGAAATTAACCCTCAGTTCTTCACTTTCTTGCTGCTTCATTTTGTTGGGCTCCATGGAGCATCTCCCACTGCACCTGTGTATTTAGCAGTCCACCAATGAGTTGGGCAGAATTTATGTGCATGTTTTAGTGCTTCCTCTTCAGTGGCTCCCTCTCTTTCAGGATTTTACCCTAACTTTCTTGATGCTCTTTCCAGAGCCACATGTGGATGGGAGAATGCCCTTTAGCAAAAAGCTGCAAACTCATAAACCTTTCCATTGCTTTCCCATATTTCAGGCATGGGTTACTATCTTTTACATGCCATCTTTGGATGTCTTGAAAAAATCCTCCAGTTATTGCCTGCCTTTTAAATATTTTGTCTAGGTTTGATGATTGTCTCTGTAGCCAACCCACTCGTCTTGACTACTTGCATCTGGGCCCTTCTGAAAGATTATGAAGATTAAGTTCTTCATATTCCGCTATTCTAAAGGTACAAAGGTCAGCATCATCATAAACATTGCCATCATTTACTGTTTAATTAAACTTGAGGAAATTGTGCAATGTGCCTATGTTTAATATACAGATGAGTTGCAGCAATAATAATATTCTGTACATCACTCACTGATGCAGGCTGTGTAGTGGACCTGCAAAGATGCCCACATCTAAGTCCCAGAACCCATGAATATGTTATCTTACATGGTAAAAGAGCTTTTCCAGATGGGACTCAGTTTAGGATCTTGAGATAAGGGATGCTGCTGCACTTTCTGGAGGGGACCAATGTAGTCTGAGGGTCCCTCTAAGAGGATGCAGAAGGTCAGTATGAGGAGAAGGCTAGGTGACAGCAGAAGCAGAGAGAGGCCGAGTCAGAAAGAGAAGGTGCTCCTTCTGGCTTTGGCAATGGAGGAAGAGACCATGAGCCAGGCAGTGCGGGTAGCCTCTGGAAGCTGGAAAAGACACAGAAGTGGATTCCCTCCTGGAGCCTCTGGAAAGAATGCAGCTGTGCTGATACTTTGCTTTTAGTGTAGGAAACCCACTTCAGACTTCTGATCTCCCAAACTGTAAGATAATACATTGTATTGTTTGAAGCTAATAATTTTGTGGTATTTGGTTATGGCAGTGATAGAAAACTGATACAGTCACCAAAATTATTTTATCAGTGGCATTTTATAACCTTCATTTCTAAAAATGGCATATATCTAATCATTTGTACATATCCCTAAAGCAACTTATCACCTATGTATTTTTATTATTTCTAATTTTGTATTCAGATCAGTTTCTTATTAAAGATTATCCCATTGTGAATTTCTAGAGTGATTGAAGATGAGGTCAGCTGTCTTGAGAAGCTTTACTGGAGGACAGAGGAAGCTTCCTTAGATGTTATCTTTGGCTTTCTTGGAAAACCCTCAGAGCACTCGCCTGCCTGCTCTAGAGTTGCTGGTAGTGCATTTTCAATTATCTCTTAAGGGGCTTATAATTCAATCTTATTTGACAACCTAAGTGGAAGCTTATACATCACTTAATATTTATATCTTATGTTTTTTCTCCTTATGTTTCCCCTTATACTATAAACTGTTTGTAACAAAGCCAGCATTATAATTTTATTTTTATTTTTAGTGCCTAATTCGCAGAGAGGACTATTTGCACTCCACAAGTTTCCTGTGTGCAGGTGGCATCATGTGACTCTCCCGGCTGCTGGGACATGAGAGCACAGAATGTGTCCCCTTCAGGCCACAGTGGGGTGTCTGTGCACCTGGCACACATGTGGTGGCTTAGAGACCATGAATGGCCATGTTGGCAATGGAGGGAGCCTGGATTCCTCACACTGTTTGGAGCAGAGCCTGTGAGGAACATCTATACCAGACTTCGTATAGCAAGAGAAAACTTTAATTTTGTTATTCATTTTGACATTTTCAGACAGCTGTTAGAGCAGCTGTTTTATCTTTCTCATGGATACATTTATCAATAGGAATATGCAATCATCAGATTAGATCAGAAAGACTAGTTTTTGAGAGTTGCTGCAATAGCTTAGCCCTGAATTGTGGAGCATCTCCTGTATGCTGGGCACTCTAGCATACACCCTTTAAGTCCCCCTGCCATTCCTACGTTTGCACAGGAGTCCAGGCCTCAATAAGATGAAGGAATTCACCCAAAGCTAACAACCAGAAATGGATGGAATTGGAACGGAATCTAAAGCCATGATTTTTCCCCGGCAACACACTACGTTTAAGGGTTTAAAATCACGGACTACTGTAATAATTCGTTCAACTCCTCTTTTTACAGAGGGCCATGGAAAGTAAAAGGAAGCAACGTTAGTTTCTTGATTTTTTAAAAATTTTGTGCACAGTGCAGTTAACGGGGGGCCATTTGACAAAGTCTGGAGACACTTTTTCTTGTCAAAAGTGGGAGGTACTCCTGGCATTTGGGAGGTGGAGACCAGGGATGCTGCTGAACCCTACAGTGCACAAGATGGCCCCTTTGACAGGGAAGTCCCGTGTCTCCATATCTAGCCCCAAATGTCAACAGTACTGAGGTCGAGAAACTCTGTTAAAGGTCATTCAACCACTGCATGGCACAGAGGGAATTCAAATCCATGGAATTACTACTATATAATGTGTCTCTCCAAAAAGGCTCATTATCACTGACCAAGAAACTTGGGCTCACTGTTTTAACTGATTAGTTGGGAAACTCAAGAGATGCATGATGGAAAAATTTAAATACTTTGATCTTTATGAGGCTGTGAGCTCTTAGCGTTCAAGAATGAAAGACATTTCTTATTGGCTTTTCAATGTCTAGCAACTGGCACATTACATAGTATGTTCTTACTGACAATTTGTTAAATTAATGCATGAGTCATAAAGCAATTTTTGGTGCCCCCAAAGTTGATACTAATGACAGCCACTTTTTAACTAACTTAAGAAAAATATTTTATCAAGTATATATTTTTCTGATTGACATGAAAGATAAGCCTGTGAAACTCCTCTCAGTCCTCCAGTGGGATGCCCCGTGCCTTTAAATGAATTTTACTGTTGGTCTTTGAGTGCAGTAGGCCCCATTTCCCCTTAAAATTGTGGGCTGCATTTCCTCTTATGCTGTATATTTATAGCTGCTGCCTCCTAATTTCTTCTGAGTCTTGTTATTCTTGGCAGCTGTTGTCAAAGAGTATTCACCTCTCCCCTGGGTGTTTTTCTAAAACAAAAATAAAATAAATAAGGGTTTCTCTGTGCCTTGGTCTTTTGGATCATCTTCCCTGCTGCTCCCCAGCAAGGTCTAATTTGCTAGTCTGGATTTGCTTCCGTTGGTAAAAAGAGTCTCTTTTGCAGAGGTGCTTCCTTAATTGGCATTTTTTTTTGTTGGGGCTTGGGAAGCTGGTTCTTCCCACTCACCCCCAGTTCACTAGTGTCCCCACGTGATCTGCGGCTGACAAGAGGCAGAGACAGGCCCATCCAACTCCTTTCTTGTCAAGAAAACTTCACTCCTCTGTAGTTGGATTTTACCCTTAACTCAGAGCCCTTGGAGTTCAAGGGCCTCTGAAAACCAGTTTTCACAGCCCAGGATCCCACACATGTCATCTGAGCTGCACCCAGTGTATTAGAAAAATAGACGACATGTGGAAAGGAGAAAGATTTTATATTCAAGAGCTCCCCCACCTCCAGAAAGAAGCTTCCTGATTAGGAAAAACACCCTTAAGGGTGGGAAGTGACACACTGATTTGACGTGGGCAACCATGAATGAGTCACAACAGTGACTTCCCTGTTGGGCTTTGAGCTGCTCACCTGTTGATATCCGTTTCTCTGTTAACTCTAATCATAACAGGTGAAGCTGACCTGCTTAAAGGATGGAATTTGTAGATTCTCGTGGTTTTCTGTAGAGTCAACTTCTTTGTCCTTTAGATTATCACTGTTGCCTAAAATGTTGCTGTTCGTATGAGAAATGGTCACATGTACCATTAATAACAACATGCCACATTCTCAGAGCTACAGTGGCAGGCTTTATTTTATTGTACTTCGTTTATCTGAGTGTAGCCACTCTCTCAGATACATCTGAAATCCCCGTGGAGGGAGAGGGAGAGGTGATCTCTTGTTTTGGAATGGTGATAGAGGAGAATGGAATGTCATGCCTGGGCCCAAACTCAGTAAGAAAGTTTCTCTGAACTCTGAACTTATTCCTGTTAGTTACGGCACTCAGCCTACCCTGAATTTCCTGCTCTCCCTCCCGGTAGCATCTACCCACTGGCACACACCCCTCCCGACTGGCCTGTTAAGCTCTTCCTTTGAGGAGTGCGGCGGCGGCGGCGTCAATGGCTTCCTTACCCACATGCCCACCTGCAGGCCCAGGCTGCGTTCCTCCTGTTCTGAGGTCTGCTTTTCAGGGAACAGGCGCTTTGCTGCCGCCGCCCCTGCTTCGGTTCTCACTGGAGCAGCGACATCAAGGCCAGCCCATTTTTAAAGCAACAGTTCACAATTTAACATAACTCCAGGTGTACATCTAGCTGTCCATTCTGGTCCCATAATTATGTTCACTTCCTAAGAATTCAAGAGAAGAAAACGCTGAGAATACCCTGTAAAGGAGTTTGAGGAAAGGCACGGGAACTGTTTACCCCACAAAAGTGGAGGAGGTTCCTCCATACGACGATAAATTAGTCGGACATTGGTTGGACTAGAAATGACCTACTCCTGAATGTTTTTGCATGACCCAGCATGTCAGAGGTGGGTAGAATTTAGAACAGGCTATAGCCAGAGTGCTGATTAGAAGTGAAGGGTGTGAACTGGGAGAGCGAGGATGGAGCAGACGATGCTGATGACAGAGACCGCGGAGGCAGAGGAGAGGGCCGAGGCTGAGGATGCTGCAGCAGGGGACAGGTGGAAGATGTTGCTTGGGCGTCGCACGCTTGTAACTCGGATGACTGAATGCTTCATAGATCTCATTGCGCAGAGTGGGCGCTCGGTCATAGTTGCTGAATGAGAATGAGGACTTTTTTTTTATACACTACTGCTTTTGTTTCTGAAGCTTCTAAAGGATGTTTTTGACTTTATTTTTAAACAATGTGATACATTTCCTATATTCTTTTCAATGTCTGTTCATCTCCCAATTCATTTGTCAAAGAGTATAAGTGGTGTCATCTTCTCTGGGATATTTTTAAAACCGTTCTTCAGCAGACAAGCTAAATGCTGGACTACAGAAGCAAATGTGCAGGCTGTGGCTTCAGTTTTAATGCACGCTTTTACCTGTAGTGTTACTGATGCCAAAATCAACCTATTTGAGGGTAGTCATCTCAGGCCTACTTTGAAGTCATCAGATTTAAAGTGAGGTATCATCTTTTGTGATTGCATCACCAGACTTATTTCCTGGAAACCTGATGGAAAGATGTAAAGAGAATGTGTATTAAAATTTGAATAAATGAAAGGAGCTAGTTCACATGTTGGAAAACCACAGAGGAGAATGTCAAACAGAAGAGAAGAGACTGCTCACCTGTTGATATCCATTTCTCTGTTAACTCTAATCATAACAGGTGAAGCTGACCTGTTTAAACGGTGGAATTTGTAGATTCTCATGGTTTTCTGTAGAATCAACTTCTTTGTCCTTTAGATCATCGCTGTTTCCTAAAAAGCCACTGTTCATGTGAGAGAAATTGTCATATGTACCATTAACAATAACATGTCGCATTCCCAGAGGTACAATGGAAACAGTGATTGATTTAGTAAACCCGTATTGAGATCTTAGGCATTCTAGAAGAAACAGTGAGATTGTTTTGGATAAAAGGAGTTGGAAGGCAAGGTAGGGGAAAATGAAATGTTTGCTGAAATCTTGGACATATGAAAGAGGAAGTTAGTGTAAGTATAAACAATTTAAAAAATAACACTTGGCATATAACAAAAATAAGATAGAGACAGAGCAGAATTGAAAATATGAAAGTAATTACTCAAAGTGACTTGAGAAAAAGTCTCAAGCTGTGTTTTCATAGGGAGAAGGGAAACTCAATTTGTAACCTAATCTGAGTGTCTTTCCTATGTCCGTAGAAATATAAAAGGGACACTCCTATTTGGAAGGTGAATTTTCTAGGAATTAATAATAATTCGTCCATTCATTTGTCCATTCAGGCCCCTCTGACCCTGCTCTAATTTTTGCACACAGCACTTTTCATCTGGTAACATGATGTGTGACTTTGCTATTATGGCTATTGTCAGTCTTTCCCCAAGTAGTGACCTGAGTTTCTTTCCTTCTCTGGTTTTATTAAGGCAGTATCTGGCACGTAGAAGGAATTCAGAAATACTGAATGAAGGAGCACCTGTTACGTACCTAGCATTGAGCAAGGAGCTAGCAATACAGAATAGAGGTATGACCTTCAGGTTCCCTACAGTAGTAGGGGCATCAAATAAACATATAAATCTAAA
This sequence comes from Homo sapiens, assembly GCF_000001405.40. Lineage (NCBI taxonomy): Eukaryota > Metazoa > Chordata > Mammalia > Primates > Hominidae > Homo > Homo sapiens. The sequence goes on from NC_000002.12 coordinate 4,138,044, forward strand.
TAATGTATGTATAACTATACATATATATAGTTTTGCATATATATAGTACTACTATATTTATATGTACATAATATATAGTATATATAATACTATATGTATAGTACTATCAAGTACAAGGGTATGGACAGATTCACTGGGGTCAGTAATACTATAAAGTACAAGGGTATGGACAGATACACTGGGGTCAGACTGATGCAGTTGCAAGTCTGAATCCCAGCTCTGACACTTAGTGTCTGATACTAGCTGGGTAAACATAGTTACATTGCTTAAGCAGCTTAAAACTCAGGCACCATATCTGTCAGATGAGTTAGTAATCTCAACTTTGTGGGGCTTGTGTGAGAAACAAGGAATAAGCAATATAAAATTAAGACAAGGAATAAAAGCATTAATTACGACTCTAAGAAAGTTAAAAGCCCCAAGGTAGAGAGTGCTATCAGCTGACTGACGAAGGGACCTGTTGGCCAAGTCTTGTGCCCCCATACCTAATGCCCACTTTTGGCCATGTGTGCTTCCTTTCTCTGGCCTTAGGGCTTCTCTAAATGGCTCCTATTAGAGGAAGCAACATTTTATTGATTGATTATAAAGAGAAGTGGAAATAGGATCTATTTGTATCTGCTATGATATGAATGTTTGTGTCTCCCTAGACTCATAAGTTGAAACCTAATTTCCAATGCATTAGTATTAAGAAGTAGAACCTTTAGGTTGGGGCCTTCCTGACTGGGATTAGTGCCCTTATATAAGAGGCCCTGGGGAGCCTGTTTGTCCTCCTACCATGAGAAGACATAGTGAGAGGGTGTTATCTGTTAACCAGAAACTGGATCCTCACCAGACATTTACTTTGCTGGTGGCTTGATCCTGAACTTCTCAGCCTTCTCAGATCCTGAACTTCTCAGCCTTATAAACAACAAATTTCTGTTGTTTATAAGTCACCTTGTCTAAGGTATTTTGTTATGGTAGCCCTAATGGACTTAGACAACATCTTTAAGGATGTGCATTTGGTAGAAGAGTGAATTTCAAAGTATAGTACCTAGGGGCTGGGTGTGGTGGCTTGTGCCTGTAATCCCAGAACTCTGGGAGGCTGAGACAGGCAGATCACCAGAGGTCAGGAGTTTAAGACCAGCCTGGCCAGCATGGTGAAACCCTATCTCTACTAAAAATGCAAAAATTAGCGGGACATAGTGGTGAGTGCCTGTAATCCCAGCTACTCAGGAGGCTGAGGCAGGAGAATCACTTGAACCTGGGAGGTGGAGGCTGCAGTGAGCCAAGATCCTGCCACTGCATGCTGGCCTGGGCGATAGAGTGAGACTCTGTTTCAAAAACAACAACAGTAACAACAAAGTATAGTATGTAGGACAACGGCATCTGCATGACCTTAAAATTGGCTAGAAACTTGCATTCTCAAGTTCTACCCCAGACCCACTCAACCAGAACCCTGGACGTGGGTCGCTGTGTTTGAACAGCCCTCCAGTGGATGCTGATGCTTGCTCAAGTGTGAGATCCACTGCCCTGGAGCACTTGGGGAATCTCGCATACCTCTCAAGTGTTCCAACCATTGACCATCGTCAGCCATTGGAAGATGCAACTGGAGTGTATGATACCTTTATACAGTTACTATGTCAGTGTTATTTCCAGCAAACTTCCACACAGTGCCTAGAAACAATGCTTTATGCCCAGTTGACAGAATTATTATCAGTTTAATCTCTAAAGTCTTTCACTTTTGTTTTATGTTTTAAAATGATTCATTGCATTTTTAGATCTTGGTATTATGCAAACACTGGTTTAAATGATCTGAGAGAGAAAGTTCACAATGATATTTGCTGCCAGTATAGCATATTAGGTGGTCAAAGTGTTCGGTAAATATTAGCTCTGGTTTCACCACATGCCTGTCAGGTTGGTGCTGTTTCTAAACCAGTGAACTGGAGTTTAAGGCTGTTCCATCTTTATGGGAAGTTGATATTTCAACAAATAAATGACAAGAATGAGGGGGATGAGGTTTGAGTCTAGTGGGGTTCTGCTGCTGATTGGTCATTAATTATATTTATGTTATTGTATCTTTACCCAGAGGCTGCCATGAAGAACACATTGATTTTTAAATTCAAGATAAAAATAAATGACTTATGGCCAAGGCAGTTTTCACTTTGATTTTTTAAACTGCAAATGCAGTTTAGGAGAAATTTGATCTATCTGCTTCTGATTCACTCACACTGGAATCATTCAGGTGTTGTTTGGTGAGTTCTATTTGATGTCCTTAAAATGTGAGGTGAGCTCCTGTGTGAACCCTTTTCTCACTTTTTCTTTACTTAAATATTCCATGACACCTTTTCCCAAAGGCAAATAAACTCCACACTGACTCAGGGCGTCTGTAGGGAGCTACGGAGCTGCGCCTTCTGATTAGCCTGTAACTTAGCTCACCTCTCCCTGCCCTCCCTGGGAGCTGGGAAGGTGACACATGTGGCTGCTCTGGCAGGCGTGAGGCTGTGCTCAGCAGCTCAGCAGCAGGCACTCCCACAGCACACTAATTCATGATTTCCAATTAGAAATGCCTAGTGTCTATTTCAGACATTCAGGCTTGAGGTTTACTTACTTTTCCTCCTGTTAAAGGGAACTTCTTGTGTTCTCTTCTGCCTCCTTTCTCCTTTCCCTTCACTTGATTCTCCTTTTATTTTCCTCCCTTGCCGAGTGGGAGCCCTGACACGGGTGCCTGTATGTCTGAGGGCTGCATCTGTGAGGTCACCAGGAACCTCGTCACGGGGAGGAGGGGAGGCTCGGTGACAGTGACTGTTACAGAAGCAGAGTGTGCCATAGTTAAATGTAAAACATAGAAATCAAGAGCTATATGTTGCCAGAAGGCTTATTTTGCCCAGCTTTAAATTTTTAAGAATATACCTCTTTCATGATTGCAAGATTGAAAACAAATGGACAGGCCCTGCATCAATGGGCACTTTCTCACTTTCCTTATAGGAGTGTAACTTGGTAAATGCTTGTAAAGCAGCTTAGAGGAGTGTTTCAAGAGCAGTAATTTGACTTCTGGGAATACATCCTGAGGGGATAATTGTAAATTCCTCCAATTTTCTAGCTGTGCACGCCTAGGACTGCTAAAGAGTCAGGCTGCAAAGCCAGCCTGCCATTCAAATCACAGTGCAAACATATGTGGCATGTGTAACCTGGGAAAGTTTCCTACTGAGCTCTTGCCTTAGTCACCGCATCTGTAAAACGGGAATGACAGTAAAGGTGACCTGATGGAACGGATGAGAGCACACAAAGCTTGTAGCACACAGCCGTGCATATAACAGGTGCTCAATAAAAGTTAGGTAATCCTCCTGGCCTTCTCCCCTAGCTTTAGTTTCCTTATTTATAAAATATAGATAATAACAGCTTTTAACTAAAAGGATCACTGTGGAGATGAATTAAGATTATGTGTGCAAAGCATGTAGTGAACACAAAATAAATGCGAGTGGCTGTTACGTTTGGCAAAACATTTTATCAACAAAGCACTTTTTGCTGTACAATTTATAATGGCAAAAAAGGTAAAAAAAAAACTAGAGAAATTTGATCATTTTATTTGATTTATATTTGGGAAATCAATTGATGTTTACCGTGAATTTTTAATGATATTAGGAAATGCTATTGTAAAAATATTAAATTTGAAAAGCCAGAGAAACCTCAAGGTATCATCTGAAGAAACTGACCCATAGGAGACAAAAACTGGAATAATATACTAATATATAGTTAATGCTTACCTTTTCGATGGTGGAATTGAGGGTTTTTTATTCTTTGTATTTTTATATTAATATTTTTTATAATGAACAAGTATTTTTATAATGAGGTAAGGGAAATTCCTTTTCAAAAGATGTTTAAGTATTCTTTAGGCCTGGATTTTATAAAATATGTTTCTTCTATAGAGATAATTCAATGGCCCTGCAATAAATTGGAAGAACTGGGCCATAATCAGTAATTTTCTGACAGTCTACTATCAATTCCAGTCATAAATGAGAGAATAAGTGGGAGTATTAGGCTCTTTCATATCCATGGCACTTGTCCATTCACACCATAATTAAAATGTAATAATTTATTAAGCACAGAGACTGGCACATACATGCTCAATAAATATTTATTAAATAAATGAATAATTGAATTAAAAATGAGGTTTGTCATATAAATAAGGTTTAATCCCCATAATGTCATATGAAATTGTAAGAGAAAAGGTGTCTACAAGTCAGAGCATTTGGCCGGAACCCAGAAAGCCTGGATTCTGCCAGCAGCTGAGATAATGTGGTTCATTGCTTAATTACCTCATCTGTACAGTGAGTTATTTGCACTGAATGTTTTGTTACATCTTTTCCATATATATGATTCTGAGCAATATGAATAAATAATGATGATTTGCACTCATTGAGTGCAAGTTTAAAGGTAGTTAGTGCATTTGACGTGGACTCTCACTGCATCCTGTTGCTGCCAGATGAAGATCAAAACCCTTTCCAAGCCCTGAGCCAGGGCGAACTGGGTCTCTGCCTCCTTGTCCATCTTCCATTCCTACCACTCTCTACCCATTCTCTCCTCTGTTGTGCATATTCCCCTATCCAGTTCCTTGGCAAGGTCCTACTCCCTCCAGCTTGGATGGATGCATTAACTCATTTTGTTCCCTGTGCCTGGCTGCCCTCCCTTCCCCTCACTGAATCCCTGGTTGTTCCATCTTCAGCGAGCACAGTTCAGTCACCCTACTCATCCATCAGAGCTCAGCTCAAGGGTGCCCTTCTCTGGGACACCTTCCCTTACTTCCCGGCCTCAGCCTGCTTCCTCTCCTATGCACTCCTGGAGACCTGGGTTCCCTTTCTTTTGGAATATTCAACTTGTTTTGTAATTATGCCTCCACTACCGTGATTATTTGATGAATGACTGTGTTCCCCGCCATTTTTTGTTTCTTCCATGAGAGTGAATATAACTGTGCTTAGTGCTTAGAAAACTGCAGATACTCACTAAATATTTGTTGAATAAATACATTGAGAATCCATGCATGCATTCATCTATAGAAGAAAAGAAGAGAACGTTTTTCACCTACTTAAGACTTTCTTTACATTGGGTTCCACACACATATGCACTCTGTGAGATAATGAAGTAGTCCACATGTAATTATTTACATTTTGAAGTTTGATGAAGAAGCCAACATAAAGCACAGAGCGGGTGAATAACTTCTTCGAGGTGTACTTTCCTGACAGAGCTCACCCTAGGACCTAGAACTGGGCCACACATTCTCAGCCTTGGATGGAGGAACCACTCTGACCCACGTGGCCTCTCCTCAGAGAAGAAAGCACACCAGCGTGAAGGCAGGTGCAAGCCACCCCATGCTTGGTGTAGACTGCATGCATTAAAAAGTCATGTGGTTAAGGGTGCATTCAGTTATTTTCCATACGTGGCTTAGTTGCTAAGTTTTCTGGCATTCTTCCACTTTTGGTCTCTTTCTACAAGGATACCAGCAAAAGTTACAGTAAGATGCAACCTTGGGCCCAAGACTAAAGACACCCTCAGGCTCCCAATCACTCCATGGGCTCCAGCTCACCTAAGTCTACGCTGGACTTTCTGTCAAAAATCCCACCCAGTAATGATGCTCTAGTTTGCACTGTCTCTCAGGGATATTTCCTTTCCTTGGGATCGTAGGTAGAGGGCTCTTACATTGTCCTTTTCAGGCACGGTTTGGGTATTTCTGAGTTTGAGGGCAAACATCATTTTCATATTGTCATAAAAGTGCTCCATTTTCAACGCGAGCCATTTTCATAATAATATTCACTTCCATTTGTATGAGACTGTACAGTTGCCTGTGGATATTCACATATCTTGTGTGTTCTTCCAAGGAAGCTTCCTTTATAGGAAGCTATTATGCCCTATGTTCCCAGGGTTGCACCTCTAACTCCTTGCAGGGTGATTGACAGCCAATGGGTAGTTGCTGAATGAATGAAGGGCTGACTTTAGTGAATGAAAAAGTCCAGTAGGGCACAGTGGTTGGTGTTGCACTTGATTTACAAGTGGAGACACTGAGGCTCTAAAATATCAAATTACTTTCTTGAGGACACATTCCAGGGGATGGAAAGACTTCTGGTTCCTTGTTCAATGCTTTTTGAATAAGTGTATTATAGACTGGTGCCACTGTGAGATTCACACATGAATGACTTCTCTGGTAATGATGATTTTTTTTTACTATTATACTTTAAGTTTTAGGGTACGTGTGCACAATGTGCAGGTTTGTTACATATATATACATGTGCCATGTTGGTGTGCTGCACCCATTAACTCGTCATTTAGCATTAGGTATATCTCCTAATGCTATCCCTCCCCCCTCCCCCCACCCCACAACAGTCCCCGGTGTGTGATGTTCCCCTTCCTGTGTCCATGTGTTCTCATTGTTCAACTCCCACCTATGAGTGAGAAGATGCGGTGTTTAGTTTTTGTCCTTGCGATAGTTTGCTGAGAATGATGGTTTCCAGCTTCATCCATGTCCCTACAAAGGACATGAACTCATCATTTTTTTTGGCTGCATAGTATTCCATGGTGTATATGTGCCACATGATTTTTTACTCATTTTTAACAGTTTTATTTAGGTATAATTTACATACCACAATTTTACCCACTATAAGTGTACAATTCAGTAATTTTTAGTAAATCCCTCTTATGATCAATCCCAAGCCCCGCCCCAGGCAATCTTTCATCTTCTCTCTGTGTCTGTAGACTTGCTTTTCAAAAAAAATTCATGTAAATGAAATCATACAATATGTAGTATTTAATGTCTGTCTGGTATCCTTCACAGAGCATTATATTTTTGAGGCTCATCTGTATTGCAGCTGTTCATTGTTTTTAATTGCTGAATACTTGTCATGCTACATTTATTCATCACTTACAAGTTGATGGATATTTGGTTTGATTCCAGTATTTGGCTATATGGTCCAGCTGCTGTGAGCATTGGCATACATGTATTTGTGTGGACATTTTCCTTTTGCTTGGGTAAATACCTAGGAGTGAAATTGTCGTGTCTTATGATACATTTATGTTGACTTTTCAAAGAAATTGGTAAACTGTCTTCCAAATTCACTGGACCATTTTGTATTCCATCTTTTTGACTATAGCCATTTTAATGGGCATGTAGTGGTTATTATGGTTTTAATTTTCCTATTGACTGAAAAATAATGTTGATCATCTTATGTGCTTATTGGCCATTTAAAAAATCCTTTTGGCTATAATGTTTACTTAAATATTTTTCGCATTGTTAAACTGTGTGGTTTATACTCTAGATACAAATCCTTATCAGATACAACTTGAGAATATTGTCTCTTAGTCTGTGGCATGCCTTTTAATTTTTAAATTTGCATCTTATGAAGAGCCAAATTTTAAATATTGATAAAATCCAATTTATCGATTATTTTAATGGCTTGTACTTTTGATGTCATAGCTAAGAAATCTTCATATATTTACATTTGGATATCCCATTATCCCAGCACCATTACTGCTTATTGAAAAGACTATCCTTTTTTCATCAAATTGCTTTGGCACTTTGGTTGAAAATCTATTAACCATAAATATAAGGGTTTTGTTATTGGACTTTCTGTTCAGTTTCATTGATCTATTTGTCTATTCTTATGCCAATATAGAATATAGTATATCTTTATAGTAATTTATTAAATACATTAATGTAAGTTTTCCTCATTTATTTTTCAAAATTGTTCTGGCAAATCTAGGTTCTTTGTATTTTCATATCCATTTTAAGACTAGCTTGCCAATTTATACAACAGATTCTTTGTTTTCTTTTGTTCTTTTTCTTTTTTTACTGGACATATAGTTCACTTAGGACAGAATTGTCATTTTAACAATTTTGAATCTTCTAATCCATGTACATGGAATGTGTCTCCATTGGTTTATAATGTCTTTAATTTTCCTCAGCAACATTTTATAGTTTTTTATCGTATAGGGTTTGTACTTCATTTGTTAAATTTATTCTGAAGTATTTAATTTTTATGCTCTTATGAATGGAATTATTTCCTTAATTTTATTTCTGAATGTTCATTGTTGATGTGTAGAAATTGGATTTGTATATTGATCTTGTGTTCTACAATATTGGTAAAATTGTTTATTCTTTCTAGTAGGTTTTTTGAGGATTTCTTATGATTTTCTACATATAAGATTATGTCATCAGCACCTAAGGACAGCTTTTACTTTTTCTTTTTCAATCTGCAGATCTTTAAATTTTGTTGCCTTATTGCACTGTCCAGAACCTCCAGTACAATGTTGAACAGCAGTGATGAGAGCAGAGATTTTTATCTTCTTTCTGATCTTAAAGCATTCTGTCTTTTATCATTAAGTAATATGTTAGCTGTAGGTTCTTTGCAGATTTTTTTATAAGGTTGAGGAAGTTCCCTTTTTATCCCCACTTAGCCAGTGGGGTTTTATTATGAATAGGCATTGGATTTTATCAAAATGCCTTTCTGCATCTATTGAAATCATTACGAATTTTTTTCCCCTGTTCTATCAGGTTGGTGCAAAAGTAATTGCAGTTTTTGCCTTAAAATTAATGCCATTACTGGCATTACAAAACTAATGGCATTACCAAAGTAATTACTTTTGCCATTAATGGCAAAACCGCAATTATTTTGCACCAACCTAAATATTAATATTGTGATTACACTAACTGTTTTTCTATGCCAACTTGACCTTGAATTCCTGAGACTAATACCACTTGGTCATGGTGTGTAATTCTTCTGGTAATATTGTTTTCATTATTAATATTCTATTAAATATTTTTTCAACTATCTTTATGAATAACTTTCTCGGCAGTTTTATATTCTTGTAATATTTTTATCTGATTTTGCTTTTGGGGACATAATAATCTCAGAGAATGACTTTGGCATTCTTCTTTATTTTCACAAAAAGTTTATAATAGAATTAGTGTTAGTGCATCTTTAACATCTTACAGAATTTACTCATGAAGCTATCTAGGCCTGTGTGTTCTTTTGGAAAGATTTTTAATTACTAGTTTAATTTCTTTTCATGTTATAGGTCAATGCAAAACTTTTCCTTTATTTTTTAGTCTATTTTGATATTTGTGGCTTTCTGGAAATTTGTGTTTTACCTAGGTAGCGTAATTTTTAGATGATGTTATAAAAATGTATAATTTTCACAAGATTCCCTTATAATCTTTTAAATTTTATAGCATTATTAAAAATGTTCACACTTTTATATTGACTTTAATAATGTATGAATCCAGTCCTTTTGTTTTTTTCTTCTTGGTTAGTCTAGCTAAAGTTTTATCAATGTTTTGATTTTTTCTGATAACTAACTTTCCTTTCCATTAATTATACTTGTTTTTTTCTCTTTACTATTGTGTTTTTCACTCTGATATGGTTTTATTTCTTATATTTTTGATTTAGGTTTAATTTTCTCTTATTTTGCCAGTTTCTCAAGGTCAAAGCTTAGATTATTGGTTTGAGACCTCATTTTCTTTTTTTTTTTTTTTTTTTTTTTTTTTGAGACGGAGTCTCGCTCTGTCGCCCAGGCTGGAGTGCAGTGGCGCAATCTCGGCTCACTGCAAGCTCCGCCTCCCGGGTTCACGCCATTCTCCTGCCTCAGCCTCCCAAGTAGCTGGGACTACAGGCGCCCGCCACTACGCCCGGCTAATTTTTTGTATTTTTAGTAGAGACGGGGTTTCACCGTTTTAGCCAGGATGGTCTCGATCTCCTGACCTCGTGATCCGCCCGCCTCGGCCTCCCAAAGTGCTGGGATTACAGGCGTGAGCCACCGCGCCCGGCCGAGACCTCATTTTCTAAATAAGTGTTTAAAGGCATGAATTTCTCTTTATTGCTTTTGAATCATAAATTTTGATACTTTGTTTTTTTATTCAGTTTAAAATATTTTTTTTTTTTTTTTTTTTTTTTGAGACGGAGTCTCGCTCTGTCGCCCACGCCGGACTGCGGACTGCAGTGGCGCAATCTCGGCTCACTGCAAGCTCCGCCTCCCGGGTTCGCGCCATTCTCCTGCCTCAGCCTCCCGAGTAGCTGGGACTACAGGCGCCCGCCACCGCGCCCGGCTAATTTTTTGTATTTTTAGTAGAGACGGGGTTTCACCTTGTTAGCCAGGATGGTCTCAGTCTCCTGACCTCATGATCCACCCGCCTCGGCCTCCCAAAGTGCTGGGATTACAGGCGTGAGCCACCGCGCCCGGCCTAAAATATTTTTAAAAGCCTTTTAAAAATACATTTTTAAATTTTCAAGTATTTGTGATGCCCCTAATTTCTTTCTATTATAGACTTCTAATTTAACTTTGCTATAATCTGATGTCAGATTAAATTTTTAAATCCTTTTCAATTTGCAACTTTTTATTAGATTATCATATGGCCTGTCTTGGAGAATAATCTTTATGTTCTTGAAAAATATGTATGTATTCTGTATGGGTAGAGTGTTCTATCATGGTCAGTTTGGTCATGTTGGTTGCTCGTGTAAGTTATCTATATCTTTGATGTTTTCTGTATATCTGTTTCATCAATTATTTAGAAGTAGGTATGGACTCCAACTACAAATGTTGAATCACTTAGTTTTTTATTCAATTGTCTATTTTGGTTTAATGTATTTAGCGGTTTTGTTGTTAGGGGCAGGTATTTGTAATCTTAAAATATTTTGAAGTACTGAGTCTTTTTATTAAGATATCCCCTTCCTTTTTCTAGAGATGTTTCTTGTTTTAAATTATATTTTATCTAAATCAATGCATGTCTTATGGTTAAGTTTTACATGGAATATCTTTTTCCATTCGTTTACTTTCAATATGTTTTTGTATTTGAATCATAAATTTGTCTCTTGTAGATAGCGTGTAGTTGAATCTTGCCTTTTAAACCAATATGCCAATCTCTGCCTTTTGGTTAGGATATTTAATCCATTGACATTTAATGTAACTATGATATAGTTATAGTTACATCTGCCATATGTTGTTTGTATTCTGTATGTTTTATATCTTATTTTTTGCCTCTGATCTTTATTGTCTTACTTTGTGTTAAACAACATATTTTTAGTATATCATTTTAATTTTTTGCTATATTTTTAGGTACTTTTCTAATTATTGCTCTATGTATTACAATATTCATCATGTAGTAGAACAATTTACTTCAGATTAATATCACCTTAAACTTTTGCTCTAATATATCCCCATTCCCTGCCCCCTCCTTTTCGTTATGACTGTGATTTACATATTTTTATAAACCTCCTAGTACACAGTTATAATTATTACTTTAGTTGATCATATCTTTTTAAAAAAGTTAAGAGAAAGACTTTATGAAGTCTTTGATATGAAGGTTCCTATTAAACATTTGCAGTTCTCTTCATTTCTTCCTATGGATCCAAGTTACCATCTGATGCCATCTCCTTTCAGTTTAATGGCCTTCCTTTAGTCTTTGTCATAAGACATATCTGCTATCAACATGTTCTCTCAATCTTTGTCTGGGAATGTCTTTATTTCACTTTTATTTTTAAAGGACAGTTTCACTGGATATAGAATTCTTGTCTGATTTTTTTTTAGTACTTTGAAAAGTTCATTCCATTGCATTCTGGCCTCCATTGTTTCAGCTGGACAACTAGACATTAATTGTATCAATACTTCTATATATGTGATGATATGTGGTGAGTTATGAACCTCTTGGATCTGTTTATTAGTGGGTTTTTTTTTAAAAAATCAAATTTGGGAAGCCATTGGCCACTCTTCCATTATTTTTCTTCCCCTTTCTCACTCTTCTCTGTGTCTGGAACTCCTATCACATGTATGCTGATATGCTTGTTGCTGTTCTACAGCTGTCTTTCTTTAATCCATTTTTATTCATTTTCTTTAATTTTTTGCTCTCTTGTTTACACTGAATTATTTCTGTTAATCCTTCTTTACATTCACTGATTCTTTCCTTTACCATTCCACATTCAGTGGTTAAACTCATCCAGTAAAGTTTTCATTTCAGTTATGGTATTTTATAACTCCAAGATTTATACTATTTTTTTAATAGTTTCTATATCTTTATTGAGAATACCTATTTGTAGAGTCATTTTAATCATGTTTTAATTTAATTCTTTGAATATACATAGTTTCTGGAATTTTTAAGCATCATGTTAGTTGCTTTGCAGTTAATATTTGTCTGCTAAATTTTGTATCTGGGCCAACTCACAGTCAATTTCTAGTGACTATTTTCTTTCCCTAAATGTGAGTCAGACTTCCTGATTTTTGCCTGTCTCATAATATTTTTATGAAGATCTTGACATTTTAGACATTTTAGACAAGATGTTAGTGAATTTTTTTCTTGAGGGTTACTACTGCTATTGCTATTTTTGTTTTTAATTGTAACTTGCCTGGACTTAATCTCCAGTATTTGTTTCCTCTATAATGTGGAGCTGATGATGTCTTTGCTGGTTTTTGTTTAAATGATCATTTTTGAGTCTAGCTTCCTAAAGCTTTCTCCGGAATCTGCATTACTTGTTTTTTTAGCTGGCAGTTGTTTAAAGTTTATGCCCAAACTCTATGCCAGTGAAATTTCTACCCTGCTGATGGATCTGAGCATATTCAATGTTAAGGGAGTTTTAAAGTATGCTAGATGTCTTCTTTCTGCTCTGTCCTTCCTGTGCTGTCCTGGAAGCACTGCCACATTCACAGAGCTGGCAGGGGAGATGAAAGCAGCCCCAGGTGAGAACACTATGCACTCCCAGTGCTGTTATCTAAAATTCAGTGGTTGTTCATAAGTAAATATTTCTCCATTTTGGTCAGTTATCAGAGACTTTAAAGTAGTTGTTTTGATATTTTTTCCATTCACTATTTGTTTTTTGGGGGAGAAAATTTTCTGATCCTTTCACTCCATCTTTAAAAAAGTATATTGGTATGGGTGTTTTAGTTAGAATAGTATAGTTAGGAAAAAGTCCAGTGAAAAAGTTACTATATAGAAAAGAAAAACATGATATAATAATTTTACAGTCCATTTTATCTGGCATCTTCTAATTCTGTCATTCACTATATAACATTTTTTTCTTGACAAAGGGGACACTTCTATGTTTAGCTGCCTCGAGCCCTGTGAATGTCGTGAATCCTAGAATGTACATGCTGAGGGAATGGTTGAACTCATGTGCTGATGAGCTATAGGAGTTTCTTACATCCATCAGCACATACTAATCCTAGCTTCTTTCAGCGGTGAAAAAATAATCACCAGGGATTTTTGATAAAAGAAACCTTGATTTACTTTCTTCTCCAATCTTGATTTGAACTTTGATCTCCAAATTGAAACTGCAAGTGCCTTTTCCTTTAGTTTTAATCCTAATTTACACAGATATATTGAGAGGCTTATGAGAAGTCATCTTGAAGTGCTTAGAAAATGTACAAAGCTGAGCATTCTAAGGTACACCTTTTTTTCCTCCCTTTCTTTTCTTTCTTTGCCTTTCTCCTCTCAGCCAGTGATAGGTATTCATGTTGAGCCACAGGGAGAAGCGTATTGGTTTGGGACCACAGGCATGCACATAAAATGAATGGCATTTTGCAAATGAAGTGAACTCATTAAACAGTCATCTTCAAGACATTCATTTTCTATGGTAATCTAATTTTCTGATGAAAGGGGGTCATTTAAATTGGACTGATCAGTCTTCTTTCAACTCCTTGTCAGAATCTATCCTGTGGACCCAATTTCCTGGTTCAGCAGGGAGTGTTTATGTATGGCCCACTCCACACAGTGGCCTGGACAAAGGACAATGATGACAGACTTGCAGGTGGTTCTAATCACTTCAATGAGAACAGTCCGTGGCAGCTGGGCAGTTCTCAAGCCCACATAAGCTTGGCTAAGATCTGGCCAGTGGATTCTAGTTTAATTGATAGCAACAATTTTGAGGTCTCATCTAGGTACCCTATAGGCAAAGGGAAGTTTGTGCCAACTGCTGAGGTTTAACATCTGAACTGGCATTTACACCTGGGATAAACCATAGGCCTGAACGTGTGTGCGAATCAAATAAACTTTCCTTCCTTCCTTCCTTCCTTCCTTCCTTCCTTCCTTCCTTCCTTCCTTCCTTCCTTCCTTCCTTCCTTCCTTCTTTTTTGTCTGCCTGCCTGCTTTTTTCTCCCTTTATCTTTCACTGGAATTTGCTTTTCATTATGAACAGTTTAGCTATGGAGGATCTCAATTGCACACTGTCTTTTGTAAGTTACTATTCTTGCTATTAGGTGACATTTTTTGTTGTTGAGAAAAATTGAGGAAAAAGCGGCTCCTTTCTGCTATACAAATCTTTGTCTGTAGCATAGTGTATTAAAAGTAAAAAGACAAAAAACAGCTGTGGGAAGCTGGAAGCTAGGGATTCTGTCTAATCCAAAAGAATTGAAGTGAGCATTTGCCAATTACATAAAGTCAAATATATGTCTTAGATACATGAAATATTGACCAATGGAAGAAAAGCATTCTACTTCAAGCAGCTTTTGATTCCATTCTTTATGGTTTTTAAAAATTTATTTAAAGTCTCTAAAAAAACTGGTGGAGAAACCATTTATTTTAACATGGTTAATAAAGAAAAGGGCCTGAGCAGCATTCATGAGGGTTTAGCCAATTAAGCAGGGCAGGGAAATCACAATGAGGCAAGAAGGGAATTAATGGACAAACTACTTATGCATGTGCATGGACAGTTCATGTAGTCAGATATAGGTAACATTATGTAAACTACATAATAGGAAATGCATTTTGAGTGTGCATAGATTTAACATGGGTGAAGTTGGACTTCCGTAGCCCATTTCAGAGTAGGGCTCATGGTGCTTTATAAATTGTATCTTGTTCATCTTTGCAATACTCCCAGGAGGTATGTCATTGGTAAATACCATTGTTACTCCTTTTTACAGTGGGAAGAACACAAGTGAGGAGAGATTAAGATATTTGCCCAAGGTCACCTAGCAAGTTAATTAGAGAGCTTGAAATAAAAGTCCCAATTCAGTTTTCCTTCCATTAAACCTTATTGTTCCTTCTCTTCTTCTGGGCATCTCAGCTCTTAATAGTGTTCCCAGTACTCGCTCCTAATTACTAACTTTGGGAGCCTTTTGTTTATAGGAGGTTTAAAGATTGAGTAGGTTTGGGAGCCACTTTGGGTTTTTATTACCTTTGAAGCTACCTAACCTCTGGATGGGTATATAGAAAGTTATTTGGTAGGCTGCTGAAAATATATTGATTTATATTGCTTTCCAGAATGCTTGCAAGCAAGTGCCTCCTTCCAAGCAAGGGGGAGTTATTGATTAAAAAAATGAGTGCTACAAGATGGACAATTACCATATTTATTTTTAAAGAGAGGGAAATAGATTCATTGATTATTTCTGGCTATCATTGGGTCTGACAAGGGATTATTTCATTGCGTTGCATTTGGGGTGTGTCTGCATGCAGGGGTGTGTGTGTTTGTGTGTGTGCAGAGGCCTTCTGGATGAAGGTAAGATGCAAATAATGCTAATGATGCAGGCACAAAACTGTCTCCTCACATTTTATTTCTGTGAATGGTGCCTTATTTCTCTCAATCCCCCAGGCTTGAAACCACAGAGTCATCTTGGGCCCCTTCTCTTCTTTCCTTTCCACATGCAGAGCACAGAGTCTATAAGTCCTGCCTTGGCAGTATTTTCTGCAGGTATCTTCCCCTACTCCTCTGTTACTACCACTGTAGTCCAGGCTGCTGCTGCTGCTGTTTCTTGGGGGCTTGCTTCTGGGTCTCCTCATTCCAGAGTATACTGCTTGACTCACTGACTGCTTTTGTTTGGAAGCAGAGCCACCATGATACCACAACTGTACTCACAACCACACCTGCCTCCCTTTGATGGCTAATTCTAAAACAATGGTATTCAAATACCAATCAAGACCTTTAACTTGCCCCTACTCGTATTCTGCCATGATACTCTAATTATAGGATACTCTGTCCTTCAAATCATTGTCATCACCAGCATCTTCTTAATAGCTATATATATATATTTTTTTTAAAAAAATAGATATATATTTTTAAAAAACAACAATTTGTGGAAATCACTGTTTTAAGCTGTAATATGTGTAATTTTACTTAATCTTTACAACTGGCACCATCTGAGATTCTACTTTTTTGGTCAAAGCTTTGATGACATAGCTAGCCATTTTTCCCTTGCCTCTTTTGAGCCATCACGACACTTTTTTGGTAACTCTAAAAAGGCAGTTATATTCTTTCTGTAATAATTTATTTTGTGTTTCTATTTTTATCCCCTTCTTCTGAGCTGTGGGCACCCTCATTCACTAAAGAAGAAAATATTACAGAATACAAGGTAATGCTGATGTAGCTGCGAATGTTCTAGTTGGTACAAAACTTTGTGTCATGACCACGTTTTCAGTGTTTTGAGTTTTCTTCTGTCAACAACTTAGTCAAAAGTCTTGCTAAAGTCAAAAGAGATTGTATTTATTGATTTATTTGTGTTAATCCAACTATTGATAGATGTGAGGAGATTAAATTAGTGTGAGAGGGCTTGTTATACAGCTTGTTTGGTGGAATCAGGAGAAAGTTTCTGGTATTTAAAGTGGAATTTAAATTGAAAATTTCATATTCTCCAATATCTGTTCTTTCCCTTATTAAACACAGAAGTGAAATTGAGAATTGGCCATATGTTTCTTAGAATGTAATGTGATAATTGTACAGTAAAGGTGAGCTCTTCATTTAATCAGCAAATACTTAGAGTTGTATACCCTTTACGCACTCAGAGGAAAATAGATGACACATTCCAATAGACTGATTTGAGAAGACTTTAATAAAGGGCCATTTTACAGGTAAGTGCAAGGGTTGGTAAAGTTAATTTAAAAAGGGGTACATTTTCCTAGGAGTAACAGTAGCGAGAGTGATGACAGCCTCTAGGCCTGACTCAACTCTCAATGTCCCTTACTCCGAAACCATCCACTCTGCCTTCTGGAAATGCTTCTTAGTCAGCAAACTCCTTGTCATCCTGAACCTCTTTTCCAAATAATCTTTCACCTTCTTGCCCTAAGTGAGAACCAGCTCTCCTCTTAGGATGTCCTGTGGGGCCTCCCAGGTGCTGTTTACTCTCTCTTATCACCATACCTCAGGATTGGGAAGCGAGGGGTAAATGGTCTTTTTTCCCTATTGTAGAATATCTTGGTAAACCTGTTTTCCACTCTATGCACATTACATTCTAAGGAACACATGTCCAGTTCTCAATGTCACTTGAAAACTCAAGACCCCTTACAAAAGAGAGTAAGCTGTATGTAGAATAGCCTCAAAATAAAATATCTGGAGAATGTTTATAAAAACTGAAAATATTGATTGTGTAACTGAGAAGACAAAGAAAGGGTGTGTTAGCTTTGGTAAATATTTGAAGGGATGTCATGTGGGAGTGGGATTCAGATGTACAACTTTGGAGTATAGGAGTAAGTGAAATGAAAATTACAGGGAGAAAAAATGGGCTCAATATTAAGGGTAGTTTCAATCATCCAGAGCTGTCCAAAAATCAACCACTGGTCTATGAGTGAGCTTCTTGCTTAAGAAGATGGCCAAGCAGAGGCTGGTGAACCTTCATGTTCAGATGCTGCATGTGCAGGAGATTGGGCTGAACTTTGGCTAAGGTGATGATAGGCTGAAGGCAAGTAATTGTTTCTATTAAAAACAAAAAGGTTTTGAGGTCATGCAACTGAGGTATTTGAAAACAGAGACCAGGGACAAGTTATATTTATCTACCTATCCATCCATCCATCATCTGTTTATCCATCTATCATTTATCTACCTATCTACCTGCTTACCTACCTATCTAGTCACCTGAGTATGAGGCCTTAGGGATTTGTGGGCCCTGTAGTAAATCAGAGTACATTTCTTGCTTCAAGGTACTCCAGTAACATTTAGAAGTACCATTTCAACAAATAAATTGTACTTAAGAAACACATTTATCTCATTTCACTCAGATCATCAGTTTATGACCCTAGTTCCAGTTCTAGACCTCATCCATACAACCTCTTTCTGGATCTAGGTTTCCTTACCTGGAGATGAGGGAGCAAGGCAGAGCTGGGGCTTAGACCATATTTCTAAGGATTCTGTCTAACTTAAAACATGATTTGCTTTTGAATATGTATATGTGCATGTGTTGGTGGGGACTCATGTTCATGTTTGGAATTTTATATACATTAATGTTCCCTGTATATTGCAGTGACTTTCTAAAAATTGAGCTCTCTCTTGCCATATTATGGTCTATTAACTGCATAAGACACAGAATGATACTTCAGAACATCAGATCCTATCACTTCTTTGTTTGGAATGCTGCAATGGCTTTACATGGCATTCTAAATAAAACTCAGAGACCTTCTCCTGGGCTCATAAGGCCCTGCAGGATCATGCCTCCTATTCCCACCTTGACCACATTGCCCACCTCTTTTCTCACTCACCTGATTCTAGCCCACTGGTCTCCTTGTTCTTCAAACTTGTAAAGTACAGATGACCCTAGACACTTTCTTCTGCCTCCAGTGCTCTTTCTTAAGAATTTATTAGGCTCACACTAGTGTCATTGTATCTGGGAACTTCCCAGACAACAAAGAAAAGAAATAAAAGGTAGATGTGAGCATCTCTAGCTTTTCTGGAAGTTTCAGAGAAGCCCCACTCGATTGCTTCTGCTTACATCCCATTGTCTTGCTACAGTTGTAAGAGAGACGTGAAGATGGCATCATTTAGCTGGGCCGACTGAACTCCAAGTCCAACTGCAGCTCTTTATGTAATAGAGAAGAGCAGGGTGGACGTGGTCAGGCAGCAAGCCATGTCTGCCATGGTGTGCTGCAAGTGACTAATGAATCCCCAAATATTGCTTGTAACATTTTCAGTATGGGCATAAATTTTCCCTTTTTTCTGGTTGGCAGATCCATCTCTCCCATGAGAGTCTCAAAATGGTTTGTGACCCCAAACATGACACTGGATCGTGCTCTTGAGTCATGTGTGTTGCTCTCTTAGGTACTCTTGGATCGGATTTGTTGCAGAGGTCATCAGACTTGCTTATATTTCTGATAAGAAGATTTCCATTGACTCACTAATACGTTTGTTAGGGACTTGAATTTGCACAAAGAGCAGTGTGCAGCGTACTACAGCACTCTATAGGGTTCGATGAACCACAGAGGGACATAGGATGGTGCCCTCATGTGTGGTTTGTAGTCTCCCAAACAATCCTTCCTTTTATTGGCCATGCTGCTCCCAGGCCACAGCGGACATGGCTCCAGTGGGAAAGATTGCTTTTGGTTTATTGAATTTCATGGCCAGATATCATGCAGGCTCCTGGCATCAAGCAGAATAGCATTGAGAGGTTGCTGATGGAACTAAGGTCAGAACACCTTTGAAGAGGCTATGGAAAAGAGAGAAACTTAGAGAATTTTATTGTTGTTGGGGTGATTAAATGTTAAGTGTTCAGAACAGAACTACCTAGTAGGTACTTAATAAATGTCAATTTATTTCCTATATACATTAATGTTCCCTGTATATTGCAGTGACTTTCTAAAAATGGAGCTCTCTCTTGCCATGTTATGGTCTATTAACTGCATAAGACACAGAATGATACTTTTTTTCTTATTTCTGCCTTCCTGACACCTTGCCTCCTTTCCCTTGGATTCTGCATTTTTTTCATGTGGAGCTCAATTCTTCAATCTTTCATCGGTAGATTTTGGGATATAAGTAGAAAGCAAGGTGTTTTAACTAATGTCATATATCATAGAAAATAAAAGCAATATATTTATCCACTGCATTTAGAAGTATGAATGCTGGGGGGGGGAGGAGCCAAGATGGCCGAATAGGAACAGCTCCCGTCTACACCTCCCAGCGTGAGCTACGCAGAAGATGGGTGATTTCTGCATTTCCATCTGAGGTACCGGGTTCCTCTCACTAAGGAGTGCCAGACAGTGGGCGCAGGTCAGTAGGTGCATGCACCGTGCACGAGCCAAAGCAGGGCGAGGCATTGCCTCACTCGGGAAGCGCAGGGGGTCAGGGAGTTCCCTTTCCTAGTCAAAGAAAGGGGTGACAGACGGCACCTGGAAGATAGGGTCGCTCCTACCTGACTACTGCACTTTTCCGACGGGCTTAAAAAACGGCGCACCAGGAGACTATATCCCGCACCTGGCTCGGAGGGTCCTACGCCCACGGAGTCTCGCTGATTGCTAGCACAGCAGTCTGAGATCAAACTGCAAGGCGGTAGCGAGGCTGGGGGAGGGGTGCCCGCCATTGCCCAGGCTTGCTTAGGTAAACAAAGCAGCCAGGAAGTTCGAACTGGGTGGAGCCCACCACAGCTCAAGGAGGCCTGCCTGCCTCTGTAGGCTCCACCTCTGGGGGCAGGGCACAGACAAACAAAAAGACAGCAGTAACCTCTGCAGACTTAAGTGTCCCTGTCTGACAGCTTTGAAGAGAGCAGTGGTTCTCCCAGCATGCAGCTGGAGATCTGAGAATGGGCAGACTGCCTCCTCAAGTGGGTCCCTGACCCCTGAACCCCAAGCAGCCTAACTGGGAGGCACCCCCTAGCAGGGGCAGACTGACACCTCACACGGCCGGGTACTCCAACAGACCTGCAGCTGAGGGTCCTGTCTGTTAGAAGGAAAACTAACAAACAGAAAGGACATCCACACCAAAAACCCATCTGTACATCACCATCATCAAAGACCAAAAGTAGATAAAACCACAAAGATGGGGAAAAAACAGAGCAGAAAAACTGGAAACTCTAAAAAGCAGAGCACCTCTCCTCCTCCAAAGGAACGCAGTTCCTCACCAGCAATGGAACAAAGCTGGACGGAGAAAATGACTTTGACGAGCTGAGAGAAGAAGGCTTCAGATGATCAAATTACTCCGAGCTATGGGAGGACATTCAAACCAAAGGCAAAGAAGTTGAAAACTTTGAAAGAAATTTAGAAGAATGTATAACTAGAATAACCAATACAGAGAAGTGCTTAAAGGAGCTGATGGAGCTGAAAACCAAGGCTCGAGAACTACATGAAGAATGCAGAAGCCTCAGGAGCCGATGGGATCAACTGGAAGAAAGGGTATCAGCGATGGAAGATGAAATGAAGGAAATGAAGCGAGAAGGGAAGTTTAGAGAAAAAAAGAATAAAAAGAAACGAGCAAATCCTCCAAGAAATATGAGACTATGTGAAAAGACCAAATCTGCGTCTGATTGGTGTACCTGAAAGTGATGGGGAGAATGGAACCAAGTTGGAAAACACTCTGCAGGATATTATCCAGGAGAACTTCCCCAATCTAGCAAGGCAGGCCAACATTCAGATTCAGGAAATACAGAGAACGCCACAAAGATACTCCTCAAGAAGAGCAACTCCAAGACACATAATTGTCAGATTCACCAAAGTTGAAATGAAGGAAAAAATGTTAAGGGCAGCCAGAGAGAAAGGTCGGGTTACCCTCAAAGGGAAGCCCATCAGACTAACAGCAGATCTCTCGGCAGAAACTCTACAAGCCAGAAGAGAGTGGGGGCCAATATTCAACATTCTTAAAGAAAAGAATTTTCAACCCAGAATTTCATATCCAGCCAAACTAAGCTTCATAAGTGAAGGAGAAATAAAATACTTTACAGACAAGCAAATGCTGAGAGATTTTGTCACCACCAGCCCTGCCCTAAAAGAGCTCCTGAAGGAAGCGTTAAACATGGAAGGAACAACCGGTACCAGCCGCTGCAAAATCATGCCAAAATGTAAAGACCATCGAGACTAGGAAGAAACTGCATCAACTAACGAGCAAAATAACCAGCTAACATCATAATGACAGGATCAAATTCACACATAACCATATTAACTTTAAATGTAAATGGACTAAATGCTCCAATTAAAAGACACAGACTGGCAAATTGGATAAAGAGTCAAGACCCATCAGTGTGCTGTATTCAGGAAACCCATCTCACATGCAGAGACACACATAGGCTCAAAATAAAGAGATGGAGGAAGATCTACCAAGCAAATGGAAAACAAAAAAAGGCAGGGGTTGCAATCCTAGTCTCTGATAAAACAGACTTTAAACCAACAAAGATCAGAAGAGACAAAGAAGGCCATTACATAATGGTAAAGGGATCAATTCAACAAGAAGAGCTAACTATCCTAAATGTATATGCACCCAATACAGGAGCACCCAGATTCATAAAGCAAGTCCTGAGTGACCTACAAAGAGACTTAGACTCCCACACATTAATAATGGGAGACTTTAACACCCCACTGTCAACATTAGACAGATCAATGAGACAGAAAGTCAACAAGGATACCCAGGAATTGAACTCAGCTCTGCACCAAGCAGACCTAATAGACATCTACAGAACTCTCCACCCCAAATCAACAGAATATAAATTTTTTTCAGCACCACACCACACCTATTCCAAAATTGACCACATACTTGGAAGTAAAGCTCTCCTCAGCAAATGTAAAAGAACAGAAATTATAACAAACTATCTCTCAGACCACAGTGCAATCAAACTAGAACTCAGGATTAAGAATCTCACTCAAAACCGCTCAACTACATGGAAACTGAACAACCTGCTCCTGAATGACTACTGGGTACATAACGAAATGAAGACAGAAATAAAGATGTTCTTTGAAACCAATGAGAACAAAGACACAACATACCAGAATCTCTGGGACGCATTTGAAGCAGTGTGTAGAGGGAAATTTATAGCACTACATGCCCACAAGAGAAAGCAGGAAAGATCCAAAATTGACACCCTAACATCACAATTAAAAGAACTAGAAAAGCAAGAGCAAACACATTCAAAAGCTAGCAGAAGGCAAGAAATAACTAAAATCAGAGCGGAACTGAAGGAAATAGAGACACAAAAAACCCTTCAAAAAATTAATGAATCCAGGAGCTGGTTCTTTGAAATGATCAACAAAATTGATAGACCGCTAGCAAGACTAATAAAGAAAAAAAGAGAGAAGAATCAAATAGACGCAATAAAAAATGATAAAGGGGATATCACCACCGATCCCACAGAAATACAAACTACCATCAGAGAATACTACAAACACCTCTATGCAAATAAACTAGAAAATCTAGAAGAAATGGATAAATTACTCAACACATACAGTCTCCCAAGACTAAACCAGGAAGAAGTTGAATCTCTGAATAGACCAATAACAGGATCTGAAATTGTGGCAATAATCAATAGCTTACCAACCAAAGAGAGTCCAGGACCAGACGGATTCACAGCCGAATTCTACCAGAGGTACAAGGAGGAACTGGTACCATTCCTTCTGAAACTATTCCAATCAATAGAAAAAGAGGGAATCCTCCCTAACTCATTTTATGAGGCCAGCATCATCCTGATACCAAAGCCTGGCAGAGACACAACCAAAAAAGAGAATTTTAGACCAATATCCTTGATGAACATTGATGCAAAAATCCTCAATCAAATACTGGCAAACCGAATCCAGCAGCACATCAAAAAGCTTATCCACCATGATCAAGTGGACTTCATCCCTGGGATGCAAGGCTGGTTCAATATACGCAAATCAATAAATGTAATCCAGCATATAAACAGAACCAAAGACAAAAACCACATGATTATCTCAATAGATGCAGAAAAGGCCTTTGACAAAATTCAACAACCCTTCATGCTAAAAACTCTCAATAAATTAGGTATTGATGGGACGTATTTCAAAATAATAAGAGCTATCTATGACAAACCCACAGCCAATATCATACTGAATGGGCAAAAACTGGGAGCATTCCCTTGGAAAACTGGCACAAGACAGGGATGCCCTCTCTCACTACTCCTATTCAACACAGTGTTGGAAGTTCTGGCCAGGGCAATTAGGCGGGAGAAGGAAATAAAGGGTATTCAGTTAGGAAAAGAAGAATTCAAATTGTCCCTGTTTGCAGATGACATGATTGTATATCTAGAAAACCCCATTGTCTCAGCCCAAAATCTCCTTAAGCTGATAAGCAACTTCAGCAAAGTCTCAGGATACAAAATCAATGTACAAAAATCACAAGTATTCTTATACACCAACAACAGACAAACAGAGAGCCAAATCATCAGTGAACTCCCATTCACAATTGCTTCAAAGAGAATAAAATACCTAGGAATCCAACTTACAAGGGATGTGAAGGACCTCTTCAAGGAGAACTACAAACCACTGCTCAATGAAATAAAAGAGGATACAAACAAATGGAAGAACATTCCATGCTCCTGGGTAGGAAGAATCAATATCGTGAAAATGGCCATACTGCCCAAGGTAATTTACAGATTCAATGCCATCCCCATCAAGCTACCAATGACTTTCTTCACGGAATTGGAAAAAACTACTTTAAAGTTCATATGGAACCAAAAAAGAGCCTGCATCGCCACGTCAATCCTAAGCCAAAAGAACAAAGCTGGAGGCATCACGCTACCTGACTTCAAACTATACTACAAGGCTACAGTAACCAAAACAGCATGGTACTGGTACCAAAACAGAGATATAGATCAATGGAACAGAACAGAGCCCTCAGAAATAACGCCGCATATCTACAACTATCTGATCTTTGACAAACCTGAGAAAAACAAGCAATGGGGAAAGGATTCCCTATTTAATAAATGGTGCTGGGAAAACTGGCTAGTCATATGTAGAAAGCTGAAACTGGATCCCTTCCTCACACCTTATACAAAAATCAATTCAAGATGGATTAAAGACTTAAACGTTAAACCTAAAACCATAAAAACCCTAGAAGAAAACCTAGGCATTACCATTCAGGACATAGGCATGGGCAAGGACTTCATGTCTAAAACACCAAAAGCAATGGCAACAAAAGCCAAAATTGACAAATGGGATCTAATTAAACTAAAGAGCTTCTGCACAGCAAAAGAAACTACCATCAGAGTGAACAGGCAACCTACAAAATGGGAGAAAATTTTCGCAACCTCCTCATCTGACAAAGGGCTAATATCCAGAATCTACAATGAACTCAAACAAATTTACAAGAAACAAACAAACAACCCCATCAAAAATTGGGCGAAGGATATGAACAGACACTTCTCAAAAGAAGATATTTATGCAGCCAAAAAACACATGAAAAAATGCTCACCATCACTGGCCATCAGAGAAATGCAAATCAAAACCACAATGAGATACCATCTCACACCAGTTAGAATGGCAATCATTAAAAAGTCAGGAAACAACAGGTGCTGGAGAGGATGTGGAGAAATAGGAACACTTTTACACTGTTGGTGGGACTGTAAACTAGTTCAACCATTGTGGAAGTCAGTGTGGCGATTCCTCAGGGATCTAGAACTAGAAATACCATTTGACCCAGCCATCCCATTACTGGGTATATACCCAAAGGAGTATGAATCATGCTGCTATAAAGACACATGCATACGTATGTTTATTGAGGCATTATTCACAATAGCAAAGACTTGGAACCAACCCAAATGTCCAACAATGATAGACTGGATTAAGAAAATGTGGCACATATACACCATGGAATACCATGCAGCCATAAAAAATGATGAGTTCATGTCCTTTGTAGGGACATGGATGAAACTGGAAATCATCATTCTCAGTAAACTATTGCAAGAACAAAAAACCAAACACTGCATGTTCTCACTCATAGATGGGAATTGAACAATGAGAACACATGGACACAGGAAGGGGAACATCACACTCTGGGGACTGTTGTGGGTTGGGGGGAGGGGGGAGGGATAGCATTGGGAGATATACCTAATGCTAGATGACGAGTTAGTGGGTGCAGCACACCAGCATGGCACATGTATACATATGTAGCTAACCTGTACATTGTGCACATGTACCCTAAAACTTAAAGTATAATAATAATAAATAAATAAATAAATAAATAAAAACTTTAATGTTAAAAAAAGAAGTATGAATGCTGTAGGGTCATTTTTCTCATTAATAATTGTCTTTCTTGTCTAATTCCTTAATGCTGCTAGTTTGTGAAGATGTGTAGCACACAAAAGCTATAATAGTGCTAGATACAATAATATAGCAGTTCATAGGATGACAATCATAATAATCCTAGCTGCCAATACTTTTCTGTGGAGTGCTTTATACCTGCAAAATGCTGTCTTTTTCCTCTTCTAAGTCACTTTTTACATATTCTTGATAGAAATGGTTGGTTTTATAATTTTCTTCTACTGGAGAGAAATGAAAGAAACAGAACATTTAAGGAATAGCCCTAGGTCATTGCCTAATATGCCACAGAGTGTGAGAAAAGCACATTTTATCACCGCCACATATTTTTTTCCTAATGAAAAAAGAAAAGACAATGTTCTTGGCATGAAACTTGATATGGAAGACGTGTTCAGTAATTAAATTTTTCCTCCCCATTGGATAGTAGTTTTGATTCATGACTGACATAGATTTTATTCTTGGTGATTTAATTCTTCATGTTCATATGACAAAAACATATCTCACTGTATTTACCAATGACGTAGTGTTCTCAGCCCTGGCTGAATATTACAAATACCTGAAGAGTTAAATCTGATCTGTGAAGGGTTATGGGCATTTGTAAGTTTTAAATGCTTTGCAGATAATTCTCCTGAACTGCTGGAGAAGAGAATCCTTGGATCAAAAGAACAATGGAAATGCAATGTTTAAGTAAGTTTCTCTCACTCAAATATTTTCTAATTAAGAGCATCCATTTAAGTTCTCTGTCAGCAGTTCTAGAATGGTTTGAGATGGTGTATGTGTGTGTCTATGTGTTTGTGTGTCTGTGTGTGTTCCCAAGTGAAGATGGCTTTTCCAAGGGGAAGGCTGTGCTGTTTCCTGTCATGTTTAAGAACTTGGTCTTTATTTGGTGTTTTGGGCTTGCTTCTCCACATCCTGCAGATAAAATACTGCGACCCCCCGGGCAGTTTCTTCATCTGCTGGATAATTATACCTACCTCTCAAGACTGGACTGAAGGTTAAAAGACATTTGTTATGGGTTGAATTGTGTCCACCCAAGGAGATTGAAGTCCTAACTCCTTGTGCCTCAAAATGTGACCTTATTCAAAAATAGGGTATTTACCGAGGTGACTGAGTTAAAATGTCATCATTAGAGTGGGCCTAATTCAATATGACTGGTGTCCCTATAAAATGGGGAAAACTGGATGCAGAGACAGACATATGAAGGGGAAAGATGATATGAAAATGCATAGAGAAGAGGCATCTACAAGCCAAGAGAGGCCTGAAGCAGATCTTTCCCTCACAGCCCTCAAAATAAACTAACCCTGACGACACCTCAATCATGGACTTCTATCCTCCAGAACTGGGAAAGAATAAATTTCTGTTGTGTATACCACTCAGTCTGTAGTACTTTTTTATGGGCAGCCCCAAGAAACTAATACAACATTACAGAGCATAGTTAACACTGTGCCAGCACTAGCATAACCTCAATTTTAAAAAAGCTACAATAAGGAGAAATTCTAAAATACAAAGTATTACCAATGCTAATAAAAATAGAATTAATAGATCATTTTAAAAAGTAATAAATTATAATTTCTATAATATTTTATTAAACACATACATGATAAATTTGTTAAGCATTTTTACTCTATTTTAAGTCATACAGATGATCTCATCAGCCAGTCTCTTGGTGTATAGCCAAAGCTACCTTATTTTAAAGACCCTTTAAAAGAGCAAGCTTAGGTTCACAGCAAAATTGAGGAACACAGTGTTCCTGTGCACCTTCCAGAACATCAGAACATCCCCCTGTTCTGATACATGCCCAGCCTCCCACATTAGCAACATCCCCCACTATGGTGGTTCATCGTTACAGGTTATGCGTCTGCTTTGACAACGTCATTGTCACTCAAAGTCCATTGTTTACATTAGATTTGTCCTTTGTGTTGTACATTCTATCGTATTGGACAAATGTGTCCAATGTGCCTACCTTTGTAGTATCACACAGAGAATTTTTACCACTCTAAAAATCCTCTGTGCTCTGCCTATTCATCGCTCCCTCCTCCACCCCGCAACAGCTACTGATCTTTTTAGTGTCTCTATAGCTTTGTCCTTCCAGAGTGTCCCATATTGGAATCATAGAGTAGACAGCTTTTTTTGGATTGGCTATGTTCACTTATTAATATGCACTTAAGCTTCCTTTATGTTTTTAGTGGCTCCATAGTTCACCTCTGAATAATTTTCCATTGTTTAGTTGTTTATTTATCCATTCATCTAATGAAAGACATCTTGATTGCTTTGACAATTATGAATAAAGTTTTGCCAATTGTGAATAAAGTTGCTCTAAACATTTGTAGGCATAGGCAGGTTTTTCTGTGAACATGTTTTTAAACCTCATTTGAGTAAATACCAAGGAATGTGATTACTGGTTCATATGGTGAGAGTATGTTTAGTGCTGTAAGGACCTGTTTTCCAAAGTGGCTGCCCCATTTTTCATTCCCATTAGCAATGAATGAGAGTTCCTGTTGCTCCACGTCGTTATTAGCATGTGATGTTGTCAGTGTTCTGGATGTTGGCCATTCAAGTGGGTGTATAGTGGCATCAGATCATTTGAATCTGCATTTCTCTGATGACATATATTATGAAACATCATTTCATATGCTTATTTGCCATCTGTATAACTTCCTTGGTGAAATGTCTGCTAAGGTCGTTGGCCCATTTTTAATAGGATTGTTTATTTTCTTATTGTTGAGTTCTAAGAATTGTTTGTGTATTTGAATGACAGTCCTTTGTCAGATGTTTTTTGCAAACTTTTTTTTTTCCATCTGTTGCTTGTCTTATTCTCTTGACATTGTCTTTCCCAGGGCAGAAAATTTTAATTTTAATAAAGTCCAGCTTATCAATTTTTTCATGGATCATTCATGAGTGTTATTACTTCCTGTATACCACTTTCCATTCAAGTAACAGCTTTGTATTTTAACTCATTTAATCCTCACACAAAACCTTTGGAGTATATACTGTTATCACCCTCATTGGGTACATTTGGTGTTCTATCATTGTCAAACCCAATGTCATCTATAATAGATTTTCTTTTTTGTTAACTTCCAGGAATTTTATAGTTTTCATTTTGCGTTTATATCTATAACCAATTTTGAGCTATTTTTTGAAGAGTTTAAGGTATGTTTCTAGATTCACGTTTTTGCATGTGGCTGTTCAGTTGTCTCAGCACCATTTGTTGAAAAGACTATCTTTTCTCCATTGTATTGCCTTTGTTCCTTTGTTAAAGATTAGTTGACTGTATTTATGTGGTTCTGTTTCTCAGCTCTGTATTTTGTTCCATTGATCTATTTGTTTATTCTTCAACCAAACCACACTGTCTTGATTACTGTAGCTTTACAGTAAGTCTTAAAGTTGAGTAGTGTCAGTCCTACATCTTTGTTTCTCTCTTTCAATGTGTATTCGCTATTCTGTTTTTTTTTGTACTCTCCACATAAACTTTAGACTAAGTTTGATAATATCTATAAAATAACTTGCTGGGATTTTTTATTTTGATGACATATAGATTAAGTTGGGTAGAGCTGACATCTTGACAATATTGAGTCTTCCTCTTCGTGAATATGGGATATTGTTCTACTTATTTAGTTCTTCTATTATTTCTTTCGTCAGAGTTTTTGGCCACTTTTCTCAAATAGATCTTGTGCATTTTTTTGCTATATTTATACCTATGTATTTCATTTTGGGGAGTGCTAGTGAAATGGTATTGTGTTTTAATTAATTTGAAATTAAATTAAAACAATCCCTGTTTATTGCTGGTTTATAGGAAAGCTATTGACATTTGTATATTAACCTTATATCCTGCAATTTTGCTATGATTGTTTATTAGTTTCAGAAATTTTTTCATTGGTTCTTTCAGATTTTCTACATAGATAAATGTGTCTTCTGCAATTAAAGAAAACTTTATTTCTTACTTCCCAATCAGCATACTTCTATTTCCTCTTATTGCCTTACTGCATTAGCTAGAACTTCTAGTACAATGTTGAAAAGGTGTGGTGAGAGAGAACATCATTGCCTTGTTTCTGATCTTAGTGAAAAATCTTTGAGTTTGTTACTATAAAAGATAATGTTAGCTGTAGATGTTTTATAGATATTCTATATCAAGTCGAGGAAATGGTTCACTATTTTTAGTTTACTGAGAGCTTTAATCAAGAATGAGCATGGGATTTTGTAAAATCCTTTGACTGTATCTATTATGTGATTTCTCTATTGATGTGATAAAGTAAATTAATTATTTTTGAATATTGTACTGGCTTTGCATATCTGGGATAAATCCCACTTGGTTGTTGTAATGGTTAATATTGAGTGTCAACTTAATTAAAAGATGCAAAGTATTGTTCCTGGGTGAGTCTGTGAGGGTGTTGCCAAAGTAGATTAATATTTGAGTCAGTGAACTGAGAGAGTCAGACCCACCCTCAATCCAGGTGGGCACCATTTAATCAGCTGCCAGCATAGCTAGAATAAAGCAGGCAGAAGAACAGCAAAGGACTTGACTTGCTGAGTCTTCTGGACTTCATTTTTCTCTCGTGCTGGATAATTCCTGCCCTCAATCGTCAGACTCCAAGTTCTTCAGCTTTTGGACTCTTAGACTTACACGAGTGGGTTACCAGTCATTTGCCAGGGTCTATTGGGCCTTCAGCCACAGAATGAAGACTCCTGGCTTCCCTACTTTTGAGGTTTGGGGACTTGGACTGGCTTCCCTGCTCCTCAGCTTGCAGATGGCCTATTGTGGGACTTCAGCTTGTGGTTGTGTGGATGATGACACTTTCTGGCTACTTCCTGCTGAAAAGGGGTGTTGTGTGGGGAACAGCAGCTAAGGTTCCTCCTGGGGTTGGTCCTCATAAGAAGGCATGTCCATGCGTGGTTCTCTCTGCAGCACCATTTGGAGTTTGATTGCTGTCAACCATTCCGATAGGTTGTAACACTGGTTTGCCTCCATCAGATGTTGCTGAAACATTAATATAGAAGTAACATTCCTTTTAGGATAAGTGGCACTGGATTTGGGTGGCTAGAGTAACTTTAGTGTTAACCTTGGCTAAATCTTTCCTGCAATTATTAATCCCTTCATGACTTCCACAGACCATTTAAGACATGCTTAAGCTTTCCGACTTGTCCTAAACATCCTTCTTTTTAAACAATCAACTATTCTTTTTAGAACAAGTAGTTACCATCCTTATAATCCTTTCATGACCTCCATGAACCATCTACAATATGCTTAAACCTTCTGACTTGTCCTAAACATCCCTCTTTTAAACAACCAACTATTCTCTTTAGGACAAGTATTTACCATAAAAGATCCTTTCTTGTAAAAAAATCTCTTTCCATTATAACCTTCTTTGCATAGCCAAGGTGTGACGTATTACCAAACACAATAAGAAGTTCTAGCAGACTCAATGACAGAAAAACTTTCACGATGCTTTTTGTTGGTAACTATTATCCCTGCTATAAGGATAATAACTAAGCAAACTACTACAGCAATGGAAACTCTCTGTCCAATATTTCAGTTAGAAGGTACTACCATGTATAGCTCTATTGGAAATAGTAGAGTGAATATAGCAATTCCTGTGAGGGTGTTATAGTAGGTTATTTCCATCTCAAATTTTACTTATCAAGATATAGAATTTCCCTTTGGAGGTCTGTGAAGTTCCTTGGTTTTATCTTTTCAAACAAAGGAACCTCTGTGTTATGGGCATCCTACTCACTTTCATTACCTGGCAGAATTTGCAGGATAATTGTCCAGAGCTAGCATATTGATCCAGATTTTTATATTCCCCATCCCTTTTGGTTTCTTCTGAGCTGCAGGAGGTCATTATTTGATTTAAAGGAATAAGCAGGGTTAGTCTAAAATGTACACAAAAAACTTAAAAACAATCAATGAGACGAAAATTTAATGACAAATGTATGATAATCTTTGGAGCACAATTTCTGTCTCTGGTCCTAATTTTTTTTGGTAAAAACAAATTGTGATGGAACTGTGCATGTTGTTCGTAGAATAAACTTTGCTCTTATAATTGGCCTGATTATTTGCATAAAGTACGGGAAGAATAATTATTTCTACATAGGCCTTTTGGATTGGCTTTGCTGGAAATCTGTTCCACAAGGAATCTTAGATAAGACCTTTTAAAGCCAAGCTCAGCCATGGGTTTGTATCCTCAAATACTTGTGAGTTGGGTGATCCTTTTCTCTTAAGGTCCCAAGATAAACTTGGAGCTCCTGTACCTGTTAGAAAGTTACATTCTTTACTGACCACAGGTTAGGAACACCGTACAGGGACTGTGTAGACAAGGTATGAGGCCAGTCTTCCCCGAGGCACTTTTATTGGCTTTGCACATCAAGCTTGATTCCTTAAAGGAAAACATACCTTTCCAGTCAAAGCCTTGGTAGAATAAGCAGTTTTTTTCCAATTGTGTCCTATTGCAAAAAAAAAAAAAAAAAATAGATTCTTATTGCACTGGTACAAAAAACTGTATTGCCATAAGTTAAGAATACTCACAGATAGTTTCCAAATTCTGGAGAAACCAGGCAGAGAGAAACAAATGTGCTCTAAATTTCATTCACCGGAGTATACATTACTCAATTATTAAAGGCTGTAAATAGTTCAAAATGAGTTTCCTTGACTCTGAAAAACAAGGATCGGCAATATTCCAAGCAAAAGTCAAAAAGGTTGCTTTAGCTTTCTGAGTGCAGTCCATTTAGTTAACTCTTGTTTTGTTTGATATTCATGCATGTTTCAGTTCTTCATGAGTCCTGTATGGTTTTTTATCTCTATTTCAATGTTACAATCTTCAAAGCTATTAAAAACCCACATTTGAGAACACCTGGTAAAGCTCTATAGCTTGATTGTAAAGCATCTTTTGAGAGGAAACAAAGTAAGACAACAATTGTCTGTGAATGACAAAATTTCCAGGGTAGTTAAAAACATGACTGACAAAGAAGTTTAGTTGTCTCAGTGGTTTACAATAACTTTAGTAACTTTTATGATTGATAGCATATACTTAGACATTAAAATTTTAGAAATCCCATACAAGTTTGAGGCATATATTAGTATTCATCAAAATATAACTTAAATAAGATTGGACATCATTTTGGCAATCTCATGTGACTAAACATGTCAAATAATCCTGTTTACCTTTTCTCTGAATGTTTCCAGGGCCCTCAGAACCATTCAGAAAGCCAGGCAACAGGAAAGACAATTTTAAATCTTGAAGTTTGATTTTGGGATGCCTGTTAAATGTCAGAGATTTAAAACACTCGATGTTATGAAATAGAATTCCAGATTGCCATAAATTATTTATTTTGCCAAAAATGATGATGCAAAAGGCAAAAACCTTTCATTAGTTTTTACTATTACATAAAAATCCTGTTCAAAGCCAAATTTTACCCTTGCATATATTTATTAATTTTAACCCCAATTTGTTTAAATGAAACCTTATCGATGATTCCAACTAATCTTAACAATTTGACCATGAGGTGAAATTTTTACAAACCTTTTATAACCTTTTTTGCTAAAGGGCAGATAATCATCTTACAACAACCTTGCTGTGCTTTTATTTCAATGCTCAATTTATGAAAATACCATGTAATACCCTGTTGAATTTAGCTAATGTTTACACATTTTTTGCAAGAATAATTTTTATAATCTTTCTATAACTTGCTTAAAACTTCAGCTTTCTTATCTACTTTAAGACAATTCTTTATGACTAGGCAATATTTACATTTCCATGCCTTCTCATAATCTTTTACTAGAAACACATTTTACTGTTTTTATATGCCTTTCATGTGAAATTGTTTAGTGGTCTCAGATACATGTTGCACTGTTAAGTCTTAGCAACTTTTACTTTTGGTGAAACACCTGATTAGTAAGTGATTTTAATTACGTACCAGATGTGGAGCCTTGGACTCAGACAGAAATGAAGATAAGGTCTGACTCTTTGCAGCATCTAACTATACGTGTCCCAGGCCTCACCTATTTGTAAAGCATGCAGTATACTACCTTGGAACATTTAGCAAACCTAGTATCTAAGTTGTATTATTTAGACCACCTATTTGCATTTTGATGACACTTGCATTTTACCAATAATCGTTAAGACTATTTATATTTATTAATGAATAAAGTCATATGAACTAAAAAATATTTAAGTGCTTATTTTTTAAGCCAATCAGAGCTTTTTTAAGATAGATATTACATGCAACACATATATGGTGACACAAACAGATAGAATATTCAGCACTTGTAAAATTTTTCATCTGCCATTTTTTTAATTGGATTACTGGCTTCAGGCTGGAGCCCTCAGAGGAGCAGGGCCAGGATGGCATGCATTTTTAGGGCCTAATAAGCAGGCACAGCTGAAAGCAAAGACATATCCCCAAAATTAAGAGTGCCATTTTAAACTGGATCTTGGATCCCCCAAAAGAGGGAGATACTATGGGAGAAGACAGTACAGTGCTTCTACCATGCATTTTATTGCAAGGCAACCCAAAGCCAGTGGGCTTATTTTGTAATCAGCCCATCCCCCATGGGAGTCTCATCTCTCAGTGGGGGTAGCGAAGTTTCCATATCTTTCAGGTGACCAAGAGCATGCTTCTCTGATTCAAATGTGCAAACAGTTAAGTAACCCTCCATAACTATCATTAGCCATCCCTTAAAGTATATTTCCTACCTAGTTATTACACACCAAATCTCTCTCATAATGTGAAGTAATTTGATTACCCAAAAACTCAAAACTGTCAGATAACAGAAGGCAAAACAGAACTGCTCCTTTGATTTTGAGAGGGATCTATCTGCTTTTAATTCCTGGGGTTTCATGAGGAAAACGGGATTTTTTTTTCCCAAAATGGGGTCTGTGGCAACTCCTATGTTTTTCCCAAGGAGTCCCAGGCTACCAGAATTTATCTTAGGGCCTCTCATATGTGCATTAATAGTGGCAAGACGAATAATAGAGAAAAATAATTCAGTTGATTGAGAATGAAAAAGAGAACCTTTTATTAGAAAAGCAAGATCCAAGAAGAGAAAAACATAAAGGCCTTTTAAATATCCATATAACTTGAATATTCACTCTTAATTAAGCCGAGCACTCTTTAAGAAAATCCTTTTAAATCTCTTGTTACTCAACTTTAGCCATGCCAAGCAGTTAAGATTTTCAGCTTTTGAACTTTACAAAAAGTAACCTCACAGGTGAAGCCAACAAGCCATAATGAGGTTTTGACTTAGCCACAAGTGTATAAGGTATTTTTAAAGGGATAGTAAGCAGCTTTTGAAATTGTTGTTACAGAATTGTGACTGAGGCAGTGAAAGAGATTCAACCCAACCAACTCCATTTTATTTCCAGCCCCCAAGCTCTCCTTACCCAACCCTGGGCATAGGTCAAACCAACTTTGGGAGGAGCCTGGTTTACAGTTTATAGTACAAAAAAGCTAATAACAGCCTCTTCCTAAGATATACTTCCCTCTTGCCTGGGGACCAGACCAAGAAACTAGCCATAAGATTAGAAACCATGGCTTAGGACTCATGCAGCTGGAGGCTACAAGATTTTGACCTTCCCTTATCTGCTCTCAAGATCAGTGCTTAAGATATGTTGTAAACCCTGCCCTTGATGGATTAGCTGGCCCCACCCAAATTGATAAACTGGCTTACCTGATTTTGTAGCCCTCACCCAGGAACTGACTTAGCACAAGACAGTCACTGTTGTAAAATGACAGAGACTAAAACAAAGTATTGCCACGTGGTTACTGGTCATGTTTCCAAAGACATGAAACAAGTTGGAGACCCATAGCCAAGTTTGTTACCAGCCATTTTGTTGGGCTGGCTTGAATAGCAGGCTTATGAGGTTCTGCATACTAGCCTAAGGTACCCTTTCTTTTGACAGAACCATACAGAAAGACACACAAAGCACAACAGATTGGCTACAGCCTAAGACCAACCTCAGAAGTTCTTTTTCATTAATTGAAACTTTACAGAGAATATAAAGAGTGATCCTTATTGTTTCTTTTACTGGTTTCCACAGGGAGAAAGACACCAAAAGCCTAATTGGTAAAAAACAACAACAACAGCAAAAAAAATCTTTTACTCTTTTGCTGGCATGTGAGACTTCTAGGCTCCCTTCCTCCTAGCTCAACCCTAAGCTAAGCATTATAAGGTTTGGTGAAATTAACGTTTCCCATGTTGGAAGAACATTATAAAGTTAGATAGGAGCCATTTTAAGCCATAAAAGAAGAAAAAATACCATAGAGAAATTTGGGGGTTCTAACTAGAGTTGTCAAGAGGCACTGATTCCCTTCCTATTGGCAATGGTGTTTCCTCTATTGCTTCACCTTCCCTATTTTCTCTTTTCCCTTTTGGCCTACTATAGGAGACATATTGCTCATCTCTGAAATTCTCAGCTCCCTGCAGAGCTTCCTGTTTTTCAACCACAGTTCGAATTTGGCTTAGAAGCAGCCTAACATCCCTTCATGAGAGGCCAAACACCACAGTTAAAATTTGGAAAACTTCTATATACCTACCAGGGTCATTAGAAAATTGGCCTGAGTCTCCCTTTATTTGCCTAAGGTCCTGTAATGAGAAGGGAACTTATGGGGGCCCTGAATAGGGGCATCCTCAGATTGTTCACCTGGAAGTTGCTTCTCTAACTTTGGAGAATCATTCTCTATAGGCCTGCCTGATATGACTACTATAAAAGTTGTGTTGATTTTGTAACGCCTGGAAAGGTCTAGTAGGAAGGTCATGCCCTTGTGCAAAAGAAAATGAGCTGCTTTATTCTTTAACGTTTCAGGGTCAAAGGAGTTCTTGTGCTTCACAATGTACTTCAGAGGGGTGCAAGCTGAAGATGATCTCTTACCCATCTAGAAAGGGAAGCAAGAAGCAAGAAAATGGCATCCCTTTTTTAGTGTGACCCAGAGTGGAGAGGGAGATAGTGGGGGTGTCCCTGCTGCTGTTTTTCCTCCGTGGTTCCTGGGTACTAGCACCTTGTTGAACATGCTGCCCATGGTTTCGTGTGTGACCTTCAGCCAGGGGACTAGAGGAACTAAGTGGGATTAGTCACGCTCACCCATGCAGCTTTAGTCCTCTGCCTGTGATTTCCCTTGACTTCCTAGACTTGTAAGACCTGCCTGGCTCCCTGAGAAATGGATCTCGGGAGAGGCTATGCGACAGTTGCATTTTCCTCCTTAATGGAGGAAGTGTGCTGGTTTGAGCACTATATCCTGCTATTATGGCTTGTACTAAAGCGTTTACCCTTAGAGAATGGTTCTAGTTAACTGCCAAACTTAAAATCCCCTTACTAATTAAGTATCATTTTAATTGGAGCCAGAATAAGTGCCTTAAAAAATGTAGGGACTGAATGGTCATTTTCCTGCTGATGGGGCAGTACTGACACTAAAATTTCGTTCCAGAGGACATTTTACTCCTAATTGTTGAGGGCCGAGTTCTCCTGTTCACAGAAGCAGCATAAACCCCGGTTTCAAGTAGAGAGGAACTAAAAGGGAGGACAATTGGGATGCTAGGGTGTTTCGGTAAAGATCCAACAATGTGCCTAATGGAGAGAAATCCTACACCACTAGGTGACACTATTTACCTAGAAATGCCATGTGATTTCTAGGTCAAGGGTAGAGTGACCTTGAGTGCTCTCCAGACCAAGGGCAGAGAGAGAGCTGGAAATGGCATGTGCTTGCTAGACCAAGGGCAAAGAGTGATCTGGAAATGCCATGTGCTCTCCAGATTAAGGGCAGAGGGGGGTAGGGAATCACAAAGACAGCATTCCCTTAAGCTATATCCCCAGTTACTATGGCATTCCCTGACCTTGCCTAACAAGATTACTTCCCTGAACTGTAAAACTTCCCACACATTGCATACACAGAGAGGACAGGGGATATGGCAGTCGTGGACAGGAAAGGAGGAAATTATGATACAAACATTGGAGATCCTGTTGCCAACACCCCATTGGGCAGCTGGAGGCTGGAGTCAGTCTAGAAGCCTTTGGATAACACCAGCGGGTAGCCCCAGCCAGAAATCCTCAGTTGCTCAAGGACCTCTTTCAGCCCCATGCAACAGTTAAGTCCTCCATGAAAAGTAACTGGTTCAAACATGGCCAATATGCCCAGCAACTTGTGGATGCTGGGGGATTCTCTACGTTCTCCCCGGTAAGCCTCACATCCAAGTCTTTAAGAATGGCAGCCACGGTAATCATGTTTTTAACTGACTGATGGATGCCTGTTATTGATTTGATTTGATTCTAAAATGGAGCCCGAGAGCCCCAAAATGAAAGGACAAAGTTGGAGTCCATGCCTCTACTCACCGTTTTGATGAATGTTGTACCTTGGTATCCTGGATGAGCCCCCAGTATGAAGCAGCTACATTATCTGGGGTATACACCTGGGGTTCTTCATCTTGCACCAGAAATTTAGGAAATGGACACACATGAGGAGTTTAGGAGCAGAGGTTTAATAGGCAGATGAAAGAGAAAGTAAAACTGCGCTCTCTCTCTATTGAGAGAGAGGTGACTTCCAACAGAAAAGATCAGCTGGCGGTGGATGTGCCAGATTTTATAGTCTGGCTTGAGGAGGTGGTGTCTGATTCACGTAGTGCTCACAGATTAGTTTGATCAAGTGTGACGTTTACATAGCATGTGGGGAAGACTGGCTGCCCCCCCATAATCTTATCAAGCAAATGAACTTTCCTCTTAGCCAGTGCCATCTGGTCTGCTCCTTATTGTACATGTGGCTGACAAAGAGAAGGGAAGATGGAGCTGCCATCTTGAACATGATTGGCACAGCTGCCAGCATCTATGTCTGCAGTTTGACTTTACATGCTGCTGTTTATTAGAAAGGAAAATAATTTGGAGCTGCTTTTCACTAAAAGGAAAACCTTGCTGAGGACTTCAGTACCCTCACTATCTGCCTAAGTAATTTCTTCTTAACTCCTGTATCAAAAATATCTTCAATTTATTTCCTTTCTTTCCTTTCTTTTTATCATGTGACATAAGATTTATTAACTTCATATCAGCACTTAAGTGTTGCTAACTTTATGTAATAGTATTTAGGTTAAGGATTAGTGTGCTTCTGATTGTGCACAGGATAGCTGTATTATGTTAGGCATAATTATGACCTTATTATTGTCTTTATTTAAAGATTATGTATGATCTCAGGAGATGTATATAGGTTCAACTTGACAGGGGGTGGACTTGTGATGGTTAATATTGATTGTCAACTTGATTGGATTAAAGGATGCAAATATTGTTCCTGGTTGTATCTGTGAGGGTGTTGCCAAAGGAGATTAACATTTGAATCCGTGGATTAGGAGACACAGACCTACCCTCAATCTGGGTGGGCATCACCTAATCAGCTGCTAGCGTGGCTAGAATAAAGCAGGCAGAGCAATGTGGAAGAGCTTGAATTGCTGAGTCTTCCAGCCTTCATCTTTCTCCCATGCTGGATGCTTCCTGCCCTCAAACATTAGACTCCAAGTTCTTCAGCTTTTGGACTCTTGGACTTACAGCAGTAACATTTGCTAGGGGCTCTTTGGCCTTCAGCCACAGACTGAACAGCTTCCATACATTTGAGGTTTTGGCTTCCTTGCTTCTCAGCTTTCAGACAGCCTATTGTGTGACTTCACCTTATGACTGTTTGAGTCAATACTCCTTAGTAAACTCTCCTTCATACATACATCTATCCTATTAGTTCTGTCCCTTTAGAGAACACTGACTAATACAATTGTGGTATATAATTCTTTTATACATTGGTAGATTTGATTTTC
Organism: Homo sapiens; assembly: GCF_000001405.40. Taxonomy (NCBI): domain Eukaryota; kingdom Metazoa; phylum Chordata; class Mammalia; order Primates; family Hominidae; genus Homo; species Homo sapiens. The sequence continues at coordinate 4,177,706 of NC_000002.12, forward strand.
TAATATGTTGTTGAGGAATTTTGCATCCATGCTCATCAGTGATATTGGTCTATAATTTTCTTGTAGTGTCTTTGGTTGTAATATTAGTGTGATGCTGGCTTCATAGAATGAGTTAGGAAATACTCCTTCTATTCCTATCTTATGAGAGTTTATTTAAAAATTGATATAATTTTCTCTTTAAATGTTTGATCAAATTCACCAGTGAGCCAGCCAGGCTGTGTGCTTTCTCTTTTGGAAGGTAATTATTGATTCAGTTTATTTAATATACATCTGTCTATTCAGATTATATATTTCTTCTTGTGGGAGTTTTGACAAATTCTCTCTTTTAATAAATTTGTCCATTTCATTTAGGTTAACAAATTTGAGCACATAGACTTATTTATCAAAGCCAGCTTTCCTGAGTATAGATTTGATAATTGATCATTTCAGCTTTGTTTAGAAAACACAAATGCACACACACAGACACACACCCCATATGAGTTATTTGTAATTTTCTATGATGTTTCCTTTAAAGTGGAATGAGACATAAGACATTACAAAGTTTGGAAAGAAATCTGATTTCAGAACCTTTCTGAATAATACTTATTTCCTTTGGAATTTCCAACTTACAGTGATTTATTTTTACACCTGCTTTTTCAAATTAAGACTTTACACAACATTTACTTATATCTCATATAAAAATCTTTTATTGTGATTCTAATTCTTTGGTTTGCATACAATTTTTTATCAATTATTTAATTATAATAAGACATAAAGGCGATACAAACAGTTGAGGAAAAAAACAACTGACTTTTCTAAGAATAAAACTAACTTGGTGGGAGCTGATGGAAGGAAACAAGGATACAGGGTGAAAGGCAGAGCAAGCCCCGTGTCAGGAGCATAGATCTGAGGCAGTGCAAGAAATGATTCCATATTTCCACATTTTAAAAAGAGGATAATATTTATTTTGAAAGAAATTCAAATATACATATTTACATATACCTATATACATACATACACAAATATAAACATATTTTTTCTTAAGCTGTACTATTCAAGAAATATAGTTATTAATTCAAGTAATGTGTGAATAATATTAAAATATTTGTTTTGACTAATTAGATACAAAATATTTTTATAGCATCTGTAATTTGAGAACTTTATTTTGTGTATGGCTCAGAATATAGTCCTACTTAGTAAACATACCATATTTACTACAAGAATGGATAATGCAGGGAATGAGGAGTTCTGTTTAATGGGTAAGGAGTTTCAGTTTTGTAAGAGAAAAGATTCTGTGAATAGATGATGGTGATGGTGGTACAACAGTGTAAATGCACTTAATGCCACTGAACTGCACACTTAAGATGGTAAACTTTAGTTGTGCATATTTTACAACTTAAAAAATAAATTTAAAAATATTGTGGTGATATGGTTTGGCTGTGTCCCCATCTAAATCTCATTTTGTAACTCCCATAATTCCCATGTGTTGTGGGAGGGACCTGGTGGGAGATAATTGAATCATAGAGGTGAGTCTTTCCTGTGCTGTTCTTGTGATAGTGATGAGTCTCACAAGAGCTGATGGTTTTAAAATTGAGGGTTTCCGGCCGGGCGCAGTGGCTCACGCCTGTAATCCCAGCACTTTGGGAGGCCAAGGCAGGCTGATCATGAGGGCAGGAGATCGAGATCATGGTGAAACCCCATCTCTACTAAAGATACAAAATATTAGCCAGGTGCGGTGGTGGGTGCCTGTAGTCCCAGCTACTCAGGAGGCTGAGGCAGGAGAATGGCGTGAACCCGGGAGGCAGAGCTTGCAGTGAGCCGAGATCGCGCCACTGCACTCCAGCCTGAGCCGCAGAGCGAGACTCCGTCTCAAAAAAAAAAAAAAAAAAAAAAAAAAGAGGGTTTCCCTGCACAAGCTCTCTTCTCTGCCACCATATGAGATGTGCTTTTCACCTTCCACCATGACTGTGAGGCCTCCCCAGCCATGTGGCACTGTAAGTCCTATAAACCTTTTTCTTTTGTAAATTGCCCAGTCTCAGATATGTCTTTACTAGTGGCATGAAAATGGATGAATACAGGTGGCATCCATTCTGATATCCACCTCTGCTGTTCCAAATGCTTTTTATCTTCACTATTCTTTGTATACATTGCCCTTGTCCTGCTCGGTTTGGATTCTACTCCCAACAGTTATTCCACAAAGTGAGATTTCTCCCATGAATTGGAGTCTCACAGCCCACTCTGGGTTTCTCCTGCAGCTCTCAGCATGGACTGCGGAGTTTACCTGTGTGTCTGACAGCAGCTTAGGCTGGTGTGAATCTATTTCCTCCCTCTGCTTTCTACTGCATGGTTTCTGACCACATAGGTTGTTAAATTATAGAGATTGGCCTCATCTGCTCCTATTTGTAGTTCATACGGATGCCTTGTCCCCTGATTTTATTGTAGATGTTGCCTGTTGGTTTTGGGTTTTACCATCCTAGTATTTGCCTCCTTTTATGTATTGATTTGGGAAGATTCATAACTATGCCCCCACAAACATTTTCCTAAGTAAGCTTTTCATTTTTGTCATTCTTTTTCTTTGATTTCTGTTTTTGTCATCTTTCTTTTTCTTCTATCCTATTTATCAGTTTAAAAAACACAGCACTAAAATCAGAAAAACAAATCTTAACATAATGAATTGATAAAACAAGGATTTTTTTTTAAAAGCTCTTCTTACAGCATCTTCCCTAGACTTGCAAAATCTCTATACCTCCTGTCTTCTAGAACAAAAACATTTGGTGTTTAGGACAATGATCTTCATTTATTAGATATGTGAGGTTTTTATTAGATTTGGTCAGGAAAGTTGACTTATTTACACCTGTCCTTCATTAGCACGAATTAAAACAATATTTTAAGATCCATTTTTATTTAACTAAAAAGTATTCCTTAAGCGTCCTGATCAAGATTGCTTGTGTATTTGGTGGTAGTAAGTGACCATCCTATACAGCTCACCTGTGACTAAATTTAAGCTTCATTTTTCTATTTCTTCCAGTTCCTCCTTCTTCACTGGATGCCCTCAGTCCCTGCCCTTGTTCCCTGCATTTCCCAGCTCCTCCCAACCCCGCCATATGCTGTGTGGCCTGGAACACTGATTTGCTCACAGTGGGTGCCCCATGCGTTTTATTAGGAACAGAAATCCCTTTGTCTTTTCCAGTGCTGCTTTAAATAAATGGATGAAGACACTGGGCTGCTAAAATGTCAGTTCTCTTAAAGAATAAATTCTAAAGATGAAAACCATAATTTAACAATTATGGAAGGTTTTTGTCTTTTCATTGTTTCTAGCTGGTTCAACTTTGTTCACTGTGAAATTATCGTGTAAATTAAAATGTCTGTTTCTCTTTGTTTTAGCTGAGTTAATGCTATTCAGAATTGTCTTGCAGATATTTAGAAATAGTAGCACTTTTGCACATCATTTGTGGAAGCATTTAATGCAAACTAATCTAGCTATTATCATCTGGAGCTGCAGGCTATAGATTATAGTGGATCTTTTTTAAAGGACTGGCAAATCTCTCTTATTAATGTAGAGGGACTTACAGTAAAGTGAGGCATTAAGATTCATGGGATTCCTGCCCCACTTTTGCTGAACCTGCTCAGCATACAATCCATAAATTAAATTATTTGAACACATGCGAAAGAGCAAGCTTCAGGAACAAAAAGGACAGCAAAATGATGGTGTTAGCCTAATTGCTGCACAGTCCAGACACAGCTCAGAATTACTGTAAAGATAGCCAAGAGACTTTAGAAGGACCTTGAGAAGAATACTCTCACTTTCCACTTTCTCTCCTCTCAAACTCTCTTCTCTCTCATACACACACACACACCACAAACACCCACTTTGCTGATGCATTTTAAAACACCAAACTATAGTTTGCAGTGTGTTTTGTTCTAAAAGCAGCTGACTTTTGGAGAGAAATTATGGAAAAGAAAAGGTATTCATAGTGTAAAAGTTAACTAGACAAATCTTACGACACCAAATATTGCCTGTTTCTCTTGGACACATTTGTCTGTATCTTCAAGGCAAAAAGCCACACAAACAAGTTCCATCATTTTTCTACCAAAACATCAGCACTGAATTATCCTGATTCCAGTCTTCAGAGTGAGGTCGCCCTTGTCAAACTGCAATAACTTCTTTTCATTTCTCCTACTCTGTTTTTCACACCAGGATGTATACCCTAAACTCAGGAGCAACTCACGTTGGTGCTAGATACATGAATGCGCTTGTTTATAACCTGTAATGAATGTCATAGTGACTCTTTAGAGTTTTCCCTCATCTGCTAATGCAGTTCAGGAAATCCATGGAAAATTTTTTCTCTACCCATTTTCCTATGCAAATAAATGTGTTATATATATATGTTTTTAGAGTGTATTTCTAGGTGTAGACCCTTTTTTTTAAAATCTAGGAAATGGGCTGGGCGCGGTGGCTCACGTCTGTAATCCCAGCACTTTGGGAGGCCAAGGCAGGCGAATCACCTGAGGTCAAGAGTTCAAGACCAGCCTGGCCAATATGGTGAAACCCCATCTCTACTAAAAATACAAAAAAAAAAAAAAAAAATTAGCTGGGTGTGGTGGCAGTTGCCTGTAATCTCAGCTACTGGGAAGGCTGAGGCAGGAGACTCGCCTGAACCCGGGAGGCAGAGATTGCAGTGAGCCGAGATCATGCCATTGCACTCCAGCCTGGGTGACAAGAGCAAGACTCCATCTCAAAAAATAAAAAATAAAAAAATAAAAATAAAAATAAATTCTAGGAAATACCTGCTACTGGTCACCAATAGTTTCCTTGATCTTTAAAGCAGTGATGAGGAAGTGGGGCCCCAGCACCCTTATATCCACACTTGTACCTAGTCTTGCAAACCCTGGGCTCCAGAAGAAAGGAAAAAGTGTCCTATGGTTTATCACTATTATTAGCATGTGGAAAAAGCCAGTGGTAACAGGAGTTGATAGTCAAAATCATGGCTCCTGGAAGCTTTCCAAAGTGGCCAGGCTTCCCAGTATTGTTCATTTTTTTTTTTTGGGGGGGGGGCCTTATATTAGCCTAAAAAGGATACAAGGAAATCCTGTGAATACAGATTTATCTGTGGTTTGTTTCCCAAATACAGGAGACATTAAGCCCGACTCATACAGGTGAGTGGCTGCTAAAAAAATGCCAGGACCATTGAGGAAAGGAAGCATCACACAACTGCACTTTAGATGCTCGGCCGCTCTGCTTGCCTTTCTGAGATGGAGTTCCCACCTGTAGACTTGGGTCCCTGTGGCGTGTTGTGGCAGGGAGCCCCTGTGAGGATCCCAGGGATCGGTATGGGCAGTAGACGTCATCTGCACAGGAGCACAGGCTTTTTCCTCCGCTTTCTACCTTCTTGAAATATAGGTCGTGTTGTCATTTAAAAAATACAAAACCATATAAGATTATAACTGGATTCTTAACAACTGTCATCATCTGTTTCTCAATCAATAGTTGCTAAAACGGTAGGTATTATTTTGCAGAGCTTTTGACTTTTTTAATGACTTAAAGGTTCCCTCATGGTCAGGAAAGTCTGAAAATTTGAGTTTAGAATGTGGAGCCTTGAGAAGGTGCAGGGGGCCTCCTATGTGTGCCCTGGGATTCCCCTTGGACTCAGATTGGTTGTTGTCGCCAGGCTGCAAGGAGGAAGGAGGAGGAGGGTCCTGCAGGGTCTCTGAGGTGAACCAGCAGTTTTGCACCCAGCTATGATTTGTTTTGTCTGGTTAGCAAAAGAGCTCAAGGGTATACTTTCTAGCCATGTGCTCTTGATTGGTGAGCTTGAAATTTTTTATGGCAGGAACAAGTTAATGAGCTAAGGCATTTGGAGGTTTGCATAAACCCCTTTTCTTGCCTTCAAGAAATGAAAATGTCTTTTTACTCCAAGCTGAAATTGGCAAATATTAAGACATCACAGGATCTTTTTAAATGATAGTTTAATGTTTGCACATGACAATTGACCATACTATTTTCTGTGTGGAAATGAACGAAATCTTTGCAATTATGTGATTTGGACACACCTGAACTTACAATGCCCTAATTAAATATGTACCTTACAAATCCATACCAGATACTTCAGCTGTTTTTCATAAATTAGCTCCAGTCAAATAATAACAAAACTTCCTCTCAATAGAAAAAAGATGTCTGCTTTCAGGGCACTCTGAAAACCACCTCCCCCTTGAATGTGTTTTGTGTTTCCTGTCTGTACAGTTTAATCCCCAGAAGGATGCTGGCTCAGATACCTGGGCCACCCCATCTTTTCATCAAATTATTGTAAGCACTTCCATTTTAAGCAGCGGAGTCTACAGAACACAACAATATTAATTTAGAAAAGTGAGCACTATCCTTTTTCTGTTTATTTTTCGTTACAACATCGTACTAGTTGTTTGGGCTCATTTGGTAGGTCATCTTGATCTTTTTCTTCTCTAAAGCTATAGTTGGCTCTCTGTGAGGCTGCAGTGTTATCACCCCCACACCTGGCCAGCTGCCTGGTTCGCGGTGAGCCTGCGGGTACAGGGATGGAAGCGTGCGGCTGGCGATTCCACTAGCGGGAATCTGAAACTCGCCGGCACTATTTCGCATCCAGCTTCTCGATTCATCCCACAGATTAATTCCTTGACTTGATTCGATGGAAATTTATTTATATGAAGGGCCTAATACTTTGCTATATGTACTTTGGTGAAATAAGAAAGAAAAAAGTCAGAGGGTGCTTGAACCCGGGCTGCTGCAAAGATGTGCCATGTTGGTTTGACCAGAAGGACCTGCACCAGTGTAGGAAGTCCTTTTCGAGCTCTGGAGTCAGAAAGACCATCTTTTGAATTCTCTGTTTCTTACTAAACGGCCATGTAGTCTTGGTGGCAAATATTTAACTTCTCTAGACCTCAGTTTTCTTGTCTATAAAATATACACTATTACAGCACTTATTTCACTAGATTGCTGTGAGAATTAAATGAGTTAAAGTATTTATTCATTCAACAAGTATTGTGTACCTACTGTTGTCACGGTGCAGTTCTGGGCACTGGGAACACATCACTGAAGACACACGCTCCTCTCCCTGCCTTTCCAGACTTGTATTTTCTCTGGGGTAAGTGAGAAGGGAGGAAATAAAAATAAACAAATAAACACATTTTCTTTAATTTTTTTTTTTTTTTTTTTTTTTTGTGATAGTGACGCACTCTGATGCCCAGGCTGGAGTGCAGTGGTTCAATCATGGCTCAAGGCAACTTCCACCTCCCCGGCTCAAGAAATCCTTCCACCTCAGCCTCCCCAGTAGCTGGGACCACAGTTCTGTGCCCCCATGCCAGGCTAAGTTTTGTATTTTTTTTTTTTTTTTTTTGTAGAGACCGGTTTCACCATGTTGCCTAGGCTGGTCTCAAATTCCTGCACTCAAGTGATTCACCCACCTTGGCCTCCTAAAGCACTGGGATTACAGGTATGAGCCACTGCACCCTGCTCCATAAGTAAACTTTCTAAAAATTTTTGAGCAACAGGAGAATAAAAGGAAAGTGGAATAGGGTATATTGGGACTGAAAACATGTGGGGGAAGCCAATTCCAGTTTTCAGTGGGGTTGTCCAGTGAGGCCTCTTCGAAAGGCTGACATTTGGGCACAGACAGAAGGAGAGGAGAGAGGCAGCCACAGGCACGGCTGAGGCAGATTAGTACTGATGAGCCTGGGAGGTGGGAGCAGCAAAAAGCCCGGCAGGGCCCAACAGCAGAGCAGCCGTGAACAGGTCCAGGAGGTAACGGGGTCGGGGCACTGGAAAGACTTGCTTGTTTTTTCTTTCTGGTGCTTTTTCTTTTTATCCAATTTCTTTTTCTACTTCCTTTTGATTCCCTTGAGCACTTCTCTTTCATCCTTGAGCACAACTGTGTTTTTCTTCAGTAAGTTCCTACCACTCTAAGTATCAGGTGCAAGCCTGGTATGTTTTTTTCATGGAAAAAAAAACAGTTGTGGAAACCATTATCTTCTTAGCTTCAAAAGCATAGAAACCTTCCAGGGGAAGGTTTTGTTTTGCATCTTTGCCTGTTGCACAGCTCCGCAGTGCTTCACAAAGGACGGGTACATGGTGAACACTGGTGAACTTGGTTTAATTTTCCTTAACAGAGAAAAACATTTCTCACTTGCTAAAAGTACATAAGTTCAAATGATAACTTGAATTGATAATGAAATATTATTTCAAATGAGGTAAAAGCACCTTTTTCATTTTTGAGGAAATCTCAACTGTTGCCAGTGCTTCTGAGTCCTTCGAAGGGGAGGTGCAAATGCACACATACACCCACTGGATTCACGTCTCAGGGAAAGTCTGTTTGCCCTTGAATTTCATGCAAATCAATAAAATAATGTTAAGTGCATTTTTTTTTCAGTTGGAGTCTCACTGTGTCACCCAGGTTGGAGTGCAGTGGCGTAATCTTGGCTCACTGCAACTTCCACCTCCTGTGTTCAAGCAATTCTTCTGCCTCAGTCTCCTGAGTAGCTGGGATTACAGGTGCCTGCCACCACGCCCAGCTAATTTTTGTATTTTTAGTAGAGACAGCGTTTCACCATGTTGGCCAGGCTGGTCTTAAACTCCTGGCCTCAAGCAATCTGCTTGCCTCGGCCTCCCAAAATGCTGGGATTACAGGCGTGAGCCACCACACCTGGCTTTAAGCGCATTTTTTATTTCACTGGGAGCATCTGAAATGTGCCTGGACTTCATGAGACAAATATTTCTGAGTTCACATAGTCAAATGTTGCTTTAAACCTTTGTTCACTTGCATTTTAGCATCACTCTAGTTGGAAGAATTAGAAATTAGAAGTGTGCAGGACTTAAGGATGCCCCCCAAAAAGATAATCAGTTTTACTAAGGGGTAGGAATATTGTCCTACAAGCAAAACTGAGAGAATGCTATGTAGTTCTAGAAATTCCAGAATGATTAGACATTTATGGAAGTATTTACTTTTTTTTTTATTATGCTTTAAGTTCTGGGATACATGTGCAGAACGTGCAGGTTTGTTACATAGGTATACACGTTCCATGGTGGTTTGCTGCACCCATCAACCTGTCATCTACATTAGGTATTTCTCCTAATGCTATCCCTCCCCTTGCTCCCCACCTCCCGACAGACCCCAGTGTATGATGTTCCCTTCCCTGTGTCCATGTGTTCTCATTGTTCAACTCCCACTTATGAGTCCCTATAAGCAAAACTGAGAGAACTCTATGTAGTTCTAGAAATTACAGAATTACTAGACATTACAGAATTATTTACTTATTAACATTCACCAATGTGAGTATACATTATCACATTTGTCAGAATAACGAATGGAAGGTGAAAACATTATTATATAGACATACATAAAAGTTATTTGAAAAAGTTCCACACATTCATTATTCAAAAAAAAAGTCTTGGCAAGGTCTTAATAGAAGAAAACTGTCTCACGCAGATAATAAGTATTCATTTAAAAAATATATTCAAAACTTCATCATTAGTGCTGACAATTTAGAATCGATCACATTAAACTCAGCAATAATACAAACATGCCTATTATCCCTGCTTCTATTAAAGTTTATACTGATTTAACAAGACAAAAGTAAAAAAGCAATATAAGAATTAGATATGAGAGAGTACAATGTCTTTTTATGTAAGTGTGATTGTCTATAGACAAATCCAAAGTAATCAAATTGGCCTCCAGCACCTTTGCTGAGAGTGAGGCCAATACAAAAATCAATAGTCGCTTTATACACTAGTAATGACCACTGTAACAAAGATCCCATTCATGATTTCAACAATACTTATACAACTCTAGAAATAAAACTACCAAATATGTGCAAAATCTTTACAGTGAAAATAAAATATGACTGAATATTTGAATACTCATTCCACTTTCATAGCTAGAAACAGTTTACCTTAAATCTATTAATACTTCCTAAGTCAGCCTTCTGATTGCATTAAATTGTGATGGAAATCTAAAACAAGTGTTTCATAGACCTTTGCAAACTAATCCTCACATTCACAGGGAAGAGCAGAATGGGAGGGATAGTTAGGAAACTGAAGGATTACAGGGGTGAGGAATTTGCCCTTCTAGCTATTGAGCTTTATAATAAGTCCCTAGTGATTGTTGTATTATTGCAGAAATGGAAACACACAACAATGAACAGAATACAGAGCTTAGAATTAGACCACATTAGTATCCTAGGGTTGCAATGACAAAGTACCAAAAACTAGGTGGCTTAAAACAACAAAATGTATTGCTTCACAGTTCTGGAAAGTAGAAGTCCCAAATCAGCAAGTCAGCAGAGCCATGTGATATGATTTTGTTGTGTCCCCACCCAAATCTCATCTTGAATTCCCACGTGTTGTGGGAGGGACCCGGTGGGAGGTAATTGAATCATGGGGGCAGGTCTTTCCCATGCTATTCTCATGACAGTGAATAAGTCTCACGAGAGCTGATGGTTTTATAAGGGGGAATTTCCCTGCATAAGCACTCTCTCTTTGCCTGTTGCCATCTACTTAAGACATGACTTGCTCTCCTTGCCTTCTGCCATGATTGTGAGGCTTCCCCAGCCATGTGGAACAGTAAGATCATTAAACTTCTTTCTTTTGTAAATTGCCCAGTCTTGGATTTGTCCTTATCAGCAATGTGAAAACAGACTAATACACCATGCACCCTCTGAAGACTCTAGGGAAAAACTGTCCTCACCCCTTCTAGTTTCTGGTACTGGCTGGCAGCTTTTGGCATTCCTTGACCTGTAGACACATCACTCCTATCTCTACTTCCATTGTCACATGGCTTTCTTCCCTGTGTGCCTGTGAGACTGAATTTGGGTCCTAATACAGTATGACTGGATCTTAATATGATTACATCTGCAAAGACCCTGCTGTGGTTTAAATGTGTTTTCTTTCCAAAGTTCTAATTCAAATGTAATTCCCGTTGTGGTAGTGTTAAGAGGTAGAGCCATTTAGAAAGTGATTAAGTCATGTGTGCAGAGCCTGGATTAATGCCCTTATTAAAGAGGCTTAATAGAGTTCCCCTCTCTTGCCCTTCTGCTCACTGCCATGTGAGGACATGGCCTGATCCCTCTGGCAGATGCAGCAACAAGGCACCATCTTAGAAGCAGCAATAAAGCCCTCGCCAGTCACTGAACCTGCTGGTGCCTGGATCCTGGACCCCCAGCCTCCAGAAGTATGGGAAATACATTTCTATTCTTTATCAATTACACAGCCTATGGTATTTTGTTATAATGCCATTATAACAAATAGACTAAGACATTAAATAAAGTCACATTCCCAGATACCAGAGATTACGACTTGAACCTATCTTTTTGGGAAACATAATTAACCTACAACACAGACTTGGGTGTATACAGCATGTATTCAAAAAAAGGTTGCTTTGTATGTCTGTGGGTAAAAGCTGGCTAGTTGATAAAATAAATAGTGCTGGAAAATTTGGTTGTCAATATATGTCAAGAAAATGAGGATGCTTACCCAAGAGCGCATTCCCCAGGGAAGAAAGAGAATTTACTGGGGAAATGCTACATAGGCAAAATGTTAACAAGGGCATGGTGCCCCCACTGTGGGGCAGTGCATGGGGTTCCATCATGGCCAACCATGAGATGTGATGAGGCTACTTTCTGGAAGGCAAAAGACGCATGATTAGGAGAAACCCCGGCCCTTTGCTGGGGTGATCAGGAGCTGGTCCCCATGGCTAGGGTATAATTGTATGGCATGGCACACACATAATCTTTATGCCTGCTCCACCACCTCTGTGCTTTCTCGGGCACAGATAACAATCCTGCCCAGAAGATAAACTCCCCTGAATGGCATTGGTCCTGGACAAGTGAGCCCTTACCTCTCAATATGAAAAAATGAAAAGAAATTAAATTCCTACTTAACATCATACTGAAATGAAGGACAAGGGAATTACTGACTGACATGTGAGTGGCAAAACTTTAAAACTTTCAGAAAGTATAAGCAAATATCTTAACATCCATCTGAACCTCAGAAAAAGGGTTTCCTACAGGTGATGAAAGGGCAGTGTCAATGTTGTGCAATTCAGGACTAAAGCCAGAGCCCCTTGTTCAAGGTCAATTACACAGTTAGTGCACAGAAGGCACCAGGGGGTCATCTAGTTCATGCGCTTGTCTACCACATGGGGCTTCCAATTTATGCCTGGACATCCAGAGTCATCAGAATTACGCTCCTCAAGGGAACTTGTTGCTATATAAAAAATGATGATTCAGAACTTCCTTTTACTAAACTGAAACTTGCTTCAAGTTTTCCTCCAATCAAAGCTTTTTGAATCTCTACATGTGTCAGGAAATATGATGAATAAGATGTGTTCCCTGTCCTTAAGAGGCACTCATATTAGCAGGAGAGACAGATATATAAGGAGGTAAATTACCCATAAAGTGCTGAGGGAAGCAATAGAAATCTCTGGAAAACAGGAATAGAGTATGGATATTAATTAAATCAGAGAAGATCCATGGAGGAGGCAATATTTGTGCTAGCTTATGAAATGTAAATAAGACCATTGCAATTTGTATGTGTGTGTGTGCAAGTGTGTGTGTGTACAGGGTGGTAAAAATGGATTTTCAAATATTCTGTCCCAATAAAACCTTCAGATATTTGAAGGAAGTCATCAAGTGCCTGGAGATCTTGACATTGTAAACCAGTCATAGCAATTCAAAAATTATAACTTTTTACTATCTTCAGCTTAAACATCCCTTCTTTGAACTATGACTCATGTGATTTGATTTTTTTAAGCATCTTTATTTTCTGTAAATACATAAACTCTATCAATCTCATTTTCAAAATTTAAAATTGCACTAGAAAAAATTATAAAGGAAGAAAAGGATTCCTCTAACTGCTCTGATCTGTTATAGTGTGGACTGGGGTTGGCACACGCCAGCTTGCAGGAGCTCATCATGTCTGCCTTTTCCCAAGTCTACGTTCAGTGATGTCACTGAAGTCAGCCGTGGGCAGTATCACACTGGAAATTAGCACACACTACAATTTAGAGCTTCTTTACCTGCACACCACTGCTAGATAGAGTAGCGCTGTGGCTCCCTCAGGTTATACACTTGACTTCCTGGAATGCAGTTTAAGATAACGTAATCTGTTTTGTGAGGTTTCTTCACAATGTTCAGTGTTGACTCAAATTGAATTTCCTGTCAAGTAAGTAGTTTTTTTCTTTTCTCTCTCTTTTTTTGGTATTAGCCTTTAGAATTAGGCAAATGTTCTAAATAAAAGAAAAAAATCACCTGCAATTGTTGATTCATTTCAGATCTGTCTGCTGCTTCTTTAAATTTTATTTTTAACTAAATTATACATGTATATAGTTTAATCACTTAGTGGTATAAGTCCTTAAAGAAAACTCTGCAATTTCCTATTCCTTTCTGTTTTCCCTGCACTGGTGGCAAACTTTTAGCAGATTCCTTGGGCATTAATCTATGTATTTCTATTGCTTCGGCATTAATTATGTCTCCTCCAAATTCATATGTTGAAACCCTTACCCTAAATGTGACTATATTGGAGATTGAGCCTTTAAGAAAATAATTAAGTTTAAATGAGGTCATAAGAGTAAAGCCTTAACCAAATAGGGCTGGTGTCCTTATAAGAAGAGGAAGAGATAGCAGAGCTGCTCTCTCTGCCATGTGAGGACAGTGAGGGGCACCCATCTGCAAGCCAGAAAGAGAGCCCTTGCCAGGAGCCAAATTGGCCAACACCTTGGTTTTGGACTTCTCAGGCTCCAGAAAATAAATTTCTGTTGTTTAAAACACCCAGTCTGTAGAATTCTGTTATGGCAACCTGAGTCAATGAAGACATCTATGAAACATGATTCTTTGGCCATTTCTGAGTTTTCCAGTTTTAGACACTGTATTAGTCCATTCTCTCACTGCTAATAAAGACACACCCCAAACTGGGTAATTTATAAAGGAAAGAGGTTTAACTGCTCACAGTTCTGCAGGGTTGGGGAGGCCTCAGGAAACTTACAATCATGGCGGAAGGGTAAGCAAACACATTGTTCTTCACATGGCAGCTGCAAGGAGAAGTGCAGAGAGAAGTCAGGGAAAGCACCTGATAAAACCATCGGATCTCAGGAGAACTAACTCACAATCATGAGAACAACATGGAGGTAACTGCCCCCATGATTCAATTACCTCCCACCGAGTCCCTGCCATGATACATGGGAATCATGGGAACTATAGTTTAAGATGAGATTTGGGTGGGGACACAGCTAAACCATATTATTCCACTCCTGGCCCCTCCCTCATCTCATGTCCTCACAATTCAACACATAATCATGCCCTTACAACAGTCCCCCGAAGTCTTAACTCATTCCAGCTTTAACTCAAATGTCCAAGTCCAGTCTCGTCTGAGACAAGGCAAGTCCCTTCTACTTATGAGCCTGTAAAATCAAAAGCAAATTAGTTACTTCCTAGGTACAGTGGAGGTACAGGCATTGAGTAAATACACTCATTCCAAATGGGAGAAATTGGCCAAAACAAAGGGGCCACAGGCCCCCCAGAAGTTCAAAATCCAATGGGACAGTCATTAAACCTTAAAGTTCCAAAATGATCTTCTTTGATAACATGTCTCACATCCAGGGCATGCTGATGCAAGAGGTGGGCTCCGACAGCCATGGACAGCTCCACCTCTGTGGCTCTGCAGGGTATAACCCCCATCCTGGCTGCTTTCACAAGCTGGCTTTGAGTGTCTGTGGCTTTTCCAGGTGCATGGTACAAGCTGTCTGTGAATCTACCATTCTGGGGTCTGAAGGATGGTGGCCCTTCTCTCACAGCTCCACTAGGCAGTGTTCCCGTGGGGACTTTGTGTGTGGGCTCTGACCCCACATTTCCCTTCTTCACTGCCCTAGCCAAGGTTCTCCATGAGGGCCCCACCCCTGAAGCAAACTTTTGCCTGGATATCCAGGTGTTTCCATACAACCTCTGAATCTAGGCAGAGGTTCCCAAACCTCAATTCTTGACTTCTGTGCACCTGAAGGCTCAACACCACGTCAAAGCGGCCAAGGTTTGGGGTTTGCACCTCTGAAGCCACAACCTGAGCTGTACCTTGGCCCACTTTAGCCATGGCTGGAGCATCTGAGACACAGGACACCAAGTCCTGAGGCTACACACAGCAGGAGGTCCCAGGGCTCGGCCCACAAAACCATTTTTTCCTCCTAGGCCTCCTGGTCTGCAATGGGCAGGGCTGCTGTGAAGGTCTTTGACATGCCCTGGAAACATTTTCCTCATTGTGTTGGTGATTAACATTTAGCTTGTTATTTATGCACATTTCTGCAGCAGGCTTGAATTTATTCCCAGAAAATGGGTTTTTCTTTTCTATTGCATCATCAGGCTGCAAATTTTCCTAGCTTTTATGCTCTGCTTCCTCTTGAATTTTTTGCTGGTTAGAAATTTCTCTGCCAGATACCCTAGATCATCTCTCTCAAGTTCAAATTTCCACAGATCTCTAGGGCAGTGGCGAAATGCTTCCAGTCTCTTTGCTAAAGCACAACAAGAGTGACCTTTAATCCAGTTCCCAACAAGTTCCTTATTTCCATCCGAGACCACCTCAGCCTGGACTTTATTGTCCATATCACTATCAGCATTTAGGTCAAAGTTATTCAACAAGTCTCTAAGAATTTCCAAACTTTCCCACATCTTCCTGTCTTCTTCTGAGCCCTCCAAACTGTTCCAACCTCTGCCTGTTACCAAGTTCCAAAATCGCTTCTACATTTCAGGTATTCTTATAGCAGGACCTCACTTCTGGTATCAATATACTGTATTAGTCTATTCTCATGCTGTGAATAAAGACATACCTGAGACTGAGTAATTTATAAAGGAAAGAGTTTTAATTCAATCACAGTTATGAGGGCTGGGGAGGGGCCTTGGGAAACATATAATCATGGTGGAAGGGGAAGCAAACACATCTTTCTTCACATGGTGACAGCAAGAAGTGCAGAGTGAAGGGAGGGACAACCCCTGATAAAACCATCAACCTTAACTATGTCTCATGTTTTCTCTTATAGAAATTTGTCTTTATCCAGAATAAACTTTGAGTCTTTTGCTAAGATACAAGTGGAATTATCACACTCTACCTATATAGAGTGGAAACAAAGATGAGAATTTAATTTTTTTTTTTAACAAACATTCTACAAATTCTCCTTATTTTAACCACTCTTTGTATCTTCATTTTCAAAGGAAACTGGTGTTATTAATTTCTGAGTCTTCAGGAAATTCTCTGTACATTATGTTGCTTCTTAGCATGACATAGCAATAGCCAGGGGCCAGCATGGCCTCACTCGAAGGCGGGAAAAGAGAGAAAGAGCTGAGATCAGAGAGGCAGTCAGGAGCAGACAAGGCAGGGTGTAGGCCAGTGTTTGACTTGGACTTCTAATGTGCCCGTGGTGGAGAGACATTGAGTGGTGATGCAGAAAAGAAATGTGATCTGGTCCTGTAAAGAATGATTCAACCTGCCCAGTAGAGAATATCTGGCACGGGGGAAAAACATAAGCAGTGGAACTGATGGGGAAGTGTTGCAGTGGTCTTGATGACAGGAGGGCCTGGCTTGGACTAGGGCGTAGAGTGGAAGAAATGAAGATTTTTTGAATAGCGAGTATTTTGAGTCAGAGTCTCAGGGATCTGATGACGTGGAGTTCAGAGAGAGACATCAAAATAACTGACTCCCAGGTAGATGACCTGACCAAAGGGTGAGTGGCATCCCCACACTCCGGGCCGCCCAGGAAGAGCAGTTCGGGGCCTTGAAAAAGGTGATAATCATGAAATTACCTCAAATTGCATTGGAGATATTTCAAGTTAGCCAGATAAATATATACTGCATGGGAGTGTCTTCAAAATCAATTTTCCTGGAGTTAGAAAAATAGATGGGTTAGGTACAAGCTAATTCGCTGATAGATGAACAGTTTCTGATTACGTGTGTACATCATGCATAGCATGCTGCCGAAAGCTGATAAGCTTCAGTGAAATATGAGAAATGCTGTCTTATCTTGTAGTTCATAACCTGATAGAGGGAAGAGTAACACTCTGTTCTGAAATTGCTTTTAGATCTATATATTCAAACACATGGCCGTTTCATCAGTTCAAAAAGTAAAATGTTTTTCAAATGAATTTTTAAAATGGAGAATTTGATTTTGGTCTCTGGAAACATTTTAGCTTAATACTGTATAGTTGACCTTTGAGAACACTTTTAAGTCATTTTGAATAAAAATCTATGTTTAATAATTTCTCTGTACAGATAAATGCATTTTGCATATGTGCTTCACAAATTGGGAATGGGAGACTATAAATCATTACAAGGAAGGAGAAATAATTTTTTCAATAAACACTTGTTTATTTGGGCAGGGATGTTTTCCCCTTAGATCCTTGAAAGCAGCAGAAGAGTCTTAGTAAGTAGTGGAATAAAGTCTTTGTAGTGATTTTGGTGAAGATGAGCAGCACGAATCCACGTTTATAAGGTTTAAATACAACCCAAACTACATAGTGTTTTGAGATGCATATAATGGTGATGAAAATATTTAGGAAAATAAGCAAGTACAAGATAAACCTCAAAGTCAGGCTAATTGTTGCCGTAGTGATGGGAAGCAGAGGAATGCAGTAGGGAAATAACTGAGAGAAAGGGCGGCTTGGGATGATTCTGTTCTGTTTCTTCAGGCATGTGATGGTTTCACTAATTGTCATTTATTGTTTTGTTTCATAACTTAAGTATAAATTACACGTAAACTCCTGTGGACATAAACATATAATCCCATTTAAAAAGGAGCACACTAAGACCACAATGATACTAACATTGAGGAAAAGCACATCCAGATCTGCGCATCTTTCAAGGAGGTGCACATGACAGAGGATGTGTGTCACATACACCAGAGTGATAATGAAACGTTAATTAAACATATGATTAACTTTGACCTGAAATAGTAGGTGCCTCTGCTAAAATCACACACAGAAAAATGATACTTGGTGTGATTTATTATTTACATTGTACAAGTGCCCTAAAAATCAACAAAAAGTTTAAAATAAAATGAGGTATAAGTTTTGGAGAAGAGGAAGCAAAATTACTATTATGTGCAGTCAATACGATTATTACATAAAAAAATCAAGAAAAGTGACAAATTATATTTGGGCTAAAAAGATAATAAAGTGGTTTATTACAAAATAAACACAGATAAATTATTAGCTTTTCCATATAGTCATGGAGTAATAGCATTTAATGGTATAAATAAAGTACACATCACAACAGAAGCAAAATATAAAATTCTATAAATATAAAAACCTCTGTTTTTGAGAAAAAGGAAATGTGAGATCTTGAAGAAGATAGTTACCTTTTTCCTGTATGAGAAAAGTAACATTTTATATTAATATTCTCCAAATAATTCTAAAACATTAATGCCATTCATATAAATCTAAATGATATGTTGAGCCTGAAAAAATAATTTCAATTTGTGTGGAAGAAAACTTCATCATTATGGCCAATGTTTTGTGAAAGAAAAGCTATATATGCCATGTGCTACTTGATATTATAGCATATTATAAAGACACAAAAATTAAAACAATCTTTATTAGCAGCAAATTGACTATGAATGGAAATACTAGAAAACTCAGAAAAGCCCCCAATATAATAATTTATAACATGACAAAGGTAGTATTTGAAAGAAATGGGAGAGAGAATGCTTTATTATGACTGTGACAATGGTGATGACAATGACAATGATGATGCTGTAACATGGTACCGGGCTGGTGTCATCTTCTCACATCTTCCCACCTGCCCCATATAGGTGGCCTCCTGCCTCATTTTAGGATGTAGAGGTGTATACATCCATTGTATGGTTTCTAGTGTTGAGGCCTCAATTGAAACAGAGGTCAAAATAGTACCGATTAGCCACGTTTTATAGAAATAGGTGTCACTGGGGCTTTTTGGAGCAGCATCAGATTCAAGAGACCCAGGAGTGCATGAGTGCTGACTGACCATCGCTCCCGTGCACAGCCTTAGCAAGCCGGACTGAGTGTGTGGGTCTGCAGCGGTGGTGAGCACGGTGGGGAAAGTGTATTCAGGAGACTGCATGCAGGGCTTTCTGGGCAGCTGGTTACTGGAATGACAGGGGAAGGATGACCCCTCAGCTCCTCACATTCTAAGGGTGTTGTGGCCGTCATTGGCTCCCATGCTGAAGGTTATTTAGTCACCATCCCAAAGCCAAATTCTCGCTTTCCATGGCAGGGGTCATCTCCTCTTCAACCAAGAGAGATCTGTTTATGTTTTAAGTAACACAGAGCCTCTCTCTCTGTTTTTTTCTTTTGCCTCTCTCTTTCTCATTCTATCTTTCTCTGTCCTGTCTCTCTGTCTTTTCCTTTCTTTCTCTTTTTCACTCTCTACCTTTATCTTTATCTGTCTACATCTGTCTGTCTCTCCCTCTCTTCCTCTTTCTGTCTCTCCCACTCCATCTCTCTGTTTCCGTATCTGTCTGTCTTTCTCTCTCTCACTAGTTGGAAGGGAGGAGTGGACTTTCCAACTACTGCATAAGCTCCCAGAGTCATAGTTTTGGGGTCCTCTCCCACAGTCCGGATGCCTAGCCTCCTGCCATAAGCAGCTGACATTTGCCCTCATCATATTGCACCAGGGCAGTTGATGCAAGAGGAGTTGGCAGGGTTATTGCTGTAAGTAATTGCCTAATTTCTGAGTTAGAAATCTTGAGTTTGCTTTCATGACT
The DNA here is from genome assembly GCF_000001405.40 of Homo sapiens. Taxonomy (NCBI): domain Eukaryota; kingdom Metazoa; phylum Chordata; class Mammalia; order Primates; family Hominidae; genus Homo; species Homo sapiens. Next base: position 4,197,418 of record NC_000002.12, read on the forward strand.
AAACAAATAAACATAGATGTTGACAGCTTACCAGGGTGGATTGGAGTGAGGCTGTGGAGATATTCTCCTTCTCTCTAAGTCCAGCACCATATTTTACCACCTTCCAGATACACAAAGAACAGAAATCCAAAAAAGTAATATCCTTGCTTATAATGCAGACAAATGAAATGGCTTGGCCTCTTCCCATCTCGGGAAACTTTTAACCGTGTGACTGCTAAGGGCACAGATGAGGAGGCAGGAGAGTGATCGAAGAGACACACCTACATTAGGGGCCTCATAACATGCAGTGACCAGTTCATTAGTGAAACTTCCTCCAATGAGTTTCCTAGAATTTTACCAATTAGATTAGTATTCATTCTCACTGCAGAGCATGGGATAGAATTTTACAGGGAAAAGGTGCTCTCTGTATGAGAAAACCACTCTATTGTAATTCTGTGTAAATATGTGTATAAAACATTTGGAAAGACGTTCCCAACATGAAAACTCTGATTATCTATGAAAACTACAAATGATTATCACTTTTCTAAAAAAATACATTTTTAGTCTTGGTGTGGTAGTTCATGCTACCCAGCACTTTGGGAGGCCTAGGTGATCACATCACTTGAGCCCAGGAGTTCGAGATCAGTCCAGACAACATCAGGTGAGTCCCCATCTCTAAAAAATATGCCAAAAAAATAAATTAGTCAGGTGTGGTGGAGTGCACCTGTGGTTCCAGCTACATGGTGGGCTGATGCAGGAAGATCACCTGAGCCTGGAAGGCAGAGGTTGCAGTGAGTTGTGAACATGCCCCTGCACTCCAGCCTGGGCAACATAGTGAGACCTCATCTCAAAAACAAAAACATTTTTAATTGTATAAAATATTCATAATTGAAGGTTTAAAGCTATCTTCATTTTGGGAAAAAAAAAGAGTTTGATTATTTGCTTTTTGTACCTGCATCGAAGTGTTCTCAGAAAATGAGGAGCTGGGAAAGCAGTGGAACGTGCTCCATAAAGAGGGAGACGCTGCCTGAGACACAGCGTGGGCAGTGCATGTGTGCGCGCGGCAGGGAAGGGAGGGCCATGCACCCTTGACAGGGAGGCTGGTGACCCCCCAGGAAGGTCCTGGGTTTGAGGCTAATGAACTTTGACTCTGGAGCTAATAGAGATGTCTGCCCAGATAATGACAGGTCAGATTTGCTTTGAGCTGTCAATTCCACGAGTGTGGATGATGAAGTGTGGTGCAGGGAATTATTGACATGTATCAATGCGAAGACATTTGCTACAAGTGAAGTTTACTTCATGACATAAATTTACAAGAGGAAACAGCTTGCTCTTCTAGATTTTCTGTTAAACAACAATCACTAATTATTGAGCTTATTTGAGCTTAGTTTATGAGCTTACGTAGAAAAAGTCACTTGTACTGTCAAATTGTACTCATGATTTCTACTGTTTATATTTCCAACTGCAAAGCAAATCTGTTTTGTTTCTAGTTAGGAATGGTTGGAATGAAATGAAAAGGCTCCTGACTGGCTGTCAGGAGACCTGGGCTTTGGCTCCTGCCATGACACCCTCCCACTGCCACCAAGTCCCTTGTCTAGCATAATTACCTCATTTGCAATATGAAGAGGTTGGATGGATTAACCTCTAAATCTATAGTGTGACCCTCAGTGCATCCTAGATCCTAACTTTATATAACCAAATGTAAGTGAACATTATAGAAGCTCTCCAAGATCTTGCAAAAAAGGTTAACTAAATGGAGTAATGATTTGACACTTTGGCTGTATATCCTGAGACCTGGCTTAGTTTGGTTGATTGTCAAAAATCACTAGAAGAGTAATAGAGAACTGGAAATAGAGTAGACGTCAAATCTTTCCATATTTTCATGTCTTCAAAATTGGTCAACAGTTGAGAGAAAAGAAAATGAAATGAGGAGGTAAAAAGCAGGAAAGGGAAAAATGTTCCATCCAGTACCAGTAATCATTTGAAGTGTTCTTTTTGATAAATATATTTGTTTTAATGTATCTTCCTAGCCAGAAACACTCCAATCAGAAGACTTTTGTGATGCTCAAAGTATAGTAAAATTATACTATTAAAAGCTTGTTTTCGTTTTGGAAGTATGATTCACCTTATTATATCTTATGGCTATTAGGAAGAAAGAAAGTCTGTCCAAACACAAGAGCAAAACATAGTTTCAGTCATTTTTTGATAGACATCAGGGAGATCTTATTTCTTTCATTGTAGCCTGGAAAATGGGGTGGAAAAATGCAAAAAACAAAAATCCCCTGATAAGTTAATAAAGCAAAGACTTTTAATAAATACATTTGTATTATTTATATTATGCCATTTATATTATAAATATCTAAATTTCTATTAATAAATTAATAAATTGAAGAGTTTCCTACAAATACCTAGGATACCTTAACCAGAAATAGCAAAAGCACTTAATGCTCAAAGCAGGGAGTGCAATGAAGGCTCTCCACTGAAAACAAAAGGTGGGGGAAACAGCAGCTATTGCAGAGGGAGATGCTCAGTGCTGTGTGCGGGGATGGAGCAGGTTCATGGTTGGATTTAACTGAGGTTGAGTCTGAATCACGCAGGCTCTGTGTAGTGAGGCAGAAGTGAAGGATTGAAGTGTGTTTGCAAAGAAATAATTACTATGAGGGACCGTGGGACATATTTTGGGTATGGAGGAAAGTGGGAACATAGGGACATGTAATATAGTGATGAATTGATAAAATCAGTGCAATGAGGATTTGAGTGAGATTTAAAAAATGGTAGAGCAGGCAGAGGACAGCAGGTAAGCTGTAAGGAAAGGAGGTGCCAGGACAGGAGAGGGTGTCTGGATTGCAGATGATCCGAACATTTACAATGATGTGGTCACATGTGTGGTCACAAGGGTTGGGGGTTGAGGAAAGAGATATTCAGAAGAAGAAGAGAGAGCGAAGACTTGGGAAACATAAACACTGAGGGCACATCTCATAGAAAAAATGGAAAAGAATAACCAAAAAGAAGAGAAATTTGATCAACAGGGTCAAATACTGCTAAGAAGAGGAGCAGATGAGTACCTATGTTGTCTGTTGGATTCCATCTTTGTAAGAGAAGTCTCCCAAGTGGGTGAGAAGCTAATGTTACTATAGCTGATGCTGCTCAATCTTTCATCAAAACATCCTTCATGTCAGAGGGGAGCAAATGCTTCCAACTGGGCAGGGTTGGAGGGTGGTGTCGGGGCCTCTAGAAGTGTTTAAGAGTCTGACATTTATTTAAAGTTTTGTACTTGATTTTTAAAATCATTTTAAATTTTGGATCCTATTCCATAAAAGATCTATAGAAAATAATATTTCACAATAGTAACAATCAGAAAAAAGACTGGAAAAATGGTTTATCTTTCTGGTTTGAAAGGGATGAGTGTCATACATTTAATTTACCTTTTCAGGAATAAATTCATGAAAAGTACCACGAGTTGAGTTCAATGAGCAATAATTTTCCTCTCAATTTGTCCCAATATTTCAAGACTTGAGCCTCTCATGAATATGAAATCTATATTTTATATAGCTAGTACCATTTTGTTGACTCTTTTTTTGAAATACATTCTAGGACAGAAAGATCAGAATGTTGCCCAGAATTAGAAATTTGTTTTCTCTTTGGACTTGCGTATTTTAGGGCACTTTTTCAGAGCAATAAAATGTATGGAAAGAGCAATCAATCAGAACATTTAAACACTTTCTATGCCCTATCAGTATAATAACCAAATAATAGCTAGTTATGCACTTTGCCTCCTGCCTCTGGGTGAGTGTGAGAATCTTCAGTCATTTACAGGGTCTTGAGCCCCAGGGTATGCAGTTTCTGTGGGAATTTGGAGACTTTGACGAGGTTTTGCTCGCTGGAAGGATCTGCTAAGTGTAAGTCCTTTCTATGGAACGGGTATTCTGAAATCTTTAATTCCATTGCTGAAATCATGAGCATATGATAATATCTAATCATAACATTTGCCATATTTGGAGTAGAAAAGTACAAGTTTCTTCCTAATCTATCTGGAGGAATATACAGTACATATCCACCAAAAGTAATGAAACCAGGATTTTAAGTCAAAGAGGATTTAAGTCTGAGTTTGCAAACAGCATTATTTCTCCTCATTCTCTGCATATATGCAGTTTATCTTATTGGAAGAGGCACAAGGAGCTTCGTATAACCTGTTTTTTTCTTGCAGGGAGGACATAGCTTATGGTTTGTCAGTGGTATCCTTTGATAATGCTTCTGAAGGTCTCCCAGGCCAACACCTTTTCAAGTTGGTGGAACTTCTGTAGAAATGTCGCTGAGGAGGTCGGAATAATGTGATACAGCATCTGGGAAGTTCGTCTGTTTCCTCATCAGCTCTTTGACTCTTTCTTAGAAAGGTTCATCAAAGACTGTTTTTTTTTTTTTTTTTTTTCCTAGAAAACATGATTCCTTATATTTCTCTGTAGTAAATAAGAGTCTCCTTTTAGGTTCCTTTATTAAATAAGAGTCTCCTTTTAGATTCCTTTTCTGGTTCCTTTTCTAGTCTGATTCCTTTCCTAGTCTCCTTTGCTGGTTCCACGAAGGAACTCTTTTCAAGGAAAACAGTGCCTAAGACCAGGGGTTAGGAATAATAGAAAAACAGCTGGATTCCTGACTGGCCATGTGACCACCTTTCACTGAAGTTTCCTGATCTAGAGATAATAAAAGTCACATCTTATAATGTTACAAGAACTAAATGATGCATACAGAGTGCTTAACATAGTTTCTGGCTTCTGTTAAGAAGTCTTAAGAAATACGAATTAGTAATTGCTTCTCGGCCTTTTGGCTAAGATCAAGTGTAAGAAATATGAATTAGTAGTTGTAGCTTCAGCAGCAGTAATAATAGTATTATAGTCTCAAATTTTGTTTTTATAGCAGTTATGTTGTGTGTACATTTAAAATACATTGGGAGTATTGCTTTGGATTTACTAATTCAGGGGAGCCAGCCTTTAAAAAAAATAGCTAAATAAATTAATGTACTGGAAGACACTTCACAGTTAGGATGAATTTATCCTTCTCCTTGTCCAGGTTGTATTGGTGTCTATCAGGATGCCTTTTTTGTTTCATGGGAAAACAATTAACTCGGAGTCTGAGAACTACAACCACTGTCTTCAAGGGCATGCAAAGAAGGAACCATTCAAAATCCACGTTGACTTCCCTGCAATGTGTTTTAAACGTAGTATTTGAACCACCATCTCTTTTTGTTGTTGTTCTTTTACTTTGTTCAGGTTTACCATTTTTAACACTTCAGAAGGTAAGGGCCGCGCACTTTAAATTGAAGAGATCTTTTGAAAAGGTAGTGCTTGGTGCAGTATTCGACAGCACAGTGACCTCTGTCTGGGTTAACCGCCCCTACAGTCTTACCCATCACAGGCTTGACCTGATCAATATTGTCTCTTAAAATAATATGTTTTTTTCCAATTATTTGATCATCAAGCCGCTTGTTAATGACTCTGTTTTTACAGGAATCTTTATCACACGTAGCAAAATGGGCAACATTGCAGATCTGTGCAGACCGTAGCATCTTAGTGAGCTTGGACTGCTATAACTAAATGCCACAGAGGAGTGGCTCAACAACAGATGTTTATTCCTCACAGTTCTGGAGGCTGGAGGTCCAAGATCAGGGCACCTGCTGATTCGGTACCTTTTGAGGACTCCCTTACTGGCTTGCAGTTGGCCACCTTCTCCCTGTCTCCTCACACGGCAAGAGGGGTTGGTGCAGAGGAGGGAGTGAGCATTCTTCCTTTTTTTTTTGAAATGGAGTCTCGCTCTGTCACCCAGGTTGGAGTGCAGTGGTGCGATCTTGGCTCACTGCAAACTCTGCCTCCCGGGTTCATGCCATTCTCCTGCCTCAGCCTCCCGAGTAGCTGGGACTACAGGTGCCTGCCACCATGCCCGGATGATTTTTGTATTTTTAGTAGAGATGGGGTTTCACTGTGTTAACCAGGATGGTCTTGATCTCCTGACCTCATGATCCACCTGCCTCAGCCTCCCAAAGTGCTGGAATTAACCTATAGGAAAACTTTTTCTAATTCTCAGATGGATATTAAGATATTTGTTTATATTTTCTGAAATTTTAAAGTTTTGTCATTCACATTTTAGTTGGTGAATTCCCTGTCATTCATTTTGGTATGGTGTGAAGTAAGAATTTAATTTCTTTTCATGACCTTATTTAACAAAGGCCCCATCTACAGACACCATCATGCTAGGGATTAGGGTATTAACATATTAATTTTGAGAGAACACAAATATTCAGTCCATAACAGTAAGTAAACAATGAAATCCAGTCTTTATATCCATTTTACAAGGGTGTCTTTCAGGAATATTATAACTTCTTCATGTGTGGCTATGTCCGCAAGGCAAGGATTTATCAAATTCTTTTTTATCATATAAAATTTCTCTTCCAAAGAAATTCTGAGACTGATTTGAAGAAATCTTGATTTTTGTTTGTTTGAATTTGTTGATTTCCTTTAAAGTATTTACAGTTCTTTTCCACATACTGTAAGAATAGAAGTTCATGAAATAACATTGCTTATGCACTTCTCACCTGAGAGACAACAGGTTTAGTCTGGTTTCCACTGACCTAACAATAGGCTCTGCATTTTAAATAGCCACAGACATTAAGTCTACAGTGTTAATCAACTTCCTACCATCAACTCCAGTGCATCTTTTGTTACCAAACTCTTTGTGGGCAGCCTCAAATAGGAGGCCACGCTTGTCACCATGCTGGGGGATTCCAGTGCCATTTGGATTTCCCTTGCAATTTTATGTATTTTCCATAGTTTAAATGAAGATCTTTCCAAACTCAGTACCATGAATAGGATGAATTACATCCTGTCTTTGTAAGAGTGGGCAGATCTCCCCTTCATGCATGTCAGCAGTATCTGGAATAGAGCTGGACTGTGGAAGACATGCACATAGCAAACTGGGTTTTGGATAGAGAATGCTAAGAGACACAGCTGGAAAGCCCAGGAGGGCTTGGGAAGACTCAGAAGGAAGTTGAGAGGAAAGAGCAAAACAAATTTCAGTTCTCTCACAAATTTCCTGTGGTCACTTGGAAATGCACATAATGTATTAAAACATTCAAATCACTTTTTGTCAGAGAAGAGATGCTATTCAGCACTACTGATATTTGGTTGAATTTTCTGGATGGGAATATCTTACAGATCTTTTTGGATATAGGAGCATCGCTTTTGATCTGGAACAAGGTGAATTTACTTTTGTAGTTACTATGGCAAAATAAAATAAAAAGGGGTGAAGTTGACGCTAAAATTGATGCCCATATTCAAGCTAAGATTTGAATAAGTGATTTAAGCATTTTCAGTGAAACTAGACTTCTCTCCCCTAAAAAGAATTAAAAATATAAGGAAAATTAAAAACAAAACTGGTAGGTTAAATGATATTTGATTTCTAAAAAATTTAATAGAACATATTTCTGGATATTTTTGGGGAAAGGAAGAGAACATGGTTTTAATAGACTTAGACAAAATGAACTGCTATTAAGGTTATGGCCAGAGAATTTCTAATAGACACAGAAGACTCATTTCTCTGTTTCAGTCCTTGTCTAGTCAGGAGGTAGCACCACATCATCATTAAAAAAGATACTTTAGTATAAAGGCTTGTTAGGTAGATTGAAATAACTAATGGATAACTGGAAGGCACAAAGAAAACACTAAAATATCGTGGAAGTATTAAATACAGAGAGCAGATACTCCCTCAACATGTTTAGGAAATGAAGGGAAGAGGTTGGAACTATTAAAATTTAGAAGATGTCTCCCTGACACAGAAATATTCCAAGCCTGTGATAAGCCCTCTCGCCCTGAACCCTTAAATATTCTTAGTCTGTAAAAGAGAATGCTCCTGGCCAAAATTGACCAGAAGCCCCTCTCAGGTTTATTCTCCAAAATAAACCTGTCTTTGACTGTTGAAAAATAAATAAATAAATAAATAAATTAATTAATAAAATTTAGAGGATGAAGAAGGTTGCTTGCAGAAATGAAACTCAACAGAAAGAGAGACAGAGACTTATCAGACTTATTGGATTGAAGAAGAGGTCCTATGGGACTAGGACCCTAGACTTCTCAAGATAGGGCACTGGTTAGCTGGTACTGGTCTCCCTAAGGGCTATGATGAGGTTGATTCTGTACCTATGGAAACATTGCAAACTGATTCAACTTTTGCTTCAGGATACATCTGCCACTGCTGCTATGGTGGTCTTTAAATATGTTCACAAATTTTTTGATATTTACTCCCTCTTTTAGGCAGTAGTGTTTAGTTTCCCTCCTGTTGAGTATAGGCTGGACTTAATGACATGTTTGTAGCAAACAGAATAGACCAGAAATGACAGTGCATGATTTCAGAGAGCAGGTCACTAACATCAGCATAGCACCCTCACAGCATGCTCTCTCATGTGTGCCTGCTCTCCCTTTCTTTCAGATAATTTGCCCTGGGGGAAGATGATTTCTGTGTAGTAAGCTCACTTAGGCAGCCCCATGGAAAAGTATACATGCAAGAAACTTAGGCCTTCTCCTGAGAGCCCTGAGTGATCCTCCAGCCTCAGGTAAATATGCAGCCCTTACTGACACTCACAAGAAACCCTGAGTCAGAACTGAAGCAGGGCAGGTGAGCCCCCAAATTGGGACTTAGCCTGGGAGGGTTCTTGGCTTGCCCAGGAAAGAATTCAAGAGCCAGCCAGTCATGTTAAACAGGAGCTTTTACTGAAGCTGCCATGCACAGCAGCAGAGGTTCTGCTTCTTGTGGAGCAGGCCTACCCCGTGGGCAGTGTTCCCAGAACAGCAGCTCAGAAGCAATGCTGTGGTCAGATTTATACCCATTTTTAATTATATGCAAATAAGGGATGGTTTATGCAGAAATATCTAGGAAAAGGGTGGCAACTTCTGGATTGTCAGGATCATTGCCATGAAAAGGAGCGGCGGTAACTTCTGGGAGTTGCCATGGCAATGGGAAAGTGACATGGCACAGTGGTGGGCATATCTTATGGAAAGCTGCTTCCACCTTCGACCTGTTTTAGCTAGTCCTCAATTTGGTCTAGTGTCCAAGCCCTGCCTCTGGAGTCCAGTCTTTCCTCCTACCTCAGAACCACCCAACCAAGCTGAGCCTACTTCCTTGACCAAAATAAATTTTGAGATAAAATATTTTTTGTTTTAAGCCAGTAAATTTTGGTGTATTTTATTAAACGACAATAGAAAACTAATATAAACCATATGAAGAAGCAAAGCTGAGTTGCACTGGTAGGAACCATGAGCAAAGAGGAAGGGTGGTTCCCTTCTCCTGCCTGTAGCCTCTCCTCCCAGCACCCCCAGCACCAAGCACTGCTCTGCTTGCCTAGCAGAGTCTAACAAGTTAGATAGCAAAGCAGAATGCAATTTGCAGGACCTCACATTTCTAAAGACAGTAGCCTAATATAATAGCTAGTGCCGTCCACCTCTTTGTCCACCTAGCACTGACACTTTGTGCACACATTGGAAATTACCCCAAATTCTATGATTATGCATAATGAGATACAGTGATCATTCACGCAATGTAAGACACTCTCACCCTCTTCTGATAATGAGGAGACAAGAAGTCTCAACCATCTGTCTTGCTGAACAAGCATACTGTCCCTCTCTGGCGTATGTTAATTACTGTTTAAATTCAGTCATAGTCCCATCTAAATATTATGTTACCCAAAAGATAAATTGTATAGGTAAGCTAGAACAAAGCTTGTAAAATACAATAAAGGAATGTGGGGAGAGATGAATACATATTAATATGTACAGATGGACACACGTACACATGTAATCAACAAAGAAAATATACATGGATATTATAGTCCACATTTATGTAACTAGCCGTAAGGTTGTAGCTGATATTTGTAATTTCCCTTTCTTTTTATATTCATGCTTCCTTTACCCTCAGCTTAGACCTCAGATTATGCTATTAGTGGGATATAGAATAATTTTTATTTAACCCAATACCAAAAAGTTTTTTCTTATGTTTTGTTTTAAAAATTGTACTATTTTAGATTTTACATTTACATCTGTGTTCTATTTTCATATTTTAAATTTTATTTTTAATGTTGTGGGAGCTGTAGAGGTCCTTTTGTGTGAGTGTAGAATTCCCAATTTTTTTCAGTACCACTATTGAAGAGACTATCGTTTTTCCATTAAATTGTTTTTCATTGTAAAAAAATTGCCTGGCCAAGTATTTTGGGGTCCATTTTTAGATATGTTCTGTTCTGTTAATCTACATTTATTTTTTCATCAATACACACTGTTTTGATTACTGTAACATTATTATAAATCTTGAAACTTGGCAATATAAATCTTCCAATATTATTCTTTATTGAATACTCTAAAAGTTATTCTGATTCCCTTATCCTTTCATTACATTGTAGAATTAGCTGATCAATTTCTACAAAAATTCTGTTAGCTTTTGAATGAAATTGCATGGACTATATAAATTTGGAGAGAACTAACATTTTGCAAGAATTATCATCCAAACTACGAACACACTATATCCCTTATTTAGGTCTTCTTCTTCCTTTTTTTCTTCACTGTTAATCATTGTTAGTATACAGATCTGGCACATATATTTTATTAGATTTATACCTAAGAACCTCATAGTTTTGTTTCTATTATTAATAGGAATCTCTTAGAATTTCAATTTTCTATTTTCATTGCCATACAATTGTTTTTTGTTTGTGGATCTTGTATCTTATACCTTGCTAACATAATTTATTAGTTCTAATGCTTTTTTTCATATTCTTTGGGGTTAACTATATAAACAATCTTGTAGTCTGTAAATACAGGTTTATTTCTTCCTCTTCCCTCTGTATGGTTTCCTTTTTTAAATTTCCTATTCTTGTCATATTGCACTGGTTAGTTTGTCCAGTAATATGTTGAATAGTAGTGGTAAGAGTGGATAACCTTGCCTTTTTCTCTATTTAGGGGGAAAACATTCAATCTTTCATCTTTAGATGCTATGTAAACTGCAGATTGTTTAGTAGACAACTTTCACTAGGTAGTCAAAGTTTCTGGGGATAAATTTAATAAAAGGTGATCAATACTTCTATACTGAAAACTATAACAGATTTCTTAAAAAAATAAAGAAGACCTAAAGAAAAGGAGAAATATACCATGTTCTTAGACCAAAAGACTCAGTGTTGCTGTATATTCTTGTTTTAATCTATACATTCAGTGAAAAGCCAACCAAAATTCCAGACACTTAATTTTTCTTGAGAAATTGAGGACCTCATTAAAATAATTTAGGGATATAAAAATAACTTAGATAATAAAATAAGGATATTAAAAAGATCATATAAGTTAATAAAAACCTAAATAATGCATCTAAAAATGGATGCATGATAATGCTAGAAATAGGTAATAAAACTCTCAGGAGGAAAATTTCACCATAAAAAATAGGAAGTATGAAGGTTAGAATAAGTTAAAATAATTTCAATGTACTTTTTAAAAACATATGACTAAATGATGAAAGGAAGTCGTATACAAGATTAAGAACAAGCATTTTTTAAAACCAGGAACACTAAGTAAAAAATAAAAAATAAATTCAATTAAAATTTGGAAAGTAGAATAGCTAAATAGAATAAGAAATAAAGTTAAATAACAAAACAGGTAAGATTTGAAGAGGAAATAAAGTCCAAGGTCATTCAAGTAGCATAGAATTCTAAGATGTGAGCAGAGTAGGTGAATAGCCGAGTAGATCTCCCAAGGGCAGAACCAAGAAGGCTACTTCTTACCCTTAGCCCACATTCTTAAGCTCTTGTCTGACCCACCTCTACGCTACAGGTTTGCGTTATACCAGCGGTCAGACAGAAGTCTGCATGTTATTCTTGGTCTGAACCAGAGTGACAGTCCTATATGTTTAAGTGTTGATATTATATATATATATATGTCTTTGTTAATCCCAAAATCTACTTTCTGTGAAAAAGCTTTAATTTCCAAATATTTTCTTGCATTTATTTGAATGATGCAAGTACTCAAGCCTTGATACTGCTTTCTCTTCACTTCTTCCTAAAATACACCTGTCCATATGATTCACATCCCATTCAGAAGTCAAATAACTAGGAATGGAAAAGGATAAATTATTTTCTGAAAGTCTCAAAGGATAAATTAGTCTCTTATAGAAATTTTATTACTAGAATGTGTGATTCTTGACTTTATTCCAAATTTCTTTCCTCCAAGTCACGCCACTTTCATTTTTTTCTTTTACAAATTTATTAAATTATAAAATATCTATAGATTTGTGCATAACTATATGTTCAGTTCAATTGACCTTTACAATGTGAATATCTGTGTGTAACCAGAAACCCAGGTCAGGAAACACATTACAGCATCCTGTCACTCTCTCCATGGTACTCAGTGCTGTCCAGATTTAAGATGCGAGAGATTGGTTTTGCCTATTTGTCAACTTATAGATAAAACTTTATCATATGTCCTGTTTTGTGTCTGAATTTCTCCACTTAGTATTATTTTGTTTAATTTCTGTGATTGTTCTCAGTTAGACTTACTTCATTCTCATTTAAGTAGGGCCTATTATGAATATTTAATTTATCAATTTTGTCGTCGATGGGCAGTTTATGTAGTTTACATTTTGGAGTTATTACAAATAGTGCTGTGCTGAATATTTTGGTACATGTGTTTTGGTAAAGATTGTACACATTCTGGTAAGAACATATTTTAGAGTAGAATCAATAAATCATTCAACATGCATATGTTCAGCTTTAGTAGATATTACCAAATAGTTTAGTTGATTTAGTTTAATTGGTTTGGTTGTACCAGTTTATACTCCTGCAGTGGTATATGAGTGTTCCGAGTACCACTCCACATCCTTAACACAATTGGTATTTTCCGCCTGTTAATTTCAGCCGTTAGGGTGGGTTTGTAATGGTATATTACAGTGTGGTCTTAATTTACATTTCCCTTGTAATTAATAATATTCAACACCTTTTTATATGTTTATTGGGCATTTGAAGCTTCTCTTTGTAAGGTACCTCTTCAGTTGTTTTGATCTTCATTCTGTGGAGTTCCCTGTCTCTGTTTTTGCATTATAGAAATTTTTAAAAGTTATTTATTTTGGATATGGGCACTTTGTTAGAATTAGGCATTGTAAATATTTTCCCATGCCCTATGGATTACTCTAAATTTTTTTTTACACCAACAGAATTGCATAATTTAAAAATTATTTCTCACTCTGTAGTTGTCAAGAATAAATGTAGAATGCACTGGGAATACAATATTCTGAGATAGGGAACAATGACAGAATAGCCCAGGTGTATTAGTCCGTTTTCACACTGCTATGAAGAACTTCCCAAGACAGGGTAATCTATAAAGGAAAGAGGTTTAATTGACTCAAAGTTCAGCATGGTTGGGGAGGCCTTGGGAAACTTACGGTCATGGCAGAAGGAAAAGGGGAAGTAAGGCATCTTCTTCACATGGCAGTAGGGGAAACCGCTCCTTATAAAACCATCAGATCTCATGAAAACTAACTATCATGAGAACAGCATGGGGAAACCGCCTCCATGATTCAATTACCTATACCTGGTCTCTCCTTTGACACATGGGAATTATGGGGACTATAATTCAAGATGAGATTTGGGTGGGGACACAAAGCCTAACCATATCACCAGGCTGTTTTAGTGTCTCACTAGAAAAAGCATGCTTATTCCAGTGAGTCATGTAATGTAGGGTATGAAGCCCAGGGTGGGCTGCCTTTGGGGGTCACTCAGCTGGGGTGCAAGTGGCACATGCCTCTGTTCACCCTAAGCAGCTTAACTGAGCCCTAGGGGGGTGAGCATGCATTGAATCCTACCTGGGCTTCTGTTGTCCCTTGCTGCTTGTCCTTAAGGAATAAATCTACTTCGTGTAACTCATTGTCTGAATCTGTTCAGACAAACTGGGAACTAGAGCACAGGGTACCTGCTTCACATTCATTCTAGGCACTATTGTGTACAGCAGATCTCTAGAGCTTATTCATCCAGCATCACTAAAACTCTAGATGCAATGAACTCCCAATTTCCCCCACCCTTCAGCTCCTGGCAAGAACTATTGTATTCTTTGCTTTCATGAGTTTGACTATTATAGATATCTCATAGGAAATCATACAGTATTTATTATTCTCTAACAGACTTATTTCACTTAGCAGAATGTCCTCCAGGTTCATCCATGTTGTCACAAGTGGCAGGATTTTCTTCTTTTTTAGGGCTGAATAATATTCTGTTGCATTTATATACCACATTTTCTTTATCTGTTCATCTTTCTGTGGCCACTTGGGTTGTTTCCATATCTTGGCTATTGTGCATAATGCTGCAATAAGCATGGAAGTGCAGGTATATCTTTGAGAATCTGATTTTAATTCTTTTAAATAAATACTCAAAAGTGGGATTGTTGGATTATGTGGTACTTCTATTTTTAATCTTTTGAGAAACCACCACACTGCTTTCCATAGCTGCACCATTTTGCATTACCACCAACAGTATACAAGAGTTTTACATCATCAACACTTGTTATCTTTTGGGGTTTTTAAAAATAATAGCCATCTTAACAGATGTGAGATGATATTTCCTTGTGGTTTTGATGTGTATTCCCCTGACAATTAGTGATGTTGAGCATTTTTTTACATACCTGTTGACCTTGACCATTTATATGTCTTTGAAGAAATGTCTATTCAAGTTCTTAGCCCATTTTAAAAATCATTTTTGTTTTGTTGTTGTTTTGTTATTGAGTTCTAGGTCTTAACTACATATTGGAAATTAACCCTCTATCAGATATGTGGATAGTACACATATTTTTCTCATTCCATAATTGCCTTTTCCTTCTGTTGATTGTTTCTTTTGCTGTGCAGAAGCTTTTCAGTTTAATGTAATGCTACTTGTCTGTTTTTTGGTTCTCTTGCTCTTGATTTTGGTGTCAGACCCAAGAAATTATTGCCAAGACCAGTGTCAAGAAGCTTTCCCTAGGCTGGGCATGGTGGCTCACGCCTGTAATCCCAGCACTTTGGGAGGCTGAGGTGGGTGGATCACGAGGTCAGGAGATCGAGACCATCCTGGCTAACACAGTGAAACCCCATCTTTACTAAAAATACAAAAAATTAGCTGGGCATGGTGGTGGACACCTGTAATCTGAGCTACTTGGGAGGCTGAGGCAGGAGAATGGCGTGAACCTGGGAGGCAGAGCTTGCAGTGGGTCGAGATCGCACCACTGCACTCCAGCCTGGGCCACAGAGCAAGACTCCGTCTCAAAAAAAAAAAAAAAAAAAATGGAGCTTTCCCCTTGTGTTTTCTTCTAGGAGTTTTACAATTTCAGGTCTTATTATTTAAGAGTTGGTTTTTGTATGACATAAAATAGGAGTCAGTCATATTTCATTTGTTCACATGTGGCTAATTTTTTCAGCATTATATGTTGAAGAGACTATCCCTTGTCCATTGTATGTTCTTGGTATCCTTGTCGAAGATCAGTTGACTGTATATGTGTGAGTTTATTTTAGGGCTCTCGGTTCTATTCTATTGGTCTATATGTCTGTCTTTATGCCAGTCATTATCATACTGTTTAATTACTGTAGCTTTGTAATATATTTTGAAATTAGAAAGTGTGATGCCTCTAGTTTTGTTTGTTCTCAAAATCACTTTGGCTCTTTTGTGTCTTTTGTTGTCCCATATGAATTTTAGTATTGTTTTTCCCATTTCTTTAAAAAAAATGCCATTGGGATTTTGATGGAGTCGGCATTCAGTCTGTAGATTGCTTTGGGTGGTATGGACATTTTAACAATATTGAATCTTCTAATGAATGAACACAGGTTGTATACCCTTTTGTTTGTGTCTCCTTTAATTTCTCTCATTTGTAATTTTCAGTGTACAGGTCTTTTGCCTACTTGGTTAACTTAATCTCTAAGCCTTTTATTCTTTATGATTCTATTTATAAGTTAGATTATTTTCTCTATTTTCTTTTCAGATGGATTGTTGTTAATACATGGAAGAATATATTTTTGTATGCTGATTTGTATATTTTAATATATTTTGTATGCTGCTTCACTTTACTGAACTTGCTCATTAGTTCTAAGAATATTTTTGTAGAATCTTTAGGGTTTTCTACATATAGGATCATATCATCAGAGATAATTATCAACAGAGATAATTTTACTTCTTCCTTTCTCATTTGCATTCATTTTATTTCTTTTTCTTGCCTAATTTCTCTGGCTAGAACTTCCAGTATTATTTTGAATAGACATGGTGAGAGTGGGCATCATTATCTTGTTCCTGATCATAGAGGGAAAGCTTTCAATTTTTCAAGATTGAGCATCATGTTGGCTGTGGACTCATCAGATGTAAGCTTTATTATGTTGATGAATCTTCCTTCTATATCTAGTTTGTTGAACATTTTTATCATTAAGGGTTTTGAACTTTAACCTGACCTAATGAGAATGAGGATCATCTTACAAAAAGCAAGATTATTGATATCTTTCCTATGTAGAGTGTTATCTTCAGAGAATAATTGGATTGCATTTTTCTGCTGTCAGATTAAAAAAGACTAAAATTATGTAATCAAAGTCACATAAAATACTCATATATGCGCATACTTTCCTTATATATATTATCATATATGTCAGATTACTTTCCTAATGTGAGTTGCAGAGTGCAATATCATTTTTCTAATATCTATACCTTTAATTATTAATAAAGGGGTACTAAGTATTTAATCACAAACTTTTAAACCCACACTTTCTCAGGCTTCTGTAATATTAGCTAATGTTTGTTGAATGGCAGTGTCTATTTTAAGGGTTTTATGTAAAATATATCACTGAGATGCCAATTTTTATATATGACTTTTAAATCCTCAGCTCAGTGGCTATGTCAATGATGGCAGGAAATCAGTTTAATCATTAAGGTACCAATAGTGTGCCAGGCATTTTGATAGAGCAGATAGATAAAATATAAACAGGGTCCTGATCCTTAAGGCATTCAGTTGTTTAGGAGGATAATTTTCTTAGTTTTTAAATACAGATTGGGCATTATGGAGTCAAGGAAGAGGGTCCCATATCCCAACCTAGTGTAGGAAAAAGAGACCGAAGTTTACTTTCTGAGATGATATCTGCCTAAAATTTTTAACAATGAATAAGAGTTAAGTAAGAAAGAGGGAGGAGGAGAGAACAATGCAGACAGAAATAATAGTATGAGCAATGACTTATACTCGAAACTAACGATGTGAATATGGGGAATTACAATAGTTTAAAACAACTCAAGTGCCAATTGTTAGGTAGAGAGAAAGCACAAGTCAGGCTGGAGCCTACGGCAGGACCAAGTCATGGAGAATCATTGTTTATACACCATGATGGGGAGCTTGGACTTTGTCTTTTAGACTGCATGGAGTTATTAAAACATTTTAGCACTGCAGCTTTCCACACACCAGTGATTCTCAATGTTAGCATGCAACAGAATCGCCTGGGGTGCTTGTTACAACACAGGTTGCTGGGTTTCACTTTCAGGGTTTCTGACTCAGTAGGTCTGTGAGAATTTGCATTTCTGACAAGTTCCCCAGTGATGCTGAGGCTCTGGTTTAAGGAATTGCACTTTGAGAACCATTGCCTGACAGAAAGGAAGCGATCCAGCAACAGCAGGGCCCTCACATCCGACTGCCGGGCTGCCATTCCTTAAGCGAGCCCAGCTGTGACCGTGTTAAATGTTTCATGGCCACTAACCATACTCCAAGTGAGAGCCTTTGTTCTCACCCTGACTGATCCTGTGTCAATTCCCACCTTAACACCTGAGCTTTCAACATCCAGTGCATTATTCTACAATGTGATATTATTATACCTTTAGTGTGTCCCAGTATTTTAGTCTTATTTCTTACCTCCTTGTTGTGCATGATTTTACCACTGCTGGAATCCTGACCTTGGCTTCTTTTGAGTCTAGGGCATTCTTTCCTGGGAGTTATTGGAGCATTGTATAGTTCTTATACTTATCTGTGTTGAACACTAGGAAACTTGGAGTAGTGATATTTGTAGAGCCAGAAAGGACCTTACAACACATATTGTAAATTTTTCACGGTTTTCTCTAACCTGACTTTTGATGAGATAAACATTTCCTTTTACTCATTCCTCTATTTCTGTTTTTCATTTGTTGTTAGAATATATATTTCTGAGAAGAGAGCTCTGTCTAAACATATTTACCCTTTCTCCATTATTGTTGAGATACTTCCTATCAAGGACTTTGTTGTAAAGTCCATGTAGAATACAAAGTGAAATCAGAGCGTGTGTGTACTCATTAGCTGTGTGACTTTGAGGAAATTAGCTAACCTCCCTGGACTTCACATTTATTACTTCTCAAATGAGGGTAATGGTCCAGTACTTAATTTGAAAGATTATATGTAGGCAGCAAAAGTAAGGCACTTTGCTCAATGCCTGAAGCAGTATAGACCCTTAGCCTGTATTAATCTTCTGTTCCTTATTTTTCAAATATGATAGTAATGTTCCATTTGGAGATGGTTCTTACTGTCTCCAACTGTATGATATTGGGAAGGAAACTTTATTTTGAGGATAGTTTTAGTTTACAGGTATCTATTTCTAGGAGGTTTTTTTGTTTTTGTTTTTGTTTTTTGAGATGGTATCTTGCTCTGCCACTCAGGCTGGAGTGCAGTGGCACAATCTCAGCTCACTGAAACCATCTCCCAGGTTCAAGTGATTCTCATGCCTCAGTCTCCAGAGTAGCTGTGGTTACAGGCACCTGCCACCATGCCTGGCTAATTTTTTGTATTTTTAGTAGAGATGGGGTTTTGCCATGTTGGCCATTCTGGTCTATAACTCCGGGTCTCAAGTGATCTACCTGTCTCAGCCTCCCAAAGTGCTGGGATTACAGGCATGAGCCACCGTGACTGGCCTCTAGGAGCTACTATTATTTAAAAAAATTCTTCCCATTTCTATGTCAAAGTGGGGGAATCCGAAATTTACAGAGGCCAGAGTGTGGATGGGCATGGGTTTCTCAAAGTCCTACAGCTCCAAATAGTGTTTAATGATTTTTCAAATTGTAGCTGCAAAGTTTGAGACAGTTTTTACACGCTTTGATGTTTCTCTATATTTGGATTTTACTTTTAGAAAATTCACCTGCAGAATTCCTCTTTCCCTTCAAATGGGGACTGACCACACACACATACACACCCCACAAAAAAACAAACCCAACTCCCAAAAATGAACTAAAAACTTATGGGAGCATTCCTGTTATATAAGAACATAAATTTAGGTCAACTTTGACTTTCTAGACCCTACGGGATAATTCTCCATGATTGGCTGCTTCTTGTAAAAGCTTCACATATACGTTTATTGATAAATGTGTTTGAGTTGTGTTAGAATGCAAATTCATTGTCATATCAGCTTATGCAAGTTTTGTCACAGATAAAGCCAAGAAAATATATACATATATTTGCTTCTTGTATTATAATACACAAATGAACCAGTATCTCTGAATTACTTGATTTTATTTAGAGATAAGACACATTAGAGATAAATGATATACATTTTTTCCTTTAGTTGACAATTTCTGAGTAAAATTAATAATTGCCACATCTGGGATTTGAAGTCAATAACTATGAGAGCTGTGTTCAGTTGCTAGATAAGATAATAGTAAAGAGTAATTAGTATTAAAAGCAAAATTAATCTTTATTGTGGTTTATATTATAATTTAGAACACCCTACATAGGCGCAAGAAGGCATGAAATTATCTGATCCTTGTAGATGTGTTAGGAGCATGGAGGTAATGTCTGGTTAGACTAACAGAGAACTGCCACGATGATCCTTCATTACCGTAATCCTGGGTTTTCATCAGACAGGTCCTGCTATAAGTTTATCTTCAGCAAGTAATCAGTCCCTGCTAACATTGTAATCCCCTACAACCCTTCAGACTTTATTAGGCTTTTCTAAAACTAGGTCAAAATTAAAACTTCATGTAGCTATTGAAGGTCATCAATTAAAAAATGTTGTGACCTTTGAGCTCACAGTCAAAATTTATGGAAAAATTAAAATTTAGAAGCTTCTTGCAGATCTTTCCAGATAATTACTTTGATCTTAAGAAGATATCATCTGAAGCATTACCAAATATTTAAGACACACATACAAAATTATTGCATAATGATGCAACAATTTTTAAAATTATCATTATGACAATCATTTTAAGAATACCTCTCTTTTTCTGCCTCCTGTAACACACTGATAGAGAAGTCATTTGTGCCAGCTCACATACTAAGGGAGGTACACACCCTATTTCATCTTCACAACTACCTCTATGAAGTAGGGGACATTATTATCATCGTCATCAGAATCATTGTCATCATCATTGTCATCATTGTCATAGCTTGGATTTTACCAATGAGAAAACTGAAGATTGAAAATAATTAAGTAAGTAGTCTAATCTCCCCCAAATGGTAAGCAGTTTTGTAAATGGAGTGTAAGAAAAACAAACAAAAGCACTCTGGTGACAAAATAATGTGGTGGTTTCTTCATGATTCAGCAAATATGAAAATGTGGTAATTACTTAAAAAGAAAGAAATAGAAGAATATTTGGGAAGCTGCTGAAATGAGGACAATTAGAAATGAGCATTTTTATTTTCTCTCTTTCTTAAATGGTGCATCAGATGCAGTATTCATTGCATTATTTTTCCCAAACTGGAACATCTTTTTTTTAATCCTTTTGGTTTATTCACTTGTCACAAAGAAAGTTTTTAGGAAATACCATAATTTTCCTAACAGCTAGTAATGATTACTCTAGAGTGCTGGAGACTATGAATGATATTGAATCTTGCAGAACTAGTAAGGAAAGGGTGGTTCATCTGGTTAACCAGCAACAATATGCATTCTCAAAGATCTGGTAGAGTTAAAAAGCCAAAGGAAATGATGGGAGGAGCTTTCTAAATATTTTATTATTTTTTTCTTGGAGTATCAGTAAGTATTAATACATCACATTTTTCATCATGTTTCCAAATAAAGCTTTTTTTTAAAAAAAGTCTGCATTTATATTAGCAAACGAGTTTCCGTAGTGAAAAAAAATTAGCTTCAGAGTTAGAATACGCAGAAACTCCTTAGTTCTGGACCTGCCTAAAGCATACAGCCTTAGGCAAAGCACTTAACAGTTTTGAACTTTAGTTTCCCATATGTGAAGGGAAATAATAATATACGCTCTCACATTTTTGTAAAGATCATACAATAGAGCATATGTTTGAATCTATTATAATATTTGAAACTTTAGGTAGATACTAAATTAATGCTATTTCTATTCCTTTCTATACACAACTTACTTGTCTCTGAGAAAGTACATTTTATTTGATATACAAGTGATTTTCAATTAAAATCATATATGATTTTTAAGAAATTATTTTTTGATGAAAAATTACTAGACTAGCTGGTAGGCAGGACTTAAATGATGAAAAATGTATACTGTAAATAATGGTTTAAATCTTTAAAGCTGAAGTGATCAGGGTCAAAAGTTATCCACAGAAAGAACGTATTGTGGTTTTACAAGTTATCAGGTACATTTATAAGGTACCTAATAAAATAATGCAATATTGATACGTTATTTGAAGAGAAAAGGTAAATATGGACATCCATCAATTAATCATGGCCTAGATTCTGGTGGCAAAATTTTAATTGCCTTTTTTTTCCCTCACACTGTCCCACTTAAAGGTTGATTATTAGTGTGTCTGACATTTGGAGCCTTTGTAGCTTTTCTGACTTTATCACTATAAAAGCCATTTCTGTTGTAACAGTTTATTTTGTCACCCCTCATCAAAATACAAAATACTTTTTCTTTTCACAGGAGGAGATTTTCCTTTTGTGGTCCCAAATGCTGTTCTTTTAATAGAATCAGTATTAACACTGTCAAGAGGCTTCAAGAGCCCAGCAGGATACATGAAAAGTGCCGCATGTGGTGGTCATTAAAAAGGAAAAAACACAAATCCAAGACTAAACCTGGAAAAGAAATAGTTTGTGAGCATAATTAAAAGCCATCTGAAACTAAATGAGACTTTAAAAAGAGTACCTGTGACAAAAAAAGTTTGAAAATTATTACATATAACTAAAGAACTAGGTAGCTTCGAAATTTATAACCCAGTTCTCATAATTAACTTAGAAATACAGAAATGAATCTTTTACAATTGGTATGACAAGGGAAATAAGTTGTTAACATGCAGAAAGGAGTCCCAATCTTACAGAAAAGGGATGGTTGATTACAGGAATAATTAACTGGAAGTAAGTTTCTGTTCTTTAATGGATCTGTTGTTTTCTTACATGATTTCCTGTATGATTTGGAGAATGAAATGAATTTCCTGATTTTAAGCCGAAACACTTTTGTGACAGCATTTTTGTGTGAAGCTTATGATCCACTCTTTAAATAAATTATTCTTGTTAAGTCACTGTTTGAATGTGCCAGTATGTGGTAAGCTCAGTAGTGTGAAGCTGATTCATACATGCTGCAAACATTGTTCTAGCACCTGGCTGCTTGCTGGTAAAAATTACTCTCTTCCTCTGAGGATTATAATAATCATCTTGGTTATAAGCATAACTAGTGAATATTCTCAATGTCTCTTCTTTTCAATTCTCCATAATCAATGATAATCACTGGATCCTGCCCAGCCTCATCATGGAAGGATAAAAAAATACTTAAAGGCAACAGCAGATAGAAAAGTTATCCGAATGAGTCCTTTCAGAGCTTCCATTAAGGGGCAACTGATTGAGCCTAAAATACTGTAATCATCTCCAATTGTGTTGTAAATTTGAAATTATTTTTTCCATGTATGACTTCAGGTTTACAGAATGCTAACTAAAGTTTATTTTATACTATTACTCAAATATCTGATTGATAGGACAAAAAGTCATCTAATGGTATCTCTGGATATTTAATTTATAACTTTTCTTAAGATTCGAGAATAAATATCACTTGTTCTCTTGCCAGCAACTGGAAAAGAGATTGCAACACTTCTTTCCAGTTTATTGAGCTTCTACTTGATAGCAGACACCTTGGTAGGCCCAGAATATAGAAACGTGAATGAGCCATGATGCTTACGGAATGAATTGATTAAAAAAATACTACAGCATGGTAGATGTCCCACAGGAGGGTGAGCAAGGCATTACGGGAATGCAAGAGACAAAGCACTGTGCATTTGTTGGAATTTGAAGGATGAATAGAAACTTCTCTGGCAGGTAGGTTGTAGTGAGGTGGAAAAGGTGTCTCAGACAGGGAAAAGAGCATGAATCGAATCAGCATTAGCGTATGTAATAATCACAGTGTATTTCACAAGACAGATGTCCAGCTCTAACTCAGTGAGGCGTTGTATAAGTAGTCATCTTGTGTTTACAGTGTGCAGAATATTATACTGAAATATATATATCCAAAAGAGACAGTCCATAGACTGAAGAGAAAGTTATATTCGAATGAGAAAGATAAGACAATTCATTCAATTATTAGAAGATATATCTGATTCTTATGCAGTGCCTTGAGTTTTCTTTCCTAAGTTTGTCCTCTTCCTTCCATACTCTGCTGCTGGTTTTTGAAGCAGCAGCATCTACTGACCAGGGGCAAAGGGTCAGTCTCTGTCTGTCAGTCAACTTGATTCTCTCCTACCCTGCCCGCCTCTCCATTGCCCTCCTGCCTCTCCTTGCACCTTCTCAAGGGTATCACCCTCTCCTGCCTTCCTCTATATATTCTATATGCTGCTCTCTTGGTCTGGAACATCCCCTCACTCATTTTACACCTTGAATATTGGCTTCTGTGGCATTTCCTGTAGGAGATGGGCTGCTATCATGTAGCCAGCACCCAGATAATAAACAAAACCGATGCTCTGGTCTGCCGCCGCCACCCTCTGCCCTCCTCCTGGCTTCTGATAGCATTAGTTAGCTTTTCTGTTTCTGAGCATCACAGAAATGGAATCCTACAGTATGTGTTCTTTTGTGTTTGGCTTCTATAGTGAACATTATGTTAGTGATATTTGTCCATATTGTTGTGTATAGTTGTAGGTCATTTGTTTTAATTGCTGTATATATAAAATAGTCCATTAGGTAAACATCCTAACAATTATTTTCCTATTTACTATTGATTGGCATTGAAATGTTTCCAGTCTATAACTATTAAAATTAGTAAACCTATAACCACTCTTCTGCCTGTCTTCTGGCAATCAAATGTACACAATGCTGTTACTTAGATCTCAGTAGAATTGCTGAGTCATGGAATAGGAATATAGGCAGTTTGGCAGTTTTTTGTAAAGTTAATCCAACGCTTCATTTAACCAAGCAATTCTGTTTCTAGATATTTACCTGTATTATAGTCTGTTCATGTACTGCTATTTATAGCAGTAATTTATATTAAAAAAGAGTCTTAATTGGCTCACAGGTTGTACAAGAAGCATGACAGCTTCTGAGGGGAGGCCTCAGGAAAACTTTCAATCATGGCAGAAGGCGAAGGAGAAGCAGGTGCATCTTATATGGCTGGAGCTGGAGAAGAGAGATGGGGAAGGTGCCACACACTTTTAAACAACCAGATCTCACAAGAACTCACTATTACGAGAATAACACCAAAGGGGATGGTGTTAAACCATTCATGAGAAACCGTCACGTGATTCAATCATCTCCCACCACGCACTACCTCCAGCACTGGGGATTACAATTCCATATGAGATTTGGGCGGGGACACAGATCCAAACCATATTATTACCCAAGAGAAATGAAGACATATGTCCACACAAAGACCTGTTCACTTAAAAAATATCATTACTTTGTCTTCAGGCTTCTGATTTTTTTTTCTCTTGAGAAGTCCACTGTGATTCCTGCTGCTGCTCTTTTAAAGACCTTGTGTGCTTTTCCACTTGAAACTTTTAAGATTTTACTTTTGATTTTGTAATAGTCTGTTCTTACCCTGCAAATAAAGACATACCTGAGATGGGGTAATTTATAAAGAAAAGAGGTTTAATGGATTCACACTTCCACATGTCTGGGGAGGCCTCAAAATCATGGCAGAAGATAAAGAGTAAAGGGACATCTTACTTGGTGGCAGGCAAGACAGAGAGTGTTCAAAGGAACTCCCCTTTATAAAACCATCAGATCTCATGAGACTTATTCACTATTATGAGAACAGCATGGGAAAGCCCCACCTCCATGATTCAATTACCTCCCACAGGGTCCCTCCCATGGGGAGGGAATTATGGGAGCTACAATTCAAGATGAGATTTGGGTAGGGACACAGCCAAACTGTATCAGTTTTTAAACAGTTTTACTATGATGTGGTTAAGCATTATTTCTCTGTATTTTTCCTAGTAAGACTCTTAAACTCTATTTTGATTTTTTTTTAAATCAGTTTTAAAACATCCTTGGTCTTTATCTCACTGCTATTGCTTTTGGCCATTCTCTCTATTCTCTCTTACTGAGACCCCAATTTCACTTTGGATATGTTCCACATTTTATTACCCTCTCTTCTGTGTGCTTTCTTTTTCTTCTATAATTTCTTTGGTATTCAGTTTGGGTACTTAATACTTCCCTGACTTCCAGATCGCATTTTCCTTCCTATTGTTGTATTTAATATGCTATTACATTTATTCATTGAGGTTGTGTATTTCAGATATATTTTTTGGATTGAGATGATCACTTAAATATTTTATACAGATTTTAATTATGTGGTAATCATTTAGCATCTGTTACATCTTTATCTTTTGCAATATTGTTGAATATATTATTCACAGTTTATTCTTTATTTTTAATTCCAGTGTATTGATCATGTTGAGGACAGCTTCAGTTGTTTCTTTTTGTTTTTCTCCCTTATTTTCTTTTTGTCATATAATCTTGCCTCTTTGCATGTTTAGTCATTTCTAGTTATATTTTGGACTATGTATTAGAGATCTTTGGAAGCTCTGGTGATGGTGAAATTTAACCACTTGTTTGGTAGATATCATCATGGGAGCCTGCCACCTCATCAAGTCAGGGAGTTAGTTGGTCAAGTGTGGGTTTCAGGTTTTTGAAGACTCTGAGTCCCCCTGTTTCTGAGGCACGATGTTCCAGCTTTTCAACTGGCAGGCTGGCCAGTGTTGATCATCCCAAGCCCCCAAACTAAGAAAGAGTCAGTTATTTTTCACAGATGAGTTTGTTTGTTTGGTCACAAACAGCATCTAATTTGGTAAATGTCTTGGTAAAGACATGTCTATTGCCAAGAGAACTCTAGTTCTTGCCTGGTTTCTCTCTCCTTCAGAAATAGCCTTTTGCCACAGGCCATTGCTGGCTCCTATATTCTCATTTTCTGGACATCCGTGAGCAGCAGGTGCCCCAGTTCAGTCTTAGTTTTGGATCTTTCCTGTTGGTTCAGTGCCCCCTAGGGCTTTTGCCTCATAGGTGTTTTATGTTCAGAACTTCCCTTGGAGCCTCATGGTATCTGGATGCTGTGAGAGCATGGAAAATCTCAGGCTGTTTTTGAAGCTCCCAGCCTAGCCCTTCAGCCCCTGTGCAGCCTCAGGATATAGCACACGTCTCTTAGTGAAAACCAGCTGCGTATTTGAGGCTCCCCAATTTGTTATTCCAGACCTGCTCGGTCATTAAACTACTGCTGGTTCCTCTTTCCCCTGAAAACAGCCTTCTACTAGGCCAAACCAGAAACAACAGCCATGCTCAGAACTGGCAAATGTCTCCGGGGGGAAAACAGCTGGTATCGTGAGTTCGTTTCTGAGTGGGTCTCCCTCCACAGAAATCTTGATCCATGAACTCCTCATTGTTTTCATAGACCTCTAAATGCCGTTACCATGTTTTAAAAATTTATCTCCTTTTTCCCTGTGTATCATCATGTCCTTTCACCTTGCTTTGACCTTCAACATCTGATTGGGAAGCACGTATTTTAGGCCATTTTTTAAAAAAATGAGATGTAAAAAAATCGTTTAGAGAAAAGGGGATAAAAGTGATTCATCTGAAACTAAGAAATGCTTGAAAACGTTGGTGATATTGTCTGTGAGTAGTGGAAATCCAGGGAGCTGTGAGCGTCTGCCTGCAAAGGTGTGAGATGCTCACGTGGCTAAGGGGCTTTCTGTGCATGGCTTCACATGATGAGAAGATGCTAGAAACGTGGCATAGGGTCTAGGGCTTTCTGTGTATGGCTTCACATAATGAGAAGATGCTAGAAGACAGATTTCAGGTCAAAGCAGGAGGAATTTTCTTCGAAATCTCATTGCTATGAGAAAATGAAACGAATTCCCAGAGGTGACGGTTTTCTCTTGTTGGAGTCAAGTAAGCAGAGTTTGTGATAAGTGTTGGGAAGAGGCTGTTTTGTGGTTGGACTCATATGATTTGTCTGATCTTGTGATTTTATTAATTCTCTATTTTCTCCCTGTAACATAATTGATTTCTGTTTATACAGTAGTAATCATAATTATTACACATATGGCATACAGGAAGTTTTTCTGGGCTCCAATACCTTTGGTTAGTTATTTATCTCAAAGCAATTAGTTCTTTCTTCACCAAACATATTCTGCAGTTATATTTCTGTTCAGGTCTCCAATTAAAAAGAAATACCACTGCCTGAACCTACATTGATAATGATATATACATTCTTCTTCTTATATAAAAGCATTCTTCTAGAATCCAAGTTCACTCTTAGTAGTTAAGTACCTACTGGGAGGACAGGAAAGCGGTGGTATATTTTCACACTACAGTTACTGATACGGCAAAATTACGCTGTTTCCTGGAGTAGGTTGTCATGTTTATCGTAACTAATATATGCATTTATAATTTTCAAAATAACTTATGCCTGGAAAAATTGCTCATTGGTTGTATTTTAAAATAATCAATGTGTTTTCTCAATGCAGCCATAAGAGCTGATATTGGCCCTATATTAATCACAATCTCTGCATAATGTTTTGTTTAATGTAAACTCATTTAAGATATAACAATAATATAACAATAATAACAGTGATATTAATAAATAGTAATAACAACAGCTTTATACTTTCCAACGTTTGTTATCTGTAATATTAGATTATTATTGCATAAGTCTGAGAGTCAGGGGGAACAATCAATAAAAGTTCAGTTTTATACAGAAGGAACTGAGGTCCAGGATTGTTAACTGATTTGTTCAATATCACACACCTTGGAGAAAACTTGTAAGAAAGAATCAGGTTTTCTTGCCCCCAGTCTTTTTGTCCTTCAGTAACACCAGAATGTTTCCCATAAACTCTGCAATACACAGGTCTTCAGGATCAAATTACTTTTTTTGTGAATTGATCTTTCTGCAAAGTTACTCACCATCTCTTGGCCCTAAATCATTATCTTGAGTCCTTTTTTAGACTTACCAGAAAGAGGTGGAGATCATCTCTACAAAGAGTTGCTCTGGAAGAAAATTTCTACATCTGCCGTTGAAGAAAGTAGTTCAGCTGGCTGCCTCTGTTTATTCACTTTTGTTTTAAGGAAAAATATCTGGGGAGTTTTAATGAGCAGCAAGAGTTTATTTTACTCCCTTCCTAGAAAATTTGGGCTTTCAGTGATATTGTGACCTAAATGTGATAATTCTTAACAGATAAGAGCTCTCCCTGTCTGTTTTGTCTACGCCTCAACTAACTTCTCTAGTGGGAACTTTGAGAATGAAAAGGGGCTACAGACAGAAGTTACTGTGAAAGTGACTAGATCTCCCATTCTGGGGATATTTCCATTGCATCATCCCAGTACTTCAGGGACTTGGAGTGTGGGATGGCACTTATGTGTCTCCAAGAGCTATCCTGGCTCTAGTCTTCCAACCAGCAGTTGTCTATACTTAATATTTTCCATGTTTCCAACTAGTATGCAGCGTGCCTGAGTTCTGGCTATATGTGAAGATTCTGGAGATTTATCTTTGAAAGAGATATTAATCAAGTCCTTGGTTTCTGAAATAATGAGGTGTTTCAAATCCATTTGCAGGATTTTAGTCATGTGAGCAGCAGCCAATATATTCTCAGCACTGAAATCTGTCATTTTAGCAACTAATAAATGAATCTGAAGTATATATTAGAGATGTTGTTAAGAAACATGTTGAATTTATGGCATTTATCAATTTGTTGACACAATAAACCCTAAACCTATAGGGTACGTATACGTTTGCCAAGGTGAGAAGCTAGTACAGGAAGCAAGGCTAAGACAGGTATAGGGCCTGGGTCAGAGAGTAGATTTCACTCTGACAATAATGTTAATAGTGTCATGCCCTGTGCTAACCACTTTACACAACCGATTTCATTTTCATGGGAGTTATGCCTACTTGTTCCATCAATTTACAGATGATAATATTAAATCTAGAATAATTGTTATGTGGTAGAACAGCTAATAGAATTGGGAAGTGTTGGTTTGAACATAGGTCTGTCTGTATTCCTCCAGAAAAGGTAAGTACCTTAATATGCTGCGTTTCAAAGATGTCCCACAGAAAGGGTCTAATTAATATCAATAAGAATACCATTTTATCCAGCCTTCAGGGTTTAATAGCCAGCAGGACACCTGTGTTCAAAGAGAATGGACGGAATCATATCCACTGCGTTTACCTGAACAGGTACCTCTGCTAGGAGAAACCCTGTGTGATCCATGAGGTTCCACAACCTCTTAACAGAATTGTTTACAAATGGCTGGAATTCAGGGTCAGGGAATATTTTGACCTCAGTACCATTCAAGGCTCCTTTTCATGTGGTTCCGGTATCTTTGCTGCTTTCAGGGATGCAAGCAAATGCTTCAGCTGGGAGTTGCCTCCACAGTGGTAGTATTTTAAGTATTTCTGTGTTGTAAAATCATGAGACACACTTCTTTTATTGTCTTCTACTGAAATTCTATGTGCGTTATTTAAATAACACACAGACATTTAAATTTGATTAGCTTAATTTGGAAAACAAACTTTTCTTATTACTATTGTATGACCTGAAGCCAGGTTGATGACTTCTTTAAGCTACAGTTGCCCGCTTTGTAAAATAAGGTTACAATTGAAGGTAAAAATGACCTATAAACAGAGAATTGTAATACTTACAATAATAGAGATAACCTATGCATAAGGACAGAATTTTGTTTCTGTAATTTAGAAAATACTTATAAATGTAATTTCCCTATTGCCCATTCAATATGACAAAATCTGAAGCGTTGTAAATGGTTTTCATTTTGCAGGTTTGTTATATGTATGTATACACACAGACCAACAAATCACAAGAAATGGTCACGTTAGAATTTGAGAAAAACAGAAAAAATGTGGCATCTTTCAAAAAGGAATTTTAATTCCTTGCCTTCAGAATAAAAATCTAAATAGGTCATGTGCGCTGGCTTCACAATGACAAAGACAAGTAACACAGGAATCACATGGAGGTTTGTGTGGTTGAATGGGGTGGAAAAGAGCAATCAGAACATCTGCAGTTAGAATCCCAGCACTGACCGGCATCTCGCAGGGCTGGTCGGGATATGCTTGTCCAACAGTACAATGTGAGGAAGGAACAAGTGTTCTTAGCCTCCAGAATGCCACGGCAGTGGGACCCATTTCCTCAAGGAACAAATCCAGAAGTAGGTGGGGCTGGGTGGTTGCCTTATTATGAATAAGCTGCTTGAGGCAGTGGCCAGGGTGAAGGAAAGAGAAAGGGTTAAATTTGAAACCAGTCAACTAGTCTTTTGTGAACTTGATCTTGATTACCAATACAGAAACAGATAATTAGAGGCACCATTCCCATTTTAATCCCTGTAAAATTCTATTACACACAGAACTCAACTATTGGCATTATTTCATGCCTCAACAAAGCCAGGGCATTAAAGGACAGGCTTAAATGCTCAGCCTGTATTTTAGAAGCGGTTTCTGCCAGATGTTATTTGACAGTCATTTGCAAAATTGCCTTTAGTCTTAACTATTGCACTTGGTTATTTTTTGATACATCACTTTTTTTGATAATGGCTGATACTTTTTTTTTCTTCCAGGCCTTTTAAAATGCAAGTCAGTTCTTTACAGAGCAATTTAACACAAATTTTGTAAAGCAATTAATACTAAGTCACATGTATTATGTTGGTGCAAAAGTAATTATGGTTTTTGCCATTACTTTTAGTGGCAAAAATCGCAATTATTTTCGCACCAACCTAATAGTTCAAGAACATTTTATACCACTAATTTTCAGGGTTGTGTTGCTATCTGTTTCTCCTGAAACCAAAACTCAGACTGCTGCTGCCCCTTCTGTCCCCTTGGTTCACTATGTTGCCATGTTTCTGCATGCCATTTCTTAGCACAGGGATTAACTAGAACAACCAGGCTGTGTTTAAACAAGTCGGTTATTTTAATTACATGGTTGGAGACATAGGCTCCTCACTGAGAAAGAAGATAGTTATTTGCTAATTTGCTAAAGATTTCAGAAAAAATATGTGTTTTATGATTTTTACCTATATAACATTACTGAGTTCTCACAAAGTTTTAAATAATGGTACTGGATTTATTGATTTTTCTATAATAGAAATTATCTATAAGTTAATGCAGTTGTTTATAAATTGTTTGACCTCTAGGTAGAATTTAGAATTTCTATGCCTGTCTTTTTGCCTTTGTACAGTTTAACTGGAATGAATCTAAGAACTCATATCCTTCTATCTGTGCTTTGTAGAGTGTGAGCATGTAGTAAGTATCCATTCATTTGAAATAGAGAGTAAGCTATCTGTTACTTAGATGCAATGTCAATCAAAATAAAATTTTGGGCCATTAAAAAATAGGTTTCTGAAAAATGTTGAGTCTTGACATTCTGTTTTTTGAAGCAAGAGAAAACCATTGTGATTTTGTGTAGTTTCCAAACTTTTCTTTTGACTGTGGATTCTTTTTTGTGACGTTGGCATGAATGGATAAAAGAAGAGATATCTCAACTAAAGAATAAGGTCCCCAGAGTTTTGAGGCAGAGTGAGCCCTGAGGGTGGCATGGCTGACGG
The DNA here is from genome assembly GCF_000001405.40 of Homo sapiens. Taxonomy (NCBI): domain Eukaryota; kingdom Metazoa; phylum Chordata; class Mammalia; order Primates; family Hominidae; genus Homo; species Homo sapiens. The sequence goes on from NC_000002.12 coordinate 4,229,338, forward strand.
TTTAATATCCATGTTCTTACCCCAGCACTCCACTTCATAGATGAGCATGCTACAGCCAGAGAGGAAACACTCTCTCCCTCAGGTACCCTTGATCTTGTTAGGATCTGAGTACCTTTCCTCTCCACTGTCCTGGGTGTTTCTTGGTCACCCTGGCCTTGATACGCTCTTTCCGCCTTGAGTGCCTGAGTCCTTCATGCATCCTCACTTTCCAAATCTACACCAGGAATCCCTACTCCATTGGAGGGAGCTGCCTATCATGCTTAGATAGTGAAAATCCAGTCACTGGAGAAGGCTCGGTACTCTGTAAATTCAGCCTTTGCTAGGGAATGCAGTACTGAGTGGAGCTTTGCTGAAAATAATGGGAATAAGAAACACATCTTACTTGTTTTGTGGCATAATCTGATTAGATTTCTCTTACCATCAAATGCTGTGGTTGGGTTGTTTTGTTGTTCTAAAGTCACTGAAGAACTCATACATTGGTATCTTGTCCCAAAATGACAAAATCAACATCATTATATGTGTCTGACTCTGTGCTGTTTATATATGCATATATATATATATGCATGTATATATATATATACACACACGCACACACATATATATGCATATGGATTTAGTATTACCCTGTGAAGTTACTAGTACTGTATGGGCTATTTAATTTTGCCCCCTCAGGTGCATGCTGTGCCCCACCCTACCCTGCTCCATGTCCAGTAAGATGGCCTCTATAGAATGCATTGTTCAGGCTCCCTTGGCTGAGTTCTGCTCCCTTCTCTTAATGAAGGCTCTGGCCACATTCACAGGGCAGAGGCCACATGGTTCTGGCAGCGTGTGCTTTACCAGTGGCCTCAGCTGCTGTCTAGGTGCCTTCCTCCAGGACCCCTGCTCTCCTTGTGTTCCAGTAATGTATTTCCTCCCCTTTCCCTGTCCATCTTCCCAATGTTGGTAGGCCGTTAGTGCCCAACTTCAACTTTTCATGTTCCTAAACTTCTGTAACAGCTCCATATCCACTTCCTCTATCAAAAAGTATTTAATGAAATCGTTCCATCTGAGTCTTCCGTCTGTGCCATTTGCTTTCCCCAGAATCCTGATGGATATGGCACCATCTTTTCTATTTTACTTCATAGGATTTGCCATGAAGTTGAACTTCAGGGTCCCTCATTTATGTGGAACCTTCCAAGGCTCTCAGTAGGATCCCCTGTGTTCCCATTGCCATAGGACTGTGTGAAATTCACAAAGAAAATGTGCCTCTGCATAGAGGACCTTTGTCTTTTTGGACTCCAGCTTCCTCTGGGTTGCCCCTTCTTGGGCTGATTTGCACTGGAATGGCTGTGGACATTTTAGAGATTTGGGTCCGGGTTGGTTTGGGGATAGGTTTTGTTTGAGTTTAGTGAGGTGTGTTTATGTGGCTGTATTCATTGTGCAGAATTAAGGTGTTGCTGACCTTCCAGAGTAGGAATACCTTCCAGGATGTTCCTATTACCTCCTGTATCAACTCAAATAGAGGTTTTTTTTTTTTTTTTTTTAAATAAAAACACAGTCCAATCCACCTAGCACCAGATATATGAAGCTTGTAGAGGAGAAACAAGGTTTGAAAAAAAGAAACCCAGAAATGTGTCTGTGGAAACTTCTAAGCAGAAAGATTTAGTGCTTATCAACACCTAGTCAACATGCAAATGCTCAGCCCATCCCTACCCAACTGTGTAATGCATCAGATGCAGTTTAAACAATACCACTTTTTATAAAGATTCTGCAAACTAGAATATATCAGAATTCTTATGTTTATAGAGAAAGAGCAGTTACTAGTATTAAACACAGAAAGAACTTTCAAATAAGTTTCTTAGGTTTGACTAAAATCCGAAACTTTTACATGACATTAAGAAAAATGAAATATGAAGCAGGAGGAAGTGTTACTAAACTATGAACAAACAATGTAGTCAATCTACGAAGAGTGAATTATCTACAGAGGTAATACCAAACAAATTTTCTTTTCATTCTTTATGTAGTACTTAACTATAGAAAATATTATAAACTTATTTTCACAGGAAAAGACATTCAAACACTATTCAACCAAAATGCATAGGAGCAAAAGTATTATAGACGTGAATCAGGTGCCTAATTAGTAAAAAAAAAGTTTCTCTATTTGTATTTGTGATTTTTCTAAAGTTTTTAAACATTTATAATTCATTGTGGTTTCTTTTTTCATTCAAAATAAGTATTTACATTTGTACTGAATTTAGTATTGATAACTTTGTTTTCTTTTTTCAAAGGTGATCCCTAAAACTCTTTGAGAACTATCAACTCAAAACTGCACTCTTAAGCACTTTGTAACACAATCCTATTATTACTCACTAGCAGAGCAGGGTTTCACAGTTTTGTCTTTATTCTAAAGCATATGATTTTTGTAGTATAATACTCAACATTTCTGTCTCAGGTTGCAGCCCTCAGGAAATAGACGTTAATATAAAAATTTGCATACAAATACTTTATTTGGGAGGTCATCCTAGGAAACACTGGTTGGAGGGTAGGGAGGTAAAGCAAAGGATAGAGGGAGGGTACTGCTGCAGTCAGCAGGACTTCATTCTTCTTTGGACTCTGGGACAGTGCAGATTGTGTCCAGCAGTTCTCCTGCCCAGGGGTGAGGGGGCTGCAGTATTTATCCACCATCCCCCATTTGTTATTTGTCAATGGTGGCTGCTCCCAGGGCATTGATTTCAGAGCATTTTTAGACTATGTTGTCTGGGCCAGGAAGGCTCCAGTGGCCAAAACAGCTCTTGGGCGGCAGCTAGGCTTGCATTTGAAACAGCAGGAAAAGGGGTGTGTTGCAGGGAATGGTGATGCCAAGAGGTTATGGAGAAAGTGCTGATAACTCCCTACTGCAGTTCCCAAAGAGGAGGCTTGACTTGCGCTTATTTTTGTTTTCCATTTTAGTTCTGTTTTGGATTATAATAATGCCTGGTGTTATTTTGCAATTTTAACTTGAGAAAGCATTGTCATATACCATATGTTTTAAGGGAAAAAATGATCTTCGGCCTTACGATAATTGTCCCTTTTTCTTTTTTAGTGTGTGTGTTTTGTTGGTTTATTTCTTATATAGAATCAAATTAGATATTGCTGATGATACTTATTCAGGGGCTCTACTACCCAATTTCACCACAGTCCACAAAAAAAAACACACACACACAAATAGATTGGATACAGGTAGTCCTGGAATGCAAATAATATTTCCCCACTGCAAAATGAAGAGAAAATTGCATGGCCGTAAGCTTCCAAAGCTGCCAGGCCTTCACATTCTTCACACAAGTTTGCTATTACTAAAATTTCATGACTTGGAAAACATTGCTTTAGCCAATATCTGTGCCATTTGAGATAAATAGATGTATTTTATCTGCAATATAAATTCCAATATGTCATGTTTGAATTACGTTTGAATCCATCACGATAGGCATCATTTCTGTAACCAGCAATATGCAATTATCTGATAACTTGTTATTTTAAGATAAATATTTTAAGTGGATACTTGAAAAGAAGCTCAAATACATGCTGGGAAATTGATTTTTTAAAAACATTTTAATTCAACAAGAATGAAGTGAGCTGTTCTCCTAAGTCAATAGGGAAACCATCACAGCCTCTCTGCATGGTGCTTATGGTAGGCTAGGTAACTATTTTTCTAGCTTTTTAAAATTTTAATATATATGATTACTGGTTAAAATGCTTCCTTTTAAGTTTTTTAAAAAATGATTTTCCTGTGTTAACAAGTAGGACCTTTGCTTTGGAAAACTGCTGGATGAAGCACGTTCTTGATCAAAAGTGTTCCATCTGGATCTTAACAGAGAATTTTCAGATACATTTAGTCAGGAGAATTGAGTGATCTTTTATTCACAGTTAAACCCATTTAGTATTTATAACTTTTCTCTTTTTTAATTTTTTATTATACTTTAAGTTCTAGGGTACATGTGCACAACGTGCAGATTTGTTACATATGTATACATGCGCCGTATTGGTGTGCTGCACCCATTAACTCGTCATTTACATTAGGTGTATCTCCTAATGCTATCCCTCCCCCCTCCCCCCACCCCACGACAGGCCCAGGTGTGTGATGTTCCCCTTCCTGTGTCCAAGTGTTCTCATTGTTCAATTCCCACCTATGAGTGAGAACATGTGGTGTTTGGTTTTTTGTCCTTGCGATAGTTTGCTGAGAATGATGGTTTCCAGCTTCATCCATGTCCCTACAAAGGACATGAACTCATCATTTTTTATGGCTGCATAGTATTCCATGGTGTATATGTGCCACATTTTCTTAATCCAGTCTATCACTGATGCACATTTGGACTGGTTCCAAGTCTTTGCTATTGTGAATAGTGCCACAATAAACATACGTGTGCATGTGTCTTTATAGCAGCATGACTTATAATCCTTTGGGTATATACCCAGTAATGGGATTGCTGAGTCAAATGGTATTTCTAGTCCTAGATCCTTGAGGAATTGCCACACTGTCTTCCACAATGGTTGAACTAGTTTGCAGTCCCATCAGTGTGCTGTATTCAGGAGACCCATCTCACGTGCAGAGACATACATAGGCTAAAAATAAAGGGATGGAGGAAGATCCACCAAGCAAATGGAAAACAAAAAAAAGGCACGGGTTGCAATCCTAGTCTCTGATATAACTTTTCTCTTATACAAAGACAACCCCTAAACTCTATGAAAAGAGAGTTCAATTTTTTTTCTAATGCATTTGCTTATGCGGGATGTGTGGGAGACTGAACCTAACTGGGATTCTGGCAGGAAGGAAGAAATGAATTTAAAACAGACTGGTCGTGGGGAGCTGTATTTCATCTGTTCCCATACTTTTAGGTCTAGCATAGTGGCTGCTGCACAGCAGTTGCAAAGTACATGTTCACTGGGTAAATGAGTTCATCTCAATGACACTCCTAGGGCTCTGGGTATCAGCATCCTGCACTTCCTCTCCAGTGTAAAAGAGTGTTATGAAAACAAAGTAGATTTCTCTGAGGTCAATAGAATGGATTGAAGAAAGCACCATGCTAGGGCCCATAAAATGCTGTTGATTGCCAATAGCTTTACCCCAGTGTCACTTCCTGCCCAAGCAATGCAGATGGGATGTTAGTTGTCTGATGTCCTCATACCATGATTTTGCTGGAAAGTTGAAAGATTTTCTTTTCATAAAGATTTATTTGTACAACAAATTCTTTCTTTGTAGACAATCGTGCTACCATATATTCTTATTTTTTCTCTCTCTTTTCTTCTCTCATTAAAACAGTGTAAAAAGCATTGACTTTTGTTTCAACCTTACCAGCCACCAAGTCTTCCATTCTCCCTGTGTTTAGTTACTGTGGAAGGTGAACACTTTTAATCTCATTTCTGTGTCTTTGTTCCTTTGCTTGGAACCAATGCCCCATATCCTAAATACCTGCAGTACATCTGTTGGGATGAATCCAGTTCAAATACTGTAATACTGCATGTCATAGAAAGAACAAATTGTTTGCTACTGTGTGCTATCATATGACTGTTTTGCAAGTCTATACATTGGACAGTAGATATTTGCTTAAGGTTGTTTCTCCTTGTCCTTAAAAGCAGGGAAATATATTACTCTTATTTGTACTCTTGGAATGATGTGTGGCACCGAATAGGTTCTCAAAGATACTTGCTAAATAAATAAATAAATAAATACTTACTAAAATATAATGCAGCATGGAAACTAGAAATGGCCTCAAAGCCTGAAAGAAAGTGATTCAGTCTAATAGACATACAAAAACCTAATGAATAAAAATGTAATGCATAGCACAATTATGTGACTTTTTAAGCAAATGGGGTAGTGCTTAAAATACTGGGCAGACGTGTGGAACTTCTGTGGTCTGATCATAATTGTGACCACTTTTCTTATTTTGAATTTAGCAGAATCTCTCAATTAAAACAAACTTTGTGAATCTTGGATAATTGTAAATGAAACATTTGGTTCTTATCAAAAAGGTATGGTTGGGCTGGGTGTGGTGGCTCACACCTGTAATCTCAGCACTTTGGGAGGCCGAGATGGGTGGATCATCTGAGGTCAGGAGTTCAAGACCAGCCTGGCCAGCATGGTGAAACCTCGTCTCTACTAAAAATACAAAAACAGGATGTGGTGGCAGATGCCTGTAATCCCAGCTACTTGGAAGGCTGAGGCAGGAGAATAGCTTGAACCCTGGAGGTGGAGGTTGCAGTGAGCTCAGATCGCACCACTGTACTCCAGCCTGAGTGACAGAGTGAGACTCTGTCTCAAAAAAAAAAAAAAAAAAAAAAAAAAAGGAAAGGATTCATTCCAGTCACACGTAGAAATGATCAAGTACCTGATTCTTCTTGGTTGCTGAGTGTGAACCAGCTGGGGACCTTGATTTCAACACGTTGCTTTTATAAAAGTGCTTATTTTGATTGGTTTAAATATTGACTTTTAGAGTTCATGACCTTCATTCAGTTTTATTAGCAAGCATTTTTTGTTACTCTTTCTAGCCAATGGATGCCTCTCACCAACAACCAGGAAGGAATTTGCATTGATTCCTTCACATTGTGTTTTCAAGAACCAGCCCATCAGGACAGCTCTGCATTTATGTGCTTATCATTATGCATGAAGGAAGGGCATGTGCACTAGAAGAAGACCCTTTTGTAGGTGAGTGAATATTTGAAAAGGTGATATTTATATTGATACTTAGAATCACAAGAACAACATGCTTATTTCGTTAAAGTCATCACGCATTTATTGAAGTCTTCCTAATATGGTTATGCTCTACTGCTACTGCATAAGCATGAGTATGCGCTTGTGTGTTCACATGTGGCAAACGGTTATATAAAGAGAGTAACACATTTTCTTTTTTATTCTTTAGATTACACTGAGTAAGAAATATAATAGGGACATGAATGTGACCCAGGTGTCATACTGAACCCTGGTATTTGAATTATACTGTCTTCAACTATTCCACTATTCCTCCAGTTGTCCCCACTATTTTCTTCCTCCCCTGTCAACAAGTAGTCTTTCCTAGGTGGGATTAAGATAATAGAAAATGTTTTATCTTCTACCACATCCCTTCAACTTGAAGTAATGTTGTCTATGTAAAAAATAATTACATGTATTTTAAAGGCTTAAATAATCTGAAATTTTTAAAAAGCTAAAACACTGAATATTTCATGTGATTGCACTTGATCCTAAACTATAATTCTTTCCTTGTTTTGGTAAGACAACATTCCATTGTGAACTCATGTAGCAAGCTTGTCAGTAAATCATGTGGAGATTTTATGGATTTAACAGACTTCACAGATAAATAGAAAAACAATGGACTGTTTTAGAAATTTAAAGCAAAATGACAATGTGTGTCTTGCCTAGACTCTATGGATATCAATTGTATTTTTAATTTGTAGTTGTTTTTCCAAATTGGTATAACTTGCTTGAAATATCAAAATTTCTTATTAGTTTATTCAGATATATATACATATTTTACCTAGAAGACCTTATCATTTAAACTGAGAAAATAAAATGGTAAGCTGTTTTATTCTACAAAGTTTAAACAGAAACAACTTTATTAGGGTTAATAGCACAATTCTGCTACATTCTGCTATTTTCATCCCAAATCCATCCTCCCATTGGTATTGTTTCAATTACTTCTTCCTTGTGTATAAAATGTTTAAATTTTTATATAGTAAATTGTGATCATGTTTGAGTACGTCTTTGGTGTTGGCACTGAGCAGAATTGAATATAACAGCTTTTGGTACCAAAAAAAAAATACATTGTTCTGCTCTTGCAAGGATATTCCTAATTTGGCATTACAAGCTAATGAAGGTCTGTATTGGCAATAAAGAACACATGTTCACTTCAAGAAGAGCAGGAAGCAACACTGAAAAATTGGGTCATATTTTGACCAACTGCCTTATTCTTTGCTCTGAGTCTTTACAAAGTCTTGGTGTCTGCTTCATCACCACCCTCTTCCCTTCACCAAATAACCAAAACTGATAATTTGGAAAGTAACAAGTAAAAGGAAAAATTCTCACTCCACATTGTGCTAGGTTAGTCAGCACATTGTTGTTGATTGCAAATGACAGAAACCCTAGACTTACCTGGCTTATGAAAAAAGGGAATTTATTGACTCATATCATGAAAAATGTTAAGTATTCAAGAATGACCTAGAAATCCTAGGCAGAGCAATCAGGCAATAGAAAGAAATAAAAGGCATCCAGGTGAGAAGAGAGGAAGTCAAACTCTTTCTCTTCACAGATGATATAATTCTATATCTATATCTATATCTATGTCTATATCTATATCTATATCTATAAAACCACATGGTCTCTGCCCAAAGGCTCCTAGAACTGACAAACAACTTCAGCAATGTTTCAGGACACAAAGTCAGTATACAAAATTCAGTAGCATTTCTATACAGCAGTAATGTCCAAGTTGAGAGCCAAATCAAGAATGTAATCCCATTCACAGTAGCCACAAAAAGAATACAATGTCTAGGAATACAGTTAACCAGGGAGGTGAAAGATCTCTACAATGAAAATTACAAAACACTGCTGTAAGAAATCAGACACAACGTAAACAAATGGAAAAATGTTCCATGCTCATGGATAGGAAGAATTAATATTGTTTAAATTGTCATACTACCCAAAGCAATGTGCAGATTCAATGCTGTTTTTATCAAACTACCAACGACATTTTTTACAGAATTAGAAAACATATTCTAAAATTCATATGGAAAAAAAAGCCTGAATAGCCAAGACAATCCTAAGCAAAAAGAAGAAAGCTGGAGGCACCATACTACCCAACTTCAAACTATGCTACAAGGCTATAGTTACCAAAACAGCATGGCAACAGTACAAAAACAGACACACAAACAAACCAACTGAACAGGTTAGAGAACCCAGAATGAAAACCACACACATAATGATCTGATCTTTGACAAAGTCAATGATAACAAGCAATGGGGAAAAAGGCTTCCTATTTAATAAATGGTGCTGGGATAACTGGCTATCAATATGCAAAGGTTAAAGCTGGAACACTTTCTTATACCATATAGATTTAAATGTAAAATCAAAAACTTTAAAAACCCTAGAAGAAAACCTAGAAAATGCCACTCCAGACATTGGCCCTGGCAAAGATTTCATGATGAAGACTCTAAAAGCAATTGAAACAAAAACAAAAATTGACAAATGGACTCTAATTAAACTAAAGAGCATCTGCACAGCAAAATAAATTATCAAAAGAATAAATAGACAACCTATAGAATAGGAGAAAATATTTGTAAGTAATGCATCTGACAAAGGTATAATATTCAGAATATCTATAAGGAGCTTAAATAAGCGAGAAACAACCCCACTTTAAAAACATGCAAAAGACATGAGCAGATACCATTTGACCCAGCCATCCCATTACTGGGTATATACCCGAAGGAATATAAATCATGCTGCTATAAAGACACATGCCCACGTATGTTTATTGCGGCACTATTCACAATAGCAAAGACTTGGAACCAACCCAAATGTCCAACAATGATAGACTGGATTAAGAAAATATGGCACAAATACACCATGGAATACTATACAGCCATAAAAAAGGATGAGTTCATGTCCTTTGTAGGGACATGGATGAAGCTGGAAACCATCATTCTCAGCAAACTATCGCAAGGACAAAAAACCAAACACCACATGTTCTCACTCATAGGTGGGAATTGAACAATGAGAACACTTGGACACAGGAAGGGGAACATCACACACCTGGGCCTGTTGTGGAGTGGGGGGAGGGGGAAGGGATAGCATTAGGAGATATATCTAATGTAAATGACGAGTTAATTGGTGCAGCACACCAACATGGCACATGTATACATATGTAACAAACCTGCATGTTGTGCACATGTACCCTAGAACTTAAAGTATAATAAAAAATATATATATATATATATATATAAAGAGAAGACATACAAGTGGCCAACTAGCATATGAAAAAATATTAAACATCACTAATCATCAGAGAAATGCAAGTAAAAACCACAATGAGACACCATCTCACATCAGTCAGAAGGGATATTATTAAAAAGTCAAAAAATAACAGATGTTGGCAAGGTTGTGGAGAAAAGGTAACACATGCTGCTAGTGGGAGTGGAAATTAGTTCAACCACTGTAGAAAGCAGTTTTGTGATTTCTCAAATAACTTAAGGCAGAACTACCATTGGATCCTGCAGTCCCATTATTGGGTATATACCCAAAAGAATATGAATCATTCTGCCAAAAATACACATGCACTTATATGTTTATTGAAATACTATTCACAATAGCAAAGACATGGAATCAACCTAGATGTCCATCAACATTAAACTTGATAAAAAGATGTGATATATATACACCATGGAATACTATGCAGCCATAAAAAATAATGAAATCATGTCCTTTGCAGCAAAGTGTATGGAGCTGAAGGCCATTATCCTAAGTGAACTAATGCAGATACAAGAAACAAAATTCCTACTTGAACGTGGAAGGTGAGGAGAGGGTGAAGATAGAAGCACTCCCTATTGGGTTGGGGACTATACTCATTACCTGGGTGACAACGATAATCTGTACACCAAACCGCTGCAACACATAACTTACCCATGTAACAAACCTGCACGTGTATCCCTGAACCTAAAGTACAAGTTGCGAAAAAAAAGAATGACTCAATCCAGGAGCCCAATAAAGACCTTCTTCCAATCTATGTTGCTCAACTTTCATCAGTGGTGGCTTTATTCTTAGTGTTCACATGAAGTAAGTTATCTGTCAAGAGTTTTCATGTGCCTGGATCCAAGTCCAGAGATAATTAGAGCATCTGATCCTCGCTCGTCAATCAACCATCTCCCTGTGTCTCTTTTAGTGGGACTGGGTCATATTCTTAGCCAACTGTGGCCAAAGGGCTGAGTTTCTCTGAATGACCAGGCCAAAGCCACATGGTTTTCCTGTATCTAGGGTTAAGCCAATCCACAGGACACCCATAGAGAGATGAATTGAGTATGGCTTTCAAAGCCATATGGGGCTATATTCCTCTGAGATGCTGGTGGTGCTGGTGGGGGAGTAATAAAAAGTTACAAAAGCAGTGGTTGTCTACCACCTAAATTCCTAAGTTCTGTTACCTAGAACAAAAGTAAGCCTCAAGATATATTCATCAGGTTTATGAATATCTTACTTTAGTTTGTTTGACTTCTATGATTCATCAAAGTTGTAGTAGAAAATAAACAATTTGTCACCTAGTCTACAAATTAGAAATGAATACAAATTTTAGAAATACATAAAGTAGTAATTTGGTGAGTTCCTTAGCAATATATGAAGTAGTAATTTGGTTAATTCTTCTTTTCCAGGTGATAACTAAAACGTATAATGAAATATATTACAATTATTTTTAATTGCTTCATTTTGAAGACACAACTTTTAATTAACTAATTAATAAAATAATCTTTAGAGATTAAACATGCCTATGGCTTAAGGCCATTCTGCCATTGCATTTTCCTTCTGTTTGTTCCCTCTGATCTTGGTCTCTGTTGTTTTTTTCCTGCCATTCTGTGTTTTATTTGCATCTTTTTTTAGAATTGCATTTGGATTTATGTCAACTACCTTTTAGTGTATTTCTTGTGTAAAATTATTAATGGCTCTAGGTATTAAATTGTGTATATATATATAACTTATTACAGTCTGCTGGCATTGACATTTTATTACTATGAGTCAAGTATAAATGCTTTATCCACCTGTAAGTCCCTTTGTTCTTTTCCATTTGTAATATTTTTATTTTTTATATTTTCTCTGCATACTTTGGGAACTACATCACACAATGTTATGATTTTTTGCTTCAACTTTCAAACATAATTTAGAAAACTTAAAAAGAGAAGAATAATCTTTTTACTTACTTTATTCTTTCTTCTTGGCATTCTAAGGTTTCTCCTTTTATCAATTCCCTTCTTCTTTAGAGAACTTTCTTTAGCCATTCCTTTAAGATAGTTTTGCTGGTGACAAAGTATCTTAGTTTTTTTCATCTGAGAGAGCCTAGATTTTCTCTTCATTTTACGGGATGATTTTGCATGATAGGATGATTTTGCATGATTCCAGGTTGACAGTTCTTTTCTTTGATCTCTTAGAAAATATTGCATTGTATCTTCCTAGCATCTGTGGTTCTTGATGAGAAATCTACTGTCATTCAAATTGTGTTTCTTCTTATAGGTAAGTTTTTTCTCTCTCACTGCATTCAAAATTTTTAAAAAAATTTTTGGAAGTTTGATTATGATGTGTCTTGACATGAATTTCTTTGGACCTATCCTTTTTGTTATTTTCTCAGCTTCTTGAGTCTATAGATAGATTTCCTGTCCTTCACAGCAAGGTGAGGGGGCCATACGTGCCCCATGTCCCATTTCCCACAGCATTCGCCCGGAATGGCGTAGTTATCATCTAAAGGTTTTCTGGGTTTCTTGGCTGCCACATTCCTTGTCTTGTGGTGAGAGATAACAAGATTCACATGGCATTCTTTAATTGTTATTGTTGGAGGCCATTGGTGCTTTTGGGTTGCTAGCTTTTCCAAGATCTGGTGTGGGATACGTGAGACTAGGAAGAATTCTATGGAGCTCACCACTTTGCTCCTCCTTGGGCCCCAAGGTTCCTGTCCAGTAGGTCTTCCTGTCTTCACCTTGCAGAGTCTTCTTAAGTTTGTTTATATATAAAGCCCAGAGTGTTTTAGCCATCATTAATGAGGGGTACCATTTTCAATATAGAATGTAAAAATTCAAGTTTTTTTTCTACTGCCTATTTGTAAATATTGGGCAGTAGAGAATGTTCAATTTTATTATTTGAGGGTTAGATGACTTTTAGCTTGAATATTCTTGCATCCTGTAAATATACATTTGAAGAAGTGGCAATAATTTATCAGATTTCATTCAACGTGTATGTATTATACTTTTACCATATGCCTAACTTAGAAGTTTATTTACACTATGGTTTTTCCTTAATAAATTAATCAAGAAATTGTCAGTTGCGTTATTAATTTCTTAGCTTTACTCTAAGGGAAGTATAGGAATATACAAATGAATCTCTTGCTTTAAGGAACATCGATGCTAAGTAAAGGAACTCTGGAATAGTATTACACAGCCTTATATGAATTACAAAGTGGGGGCTTTATCCAGGGAAAAGAGCGCATACTTTAGAGCCATTATAATTCAGGCTTAAATCCTGAATAAAACATACATTAGATGAATGGGTTGTGGCAAAGCAATTAGCATCTGTGTTTCTTTTCCCTTATTTGTAAAAAGGGTTCTCAATGAAAAAATGTAATGTTTATAAAACACCTAACATAGTACATGAAACACAGAGATTTTCAGTGAATGGCACCTGTCATTATTGATTACATGTGCAATGAGAAGTGTTAGATTTTTGCCATCTCAAAGAAACCCATGGTCTACCTAATGCTTGTCAAAATCAGAAAATTGTGCTACTACTCAGATAGAATTGGTAAAGCCTGCTAAGACCTCACCGTTGGTATAATGGATGCCAGCACTGGGAGAATGGATTTGGTGTTAGGACCGGCCAAATTGGCCTAACATCTATCCAAAGATATTAACTAAAAGGCCAACAGGTGGTGGACAACACAGTGCTGAGGTACAGGGAGTGGTTATGATGACAGAAGCAGGGACATGGTATTTCTGGGTCATTCATGTAACCTGAAGTTATAATTCAATCAAATAGGGGGTTTTGGTCAAAGCATACATTTCCAGGGGTATGTGTGTGAGAGGGTGTTGTTAGTATGAAGTCAGTGGAATTTCAAGGTCTCCAGTTGACAGGCATTGCTTTCAGGGAAGACTCCTGCCTGACCCAGGAACTAAGGTGAGCCCAGTCTCAATGGTAGGATCAGTAAACAAAGAATGGGAGAAAAGGCCCAAGATCAATCTATGAGGTCTTCTGGTGAGATGAGATCTTGTTTCTTGACCAGAACGGACTCACAAATTGTTTCAGGTGGAATTTGCAAGAGGAATGCATGCCAGGGAGTCCACCGGCACAGTGGAAAGAACTCTGGTCTCCCAGAGACTCATGCTCCTGTTCTGCCTCTCCCACTGCAGGTCTGGTGACCCTGGGTGGTGCCCCACCTTGATGGGCTTCACAGTGCCACTCTGCAAAATGCGAGTGACAGCAATCACCTGTAAGAGTTTTAGTGAGAATAAATGAACAGCACATACAAGACAGGTATGTCAGGTAGGTATACGAAAAGGTCATGTCTTCCCTGCCTTTGAGTGCCTGTAAGAGAGAGGCACACGGGAGAGCCATCCACGAAGGAGGAAGGGCTGCGTGCCAGGAAACCGGCCTGCTTGCTTCAAGGCAGCAGTGTGCACGCATAGCTCTTTGGACCACAAGGCACAGACACTCAAGGTCAATTTTCCCCAAGCTAAGGTCTCCCTGCATGTCTCTGTAGTAAACAAGACCAGAAAAAGTCAGGGTTGAAAAATATTTTAGAGTCAGATGTGATTAAATGGGGAAGTGCGTGATGTGACTAGTAAGTGCTAGAGGAGGGTCATGCAAAGGACAGGTTAGTGTGGACTGATAGAGAAAGAGAAAATGTCAAGGAGAGGGCGAGTGGAGTGGGATCCTGGTGGGCTGTGGATTGTAGACCGGCTTCGAGGTCAGGGCGAGGTGGGATGTGGCGTGCCAGGATGCTCTCTGAGGACAGTGTGTTCCTGTGGAGAGTGGCTTGCCATTGCAGTGGAGTGCTGCTTTTGTTTTTGTTTTAAATTGGCTTTTATTCTGTGTAAATGTTTTATATATGTGAATGTTTGTGGAGGCAGGAAGGGGGAGAGGGACACACAGTTATGTCCTGACTGTAGGAAGCCAGAGAGACTGACAGAGAGGCAAGGTGAGTAACAAGGGTGGTAAGCAAAGGAAGGGTGGGGATGCAGGTCAGGTTCCTCCGGGGAGTTCAGGGTGTTCTTATGCCTTAGTCAGGGGTGCTACAGTCAGCTGAATAGGACCCACTCCCCACAAAATCAGGAGCCTGATTAGCAAAGGTGTGGACAGGATCCCATCTTGCTGGGGGTGTTGGGATCAGGCAGAACCTATGGCACATATGCATGGGAGTTGGGTAGGGAAAACCTGTTCACCCCGTGGCTTTATGTTGGTCACCAGTGTGGAAGGTGAAGGTTCAGTAGACAAAAAACATAACTGATAAAAAGTTGCTTAATGTGAAAATTAGTTACTAAAGTGACTTAAGTCCTCTCAAAAACAGGTTGATGCATTCCATTTTATTTATTTATTTATTTATTTATTTATTTATTTATTTATTTATTTAGAGATGGAGTCTCGCTCTGTCGTCCAGGCTGGAGTGCAGTGGCATGATCTTGGCTCACCGCAACCTCTGCCTCCCGGGTTCACGCCTTTCTTCTGCCTCAACCTCCCGAGTAGCTGGGACTGCAGGCACCCGCCACCACGGCTGGCTAATTTTTTGTATTTTTAGTAGAGACGGCGTTTCGCTGTGTTCGCCAGGATGGTCTCAATCTCCTGACCTCATGATCCGCCCGCCTCGGCCTCCCAAAGTGCTGGGATTACAGGCGTGAGCCACCGCGCCCAGCTGATGTGGTCCAATTCTTAACCAAAGGAATGGGTAGACCAGAAATACGGTTTGCCACTGTCCTCTGGAGTGTGTTTTCTTTGACTTCGTGGAGTTGTTTCTTTAAGTATGAACAAGTCAAATAACCAGGTTAGAGGGAAAAAAAATGGCACCCACCATGGGAATGTGGACGAGGTGATGAATTTATTGAAAGTAGCAACATTTACCTTACGGAAAAAAATAAATGCTTGGAATATTTCCTTCATGTAAATTTGGATTGTGATGAAAAATTTACGTACGAAATAGGGTGTATTCTCTACTGCATGATGGCTGATGCTCCATGTCCTTACTACAGGTTATGAGATTGTCACATTGATGTGTTATCCTGATTCTATTAGATTTGAAGAGCTGTAGGAGTTTGGCGGAAGTATTTTATGGAAATGCATAGGTACCAGTAATCATGAAAAGGGTTACTGTAGAATGACAAAGAAAAATTGGGCAGTTTTTTCGGTTGCTTGGTGCAGTCCTCCATACCCTCGGCAGCTGTCGCTAGCGTGGATAGTTTAAGTGTGGGGTTGCTTTGCTTCCCTTAGAGAACATAAATTATGCCTATATTCCTAATATTAAATGAGTCAATACAAATCCATTAAATGGACTACATCACTCTTGGGTTCCTCAAATAAGTGACTTTTGGCTGCTATCCACTTTTAGGTGATAGGGCAAATTATGAAGAAACCAGGTTTTTCTCCGGAACCAAAATTTTTTTTAAAAAGTTCAGAAAGAGACTGAGAAGGATAATTCCAGGTTTTCTTTAGTTCATTGAAATTCACCCCTTTGTTATCACCTTCTGAACATTTGAGTTGGGAAGGGAGATAGGGATGTGCGACTTCAGATTCAGAGTCAAACCCAAGAGTCAACCGCCTCCCTGAATCCCTACGAAAATGGGTGGTTTCACTCAAAATAAAGGATTTTAGTTTCACTAACATAAAGATGAAGGAGGGTACGAAGTTGGGGGTTTTTTGGTACTTAAATTAAGACTTTGTTTATCTTAGATTTATAAATAAGAATAACTTATTTGTCTGTTCTTCTGTTACACTGAAATTGTGTTGGTTTAGCGAATAGTAACATGATATTCTCTTGCTCAGCTAAATTTATGAGTCTTAATCCTGGCAAAGTTTGATGGTAAACTGCAGAGTTCAGAAAGATAGTTTTGATATATATACTTTTGTAAATTATGAGAAAAACACAAAGGGTTCTATCTCACGTACCTATATTTTTCTTTTTATGAGACATTAATTATATGCTAAGTCCACTACTTTTAGGAACTTTCATTTGTAAATTAGAAAACTACAAAAAGACATATTATTCTTTATATGTCCCAAATAATCACAGAACTCTATTCACAGGCTTACCTATGAAAGCTTGAAATTTCTGAATCATTTAGGAAGCATTTTCTTTAAGTACTGCGGGGAGAACAAAGCTTGCTTTAAAGAGAGTCCTTTAAAGAATGGAATGGAATGAGCTTCAGCAGACAATGCTTTGTCTTTTTTATTGACAGCTTTTGGCTACTTTATGTCTTTCTGTTTGCTCACATCAACCTTGTTATTTTTACATTACAAGAAAGCAAACGGCTGCAAATCTTTCTGCAGACAAGTCAATAGGTTTTGTTCTTTCTGGTTTTACCTTCAGAGCCATTCACATGGAGACAGGCTTGTAGCCAAAGGGCCCGGGGTGATTGGTGCGAGGAGGAGTTTCTGGTTGCAACGAACAAGGCTCCCCCTACACCAGCATTCTATCTCTCGGCCCCAAGTTCAGCTGCAGCAGATAATTTTACGATTTGTTGCCCCAAACCTCTGGACAAGTTTAAGTTCTGATGGGAAACTGCAGCCAGAGATGCACAGGGAGAACTTAGCTTGGGGAAAATTGACCTTAAGTGCATGTGCCTGTGCCTGGTGGCCTAGAGAGCTGTTCATGCACACTGCTGCCTTGGCGAGGGGGGGCTGGTTTCCTGGCACGCAGCCTTTCCTCTTTCGTGGATGGCTCTCCCATGTGCCTTTCTCTTCAGGCACTCGAAGGGAGGGAAGGACATGATCTTTTTTGCATACCTACCTGACATACCTACTGTGTAGATGCTACCCATTTATTCTCACTAGAACTCTTACTGGAGCTTGCTATCACTTGCAATTTAGAGAAGCAACCAGAAGCTTATTAAGGTGAGGCACTGCCCAGGGTCATGGGGTCTGCAAAGGGAGAGGCAGGAAAAGAGCATGGGTCTCTGAGAAACCAGAGTTCTTTTCACTGTGCCTGAGGACTCCCAGAGATGTTTTTCTTCACCAGAAATATGTTGGTGTCACGAATAGAACAGCCTCCTTTTCCCTCCTCTTCAGTCCTATGCCTTGCCGTCCTGTCCTCCTTTCACCGTGCATTCCAGCCCCATTTGTCCTGCGCAGTAGCTCCCTCATGGGCAGAAGAATGGCTGTTGGGATCTTTGCAGGAATGGCTTGTGCTCCTGCCCCTGCCCGTGCAGTGGGACCCAAGAGTATGAGCCAGGGCTGATGCTGGCAGTGCAGGAGGGCACACGCCAGCCTGGCCCTGCTGCTGCATAGCCTTTCCTGTGACCTTTCTTTCCCTTGTAGCAGGTGAGGAAGGACAGCGA
Source organism: Homo sapiens (assembly GCF_000001405.40). Lineage (NCBI taxonomy): Eukaryota > Metazoa > Chordata > Mammalia > Primates > Hominidae > Homo > Homo sapiens. Next base: position 4,247,566 of record NC_000002.12, read on the forward strand.
ATTGTTGGGGCAGCTCAGACCTGGGCCGGTGTTCACTGGGGAGGTGAGCAGGCTTTGCTGCCTGTCATAGCTCTGTCCTGTGACAGCTTTTGTGGAGCTCTTCCCTTCCCCAGAAAACCCTTTCTGCCCCACTGTGTCCCTTCTACTCATTTAGAAGGACATAGCTGTTAACTGCTCCCAGAAGCTGAGTTGGACCTTCCCCGTCACCCCTAGCTGCTTCCAATGGGCTGCTTTGTGTCCCCCAAAATTCCTAGGGTGAAAAATCCTAACCCCCAGCACCTCAGAATGTGACTGCCTTTGGAGATAGAGTCTTTAAAGAGGTGATTGAGTTAAAATGTTATGAACGTGGGCTCTGATCCAATGAGGGTGACCACAGCTGTCTGCAAGCACGAGAAGAGGCCCAGGAAGAAGCCAAAGCTGCTGACACCCTCATCTCAGACCTCTGACCTCCCCCACTGGGAGGGAATTCATTTCCTCTTAAGGCAGCTGTTCAGTGGGACTGGGATCCTCTATTAGTCCATTTTCCTGCTGCTGATAAAGACATATCCAAGACTGGGTAGTTTGTAAAGAAAAAGAGGTTTAATGGATTCACGTTTCCATATGACTGGGGAGGACTCACAATCATGGTGGAAGGTGAAAGGCATGTCTCTCATGGTGGCAGGCAACAACAGAATGAGAATCAACTGAAAGAGGTATTTCCTCTGATAAAATTATCATGTCTGGTGAGACTTACTCATTACCACGAGAACAGTAAGGAGGAAACCGCCTCCATGACTCAATTATCTCCCACTGGGTCCCTCCTACAACACGTGGGAATTATGGGAGCTACAATTCCAGATGAGATTTGGAGGGGGACACAGCCACACCATATCAGGTACCGTGGCCCTAGCTGACTGGCATGCTCACAGTCAGAGCTCCCTTCTCCTAACAATGGAGCAGGTGCTGGGATAGGGTGAGGCTGCATGCCTTGTGAGAATCCACTCTGTCTTACTCCAGTGTGTGTGCTCTTAACTTGGCACCGTATAACTTCAGAGAGGAAGCTCAGAAGTGAATGACATTTAAGTAGGATTTTCCTGCTGAATGGCGAACCTGGCCTTTTGGAGGCAGCCGGCTCCACCTCTTCTGTTCTTGCCTCCAACTCAAGGGCAGGGCTGGTTTCCACAGCATTTTGTTAATCCAAGAGCCTCAGAGGACAACCAGGTCAAAACCAACTTAAGTCTCAAGACAGAGTAATCTTCAGAGCTTTCTCTGAATCATCCTTTATTGTCTAGATAATTTCCTGTTTGTAATTACCTGGTATATTTGAAAACTGTTGTAAAAGGATAGCCATATGCCTGAATCTATCTAAAATAGAAATATAAGATGCATTGGGTGTTGGTTCTAATGCTTCTCTGCAGAGCACCTGGATAGATTTCATCATCTTTACCTGATGTTCACGCAGTTCCGGGAAGTTTCTCTTGTTATTTTCATCTTCTGTGAATACAAGTCAAAGATTCCAACATTGCATACATATTTCTTTACATATTTTGTATGTATGTATGCACATGCATGTAAAGCACATGGTAGACTAAATGAATATAATGAAGAGTTATAAACATTCCCATAATTATATACACACTCGTATCATAAATCAGATAAAAAGTAGAAAATTATCACAAACCTAGATGTCTCAATTGCAACTCTTCCTCATGAAAAATTAACCTGACTTTTATAATAAATACTTCCTTGCTTTCAAAAGTAATTTTACTACCCAAGTATGCATTTCTAAAAATATTTTAACTGTCCTCTTTTTCAATCTTCAGATAAATCAAATTGAAAATATACTGTATATATTCCTTGGTGTCTTGTAGTTATGGTTTAACCTTGTATTTGTGGGATGCTATTGGATTTAGCTGTAGTTAACTCATTTTCACTGTGTTGTATTAGCCTATTATGAAAGAAAAACAGGATTTTTAACATTGCACTGTTATTCCCAAATATTTACTTCACCTTCCTATAAAGTTACACATGGCCTCACATGGCCATACAACTCGCAGTGCCTCCCAAGGCAGGATGATGTATCCATGCCCCATGGATGTGGCCCTCACCCTCTGCCTTGCTACATACACTACACATGTGAGGAAACATGATACATGGGGTCTGAGCAGACTTTTAGGACCCTGTTGCATGGTCTCCACCTCTAATACAGCAGCATGTCTCAAACAGGCAGTGATCTTTTCTTCTTAGAGTGAAGATGGCAAGTTGAACAGCTCTGCAGGCAGTCTTCAGCCAATGTGCAGCAACATGCCCTAGGTGTGTAAAATGGGAAATTATAAGCCACTAAGATTTTGGTGGTTTTGTGCACTTATATGTATATTATGTATTATATTTGCAATATCATCATAATTGATGTATTTCAATTAATATAGCATGCTTATATTTTAATAGTATATGTTTTATGTTTTTACATATTATATTTATATATTTCTTCTGACCCTGCAGCTTCCTAGTGTTCTCTTCAGGCACCTCTGCATGGGGAAGACACAAAAGGCACTCAACATGTAGGATGTAACTTCAGAAATGGCATCACTAAAAACAGCAGATTTCAAAAATCAACTCTATCAAATTTCACAGCCCACTTTAATTTCTTCATCAAGTAACTCTTCCTAGACTACCTCAGTTTTGAGAGATGATTCCTTTCCTCAAGTTCCTGGGATTAAACACACACTGAATCACTTTTGGGCGTCTTTCATCTTCAACTCTTATCTTTCATTCAGCAATATCACTTTTCCAATTTTCATGCTCTCCCTTCGCAAACCATTGTCTGTCTTTATATTTCCCAAACCACTGGCACTTTTTAACAAATGTGATATTGAAATAGAAATTGGATTTGCCTCATACTTTTTTTTTTAATCCCTTCAACATGTGTGCTGATGTAAAACTCTCTGAAAGTCATGATCTGTCAGTTTTCTTCTTTCTGGGATGTGGAGAGAAATTGTTTCATGATGGGCCTGTGTCCTGGGCACCAGAGATGGTGCTTTTTTGTTGAATCAGTGAGAATCCTCATCACTTACACCTGGTGGCCTTGTTGTAGGGAGCTTAATTCTTAAATGTTTTTTTCTATAGGTTATTGGGGAACAGGTGGGGGATCCCCTCTTCTTCCTCCCCGTACTACTACAGCTGATGCTTTCTTGAAAGCACCACCTCCTGGCAGTAGGACAATCAGCACAAAAACTGCATTAAGCAGCCAAAACTAAGGACCCTCACAGAACCCATTTCACCCCCCTGCCATCTCCACCAGAGCAGATGGGCAGGGTCCTAGAACTCGCAAGAGTATATATCATTTGTCTTCAGTTACCAGGGTGAGTAAGGAAGGACCACTGGGTGTGTGCGGGGCTAAGCATGTCTGAGCTCAGACTCTCCTTGAGTGGGTCTTGCTGCGGCTGCTGTTGGGATTGGGGTGAGGCTCCCAGGTCAATGGAGTTATGTTCCTAGGAGGATTATGGCTGCCTTTGCTGTGCCATGCAGGTTGTTAGAGAAGTGGAGGAAAGCCATCAGTCACAGTCCTCACCCAGCTCCCACGCAACCCAAATGGCAGGTCTCACTCCCACCATGCCCCTCATAACAACACCGAGACTGTTTCCAGGCAGTGGGTAAGCAGGGCTGAAAACTTGCCCTGGGCTACCTGCCTCCCAGCTGTGAAAGCAAGTAGGACTTTTGTTCTTCCCCTGCCTATGGAGTCTGCACCTTGGATTCACGCCCTCCCCTGAGTTCTGGCCAGGAGACTTCTCGATTAGTTCAAATTGTTAACAAAGTTCAGCTGGAGGTTTCCTTCTCCCTGTGGCCTTTCCCCAGTGCTTCTGGCCTCCCTCCCCAAGGACCCCTGTGAGACAGGGCAGAAATCACTTGCTAGGGAACCCTGTGAGCCCACAGGGCTTTTCCCACTGCCTCCTGTACCCCTGTATTTCACTTGGCTCTCTAAATTGACTCAGCTCCAGGTAAGGTCAGAATCTTCTCCCATAATCTAGAACTTCGGGTTCCCCAGTAGGTGGGTATGTTCCAGGGTAGACGGTCTCCCTTTCCCACTTCCACAGTCTGGGCACTCTCAGTATTTGGGGTGTCTCCCGAGTCCTGCAGGAGCCATCTGCTACTGTGGGTTCTCTTGGCTGTCCTAATGTATTCCTGCAGTTGTTCTGGAGCAAAAGTTCACAACGTGAGCCTCCACACACTGCTCAGTACGTCCGAGCAAGAGCTACAATCTAGTCCTGGCTCCCATCTGCCATGATCCACTGAACCCTCTCGTGCTTAATTCTTATGAATCACTCCCTTCTTCTTATCACTTTGGCTTCAGTACGAATCAGCGCAGGTGGTTAAGCTCACAGTCAGGGGTTCCACCATAATTCAAACATTTGGGGTGACATTGTAAGCTTTTGCAGCGCAAGAGATGCTCAGCACAATATGGATTCATCGTGAATGCCAAACTATAATGGTAATAATAAAATAAGGTTTTAAAGTTTAATTCGACTTCCTAGTTAAGTCAAAATTTGGATACCCAATGAAAACGATCTAAAAACTATATTGGCCTTTCTGCCCTTATAATCACATTATATTCAAGACAATTGGAATTTTGTTTGAAGACTGACGTTATTAAAGGTTTCAGTTTCCAATTAAATAATATTCCACCCAAAGTAGATATATCAATGAATTTATTTTCTTATAATACATTTGTATTAATAGACACAGGGAATATATGGCCATTTTAAGCTCGTCTTGATTTAGGTTTTGTTTAATCGAGATTGAGAGATGATTTCACTGTGGCAGCATCTCTTTTTGTCTCCCTATTCTAAATTTTGTGTTACAGAAATTATGTTTTTCACACT